>NC_000004.12:151345623-151648653 GCF_000001405.40 Homo sapiens
TTGGGGAAGACCTGTTGCCCAGGAACTTTACTGTAAGATGAAATGGGTAGGCTCTTTGTTGGGGAATTCTAACCACACCCTATCCTCCTCCATATTACCTCTTATCACTATCTTTGGGGATTTTTTTTTTCCTTTTGGGCTGGTAATATTCCTTTAAGAAGGCTTTTCCAATCTTCCACTTGGAAGGTGAGAGGATCTGAGCATTTAGCATGACTGCATTAATTAATCAATCCCAGTTTTCTCTCTAGAGTCCCTATCCCCTTCAGCTATGGCTAAGAAGTGGACAAACCTCTGCATCTGTTAGGACGGAGGAGGGGCAGTTACCCAGTAGAAAGGAGTAGAGAGCATGCATATAAGAAGTACTACTACTTTTTAAGTAGTTCCCAGCCTCCAACCAGTTCCCTTATTTTATTCCTTCTTCATCTTCACTCTATATCCTGAGGATTTTGCAATGCCAGTAACTTAGCATTTGGTTTTCTCGTCTGCTAAGTCCTTTATCACTATTCTCTGGCCTCCAAAATTCTGTTGCTATTGCTTCATCTCATTCTCTCCTCGTTCTTGAGGGTTTTAGTGGGGTTCTGGAGGGAATCAAATTACATGCATTTGTTTAATCCATCATCTCTACCTGGAATCAACTGTCAAACATTCCAAAAAAACTGAGATTTATTTATCTACTAAATACTGAGTGTCTGTGATGTTTCTGGCACCTTGATAAATGCAGGAGATGAACTATGATTTATCTTCATAGTGATAACTGATGCTCTAACATAGTGTTTTGAAAAGAAAAATGTGCCTTTCCTCGCTACCATCCTGAAATTCTATTTTGTGAAGATTGGTAAATGCTGGGGTTATTTTGGGCTAGGGCAGCTTCATAACTGATACTGATTTTAAACAACATCTAGAAGATTTGGATCATTTCTGACATCACCCACCCACCCGTCCACCCCGGATGTATTTCTGAGTGAACTGGCCTAATACCTAATTCTAAGAGTGTATGCCAACTTATCTTAAAGGCCATTCATTCTGAACACTGCATAAAGCAAGATCAAACACCTCAAGCTCTGACCGAAGGGTGAGTATGCAGCTGTCTTAACAAAATTTTTATATACCCTTGATTGTGTCTCTGGTCCTGGTGGCAATTTATTCTAGATCTTGTCTTCAAAGTTTGGCAATCACAATGATATGATAACAGGAGGGAGGTTTAACATTTATTGAGTGCCTACTATGTATCAAGCAGTGGCCTTGATACTTCACAATTAGTAACTCATTTAACGTTATTCCTTAATAAATTCATAAGCACAGCAAAATTCTCCTGGAGCAAAGCAAATAGTTCAAGCATATGTCACTTTCTTTTCATTGTTCTCTTCACTCAGAATTCAAACTCCAGTTCTACATTTTTGTATTCTATTGTATAAAATCTCTTGATGCCAAACAGACATATTTGTACAAATCACATGCATATGAGGGTGTGCTCTCAGAAATGTTGATAACCCTACTCTACCCTGTTTTTATATTCCAACAGATAAACCGTATACACCTAGCAGCATGGCCCAGTTGCTCTGGTGGTAGGTTTGGTGCACCCATGGAACAGAAAGAGGCCAGGCAGGCTCCCATCAGGACCAAACCCCATGAGCTACAGTGGCTGCCATCTTTTGCCTGAAACACCAGTGTCCACTGGTGATAAGGTTTTACTTTGAGAAAACTTTCTTTTGGCCTCCAAACTTTGTCCTGACATTGAGAGGATACACAGTTTTGTTTTGTTTTTTAATGGATTGTGTCATCTTAAATTTCTGGCCCTGACTATTGATCAGAGTCTATGATGAACTGGCAAAGAGAAAATTATCTCTGCTTGTTACTGGTATCTTACACTGGCAAAGAACTGAACGATTTCTGGAGTTCTTCATCTTTTACATGAGTCAGGAAAATCACACATTTGGAGCAACTATCAGTAATAATGACATTAATAATTACATTTTATTTTTGTGAAGGTTACAAAGCAATATTATGCAAACTAGTTCCCATCAATATCCTTGAACTTGGTATTCTTTGATTTATAACTGTGTGAGTCAAAGATTATACTGTAAAATCATTAAAGACTAACACAATAAACATCAGCTAATGATTTTCCAATCTCAGTTTAAAGGTATGGTTTATGTTGAAAATTCCCCACCCCCGTAATAGAACCCCCTCAAAAATCATGAGAACAAGGAATTGTAGCAAATAAGCTGTTTGAGCCTTAGAAGCAGTACCTTAAGACAGAAACATAAAATCTCGGTGAGGGAAGAAACACTGAAGGTCAAACGTCTACCTAAATCCTGCTCTACATTCAAATATTCTTCCGCAGGGGAAGGCTCTAAACGCTCCTAAAAGCATTTTGCATTTCCTAGATAGTGGATTCTCCCTCTAAGCCAGTGGGTTCACAGGAGTAGGAAGGAGAACTGGGGGCAGTGGACAATAAGGAATTAGAAAAGGAGAAGAGGAAGGGAGAGAAACGGGAACTGCCTTAGGGAGAGAAGAGTGGAAAGTTTACAGGCACACTCGTTTTATTGAGCTTCACTTTATTGCACTTCGCAGATACTATATTTTTTACAAATGGAAGGTTGGAGCAAGTCTATCCATGCCATTTTCCCAACAGCACATACTCACTTTGTGTCTCTGTGTCACGTTTTGGTATTCTCGCAATATTTCAAACTCGTTCCCAGTTTGTATATCTGTTAGGATGATTTGTGGTCAGCAATCTTTGGTGCTACTATTGTAACTCTTTGGAGGGCTCCACAAACCATGCCCACATAAGACGGCAAACTTAATTGATAAATACTGTGTGTGTTCTGACTGCTCCACCGACCAACCATTCCCACTTCTCTTTCTGTCTTCTCAGTCCTCCCTGTTCCCCAAGACACAACAATATTGAAATTAGACCAGTGAATAACCCTACTATAATCTTGGGCGACATAGTGAGACCCTGTCTCTAGAAAACATTTAAAATTATTAACTGGGCTAGGCCAGGCGCAGTGGCTCACACCTGTAATCCCAGCACTTTGGGAGGCTGAGGCGGGCAGATCACCTGAGGTCAGGAGTTTGAGATAAGACTGGCCAACATGGTGAAACCCCGTTTCTACTAAAAATACAAAAATCAGCTGGGCGTGGTGGTGGGCACCTGTAATTCCAGCTACTCAGGAGGCTGAGGCAAGAGAATCGCTTAAATCCAGAAGGTGGAGGTTGCAGTAAGCTGAGATTGCACCATTGCACTCCAGTGTGGGCAAGAAGAGTGAAACACTATCTGAAAAAAAAAAAAAATTAGCTGGGCTTTGTGGTGAGCACCTGTAGACCCAGCTACTTGGGAAGCTGAGGTGGAAGGATCACTTGAACTCAGGAGGTCAAGGCCGCAGTGAGCCGTGTTCACACCACTGCACTCCAGCCTGGCTGATAAAGTGAGACCCTGTCCCCCAAACAAACAAACAAACAAACAACAACAACAACAACAAACCCCTACAATGGTCTCTAAGTGCCAAGTGAAAGGAAAAGTTGCATATCTCTCACTTTATTTATTTATTCGTTTATTATTGTAGGGATTATGTCTCTCACCTTAAATAAAAAGCTACAAATGATTACACTTATTAAGGAAAGCATGTCAAAAGATAGGCTGGGCGTGGTGGCTCATGCCTATAATCCCAGCACTTCGGGAGGCCAAGGCGGGAGGATCACTTGAAGACAGGAGTTTAAGACAAGACTGGGCAATACAGTGAGGCCCTGTCTCTAAAAAAAAAATTTGTTTTTTAATTAGCCAGGCATGGTGGCATGTGCCTGCTGCCTGTGGTACCAGCTACGTGGGAGACTGAGGTGGGGGGGTTGGTTACTTGGGCCCAGGAGGTTGGGGTTGCAGAGTGCTGTGACTGCACTACTGCACTCCAGCCAGGGTGACAGAGTGAGACTCTGTCTCAAAAAAAAAAAGCTAAGATAGGCCAAAAGCTAGGCTTCTTGCACCAGTCAAGTTGTGAATTTAAAGGAAAAGTTCTTGAAGGAAATTAAATGTGCTACTTCAGTGAACACACAAAGGATAAAAAAAAGTGAAACAGCCTTATTACTGACATGGAGAGAGTCTGATAGAAGATCAAACCAGCCACAACATTCCTTTAAGCCAAAGCCTAATCCAGAGCAAGGTCCTAACTGTCTTTAATTCTATGAAGGCTGAGAGAGGTAAGGAAGCTGCAGGAAAAAAGTAGGAAGCTACTTTTTCCTGAGATTTAAGGAAAGACGCCATCTCTGTAATATAAAAGTGCAAAGCGAACCAAGTGCTAATGGAGAAGCTGCAGCAAGTGATCCAGAAGATCCAGCTAAGATAACTGATGAAGGTGGCTACACTAAACAACAGATTTTCTTTTTTTTTTTTTTTTTTGAGACGGAGTCTCATCCTGTCGCCAGGTTGGAGTGCAGTGGCGCGATTTCGGCTCCCTGCAACCTCCACCTCCCGGGTTCAAGTGATTCTCCTGCCTCAGCCTCCTGATTAACTGGTCTTAGAGGCACCCGCCACCACGCCTGGCTAATTTTTGTATTTTTAGTAGAGACGGGGTTTCACCAAGTTTGCCAGGATGGTCTCGATCTCTTGACCTTGTTATCTGCCCGCCTTGACCTCCCAAAGTGCTGGGATTACAGGCCTGCGCCACTGCGCCCAGCCAACAGATTTTCAATGTAGGTAAGACAGCCTTATATTGGAAGAAGATGGCATTTAGGACTTTACTAGCTAGAAAGAAGTCAATGCCTGGCTCCAAAGGACAGGCTGACTGCCTTGTAAGGGGCTAAAACAGCTGGTGACTTTAAGTTGAAACCAATAATCATTTACAATTTCTAGAATTCTAGGCCCCTTAAGAATTATGCAGCTGAGCACAGTGGCTCACATCTGTAATCCCAGCACTTTGGGAGGCTGAGGCAAGTGGATTGGGCAACATTGCAAAACCCTGTCTTTACAAAAATAAAAATAAATTAGCTGGGCATGGTGGCATGCACCTGCAGTCCAAGCTACTTGGGAGGCTGAGGTGGGAGAACTGATTGAGGCAGGGGCTGTGATGATTGCACCACTGCGCTGCAGCCTGGGCAACAGAGTAGACTCAAAAAAAAAAAAAAAAAAAAAAAAAAAAAAAAAAGAATTATGCTAAATCTGCTTGGTCTGTGCTCTGTCAATGGAACAATAAAGCCTGGATGACAGCACATCTGTTTACTGTACGGTTTACTGAATATTTTAACTCTACTATTAAAATGTACTGCTCAGAAAAAAAAGATTCCTTTCAAAATATTACTGCTCATTTACAATGCACCTAGTCACCCAAGAGCTCTGATGGAGATGTACAAGGAGATTCATGCTGTTTTCATGCCTGCTAACACAACATCCATTCTGTAGCTCATGGATCAAAGGGTCATTTTGACTTTCAAGTCTTATTACCTGAGAAATACATTTTGTAAGGCTATTACTGCCATAGATAGTGATTCTTCTGATAGATCTGGGCAAAGTAAATGGCCAGATGATTCAAAGGATGAGGTCACCATATCAACACTGAGTTTGGAAGAATTTGATTCCAACCCTCATGGATGACTTTGAGGGGTTCAAGACTTCAGTGGAGAAAGTCATTACAAATATGGTGGAAATAGTAAGAGGATTAGAATAAGTGGCGTCCAAAGATGTGACTGAATTGCTGGAATCTCAGGATAAAACTTGAATGGATGAGGAATTGTTTCTTCTGCATAAGCAAAGGAAGTGGTTTTTTGAGATAAAACTTACTCCTGGTGAAAATAACGTGAATATTGTTGAAATGATAACAAAGTATTGAGAATATTACATAAACTCAGTTGATAAAGCAGTGGCAGAGTTTGATAGGATTGACTCCAATTTTGAAAGAAGTTCTACTGTGGGGAAGATGCTACCAAACAGCATTGCATACTACAGAAAATTCTTTTGTGAAAGAAAGAGACAATCGATGTGGCAAACTTTGTGGTTATCTTAAGAAATTGCCACAGCCACCCAAACCTTCTGCAACCATCATCCTGATCTGTCAACAGCCATCAATCTAAAGGCAAGACCCTACACCAGTGAAAAGAGTATGTCTCACTGAAGTATCAGGTGATCATTAGCATATTTTAGCAATAAAGTATTTTAAAATTAACGTATGTAGATTTTTTCAGACATAATGTTATTGCACAGTTAGTAGACTACAATGTACTATAAACATGACTTTTATATGTGCTGAGAAGCCCAAAAAATTGTGACACGCTTTATTATGGTGATCTGGAAAAGAACCCACAATCTCCAAGGTATGCCTGTATGTTTTTCAGGGGACACTGACCCCCCTCACCATGGACCAAGCAGAGCTGGTGATGTGGAGATACACAGAGAGAGAAAATAGACTCAGCATTCAGGGAGTTTACAGCTTAGTGCAGAGGGAAGAACCTCTTGCATGAAGCAGTTAAATTTAGAATCTGCCACTGAGTCACTGGTAAACTCTGAGAACTGGACTAGTAAAATAAAGGCAAATCAGATTATACTGGATACAGATACTCTCAGATACAGGTACTTTAAAGGGACCGAACAACTCTCAGGCCAAGCACATGATTTGTTCAGAGCAGAATTGGGAGATGTTAACTTATCTACATAAAGAGTTTGGGCCGGGTGCGTGGCTCACGCTTGTAATACCAGCATTTTGGGAGGCCAAGGCAGACAGATCCCTTGAGGCCAGGAGTTCGAGACCAGCCTGGCCAACATGGCAAAACCTCGTCTCTATTAAAAATAGAAAAATTAGCCACCTGTGGTGGTGCGCACCTGTAGTCCCAGCTACTCGGTAGGCCGAGGCAGGAGAATTGCTTGAACCCAGGAGGCAGAGGTTGCAGTGAGCCAAGATCTCACCACTACTCCAGCGTGGTGACAGAGCAACAGTCCGTCTCACACACAAAAAAAGTTTGGTCACCAGTTGGAGGGGACCAACTGGTTGCAAGTTAGGACCAAAAAAGCAAGTCTGAGGGTCTCTTGGATGCCTAATCCCATTCTGAGGAGAGACCCAAACACTGGCTTCAGAGAAGTTCCCAGTTGTGGAGACGGCCTCACAGGGGCCTGCAGGTGCCACCACCAGGACTGCCTGCCATCCTCTGCTGTAAGCCCACTCTTAGCAACACCTTCTGCATGATCTGGTGTTGCAGGTACATCTCCGTGAAGTTTTCCTGGGTAGTATTTCCACCTCCTGGTTAGCATTAACCACTCCCTTCTCTGTCTCCACATTTATTGTGTACATACCTCTCTTGTGGACCAACCATACTGTGTCCGGAATTGGTTCCTCCCGGTGGGTTCTTGGTCTGGCTGACTTCAAGAATGAAGCCGCGGACCCTCGCGGTAAGTGTTACAGTTCTTACAGATGGTATGTCTGGAGTTTGTTCCTTCAGATGTTCAGATGTGTCTGGAGTTTTTTCCTTCCGGTGGGTTTGTGGTCTTGCTTGACTTCAGGAGTGAAGCCGCAGACCTTCGCAGTGAGTGTTACAGCTCTTAAAGGTGGTGCGTCCAGAGTTGTTTGTTCCTCCCGGTGGGTTCGTGGTCTTTCTGACTTCAGGAGCGAAGCTGCAGACCTTTGCAGTGAGTGTTAGGGCTCTTAAAGGTGGCGCGTCAGGAGTTGTTTGTTCCTCCCGGTGGGTTCATGGTCTCGCTGGCTTCAGGAGTGAAGCTGCAGACCTTCACAGTGTTACAGCTCATAAAGGTAGTGCAGACCCAGAGAGTGAGCAGCAGCAAGATTTACTGTGAAGAGAGAAAGAACAAAGCTACCACAGCATGAAAGGGGACCGTAAGTTGCTACTGCTGGAGCTGGTGGCCAGCTTTTATTCCCTTATTTGGCCCCGCCCACATCCTGCCGATCGGTCCATTTTACAGAGCACTGATTGGTCCATTTTACAGAGTGCTGATTAGTCCGTTTTTACAGAGTGCTGATTGGTGCAATTACAAACCTTTAGCTAGACACAGAGCGCTGATTGGTGCGTTTTTACAGAGTGCTGATTGGTGCAATTACAAACCTTTAGCTAGACACAGAGCACTGATTGGTGTGTTTACAATCCTTTAGCTAGACAGAAAAGTTCTCCAAGTCCCCACCCGACCCAGAAGCCCAGCTGGCTTCACCTCTCAATACCACACAGTATTTGTAATGCTTGGTTTACACATCTGTCTCGCCTACCATATTGGAAGACAAGGAGCAAATCCTAGACATTTTTGTGTTCTTGGTGCCCCTGCCCAGTGCTTGGCACTCAGCAGATGCTCAGTCAATATTTGAATGACTGGATGAGTGAGTGAGTGAATGAGTGAATAAATGAATGAATGATAAATGATCAAATAAATAAAAGGGTACGTGGAAAATTAATGTGAGCAAAGAGTTCAAGTCAACACTGTACCCAGGGAACAATGCTAAGAATGACCTGCACAAAGCCTGTGTGAAAAGAATCAAAAGAAAGTAGATTAATAGAGTTAGGCCAGGTAATTAAAGGCCTTGAGTGCCAATAAACGTTCCTTTGTTTATTCATTCATTCCCCTAAAACATGCTGTTAACTTTTTTAGGTTTTGTCTCTATCCTTAGAGAGTACGGAACTGAGGGGAGAGGATGCCCTCACTACAGCTACATTCAAAGGCAGATGGTGGCAAGGGGCAGAGAGGCACAACTAAGGGGCCGTGGAGGTTCAAGGATCAATAAGTCACTTTTGGTTGTGCTGACAGAGAAGCATTTGAGTTGGACTTCAAGGGTAAGAGGACCAGCAAAAGGCACGGCATCAGCAGGGTAGCAGAGGTGGGATTGTGCAAGGAATATAGGGAGGCTGAGAATGGCGCCCCATGGCTAAAGCAAATCAGGAATCAGAGGGGCAAGATAGAAGATAAAGAAGATAAAAATGTAAGAGAGGTGGTTCATGCCTGTAATCCCAATACTTTTTTTTTACTTTAAGTTCTGGGATACATGTGCTGAATGTGCAGGTTTGTTACATAGGTATACATGTGCCATGGTGCTTTGCTGCACCTATCAACCTGTCATCTAGGTTTTAAGCCCCACTTGCATTAAGTATTTGTCCTAATGCTCTCCCTCCCCTTGCCCCCATCCCCTGACAGGCCCTGGTGTGTGACGTTCCCCTCCCTGTGTCCATGTGTTCTTACTGTTCAGCTCCCACTTATGAGTGAGAACATGGTGTTTGGTTTTCTGTGCCAGTGTTAGTTTGCTGAGGATGATGGTTTTCAGCTTCATCCACGTCCCTGCGAAGGATATAAACTAATGTTTTTTCATGGCGGCATAGTATTCCATGGCGTGTATGTGCCACATTTTCTTTATCCAGTCTATCCAATCCCAATACTTTTGAGGCCAAGGCAAGAGGATTGCTTGAGCCCAGAAGTAGGAGACCAGCCTGGGCAACAGTGAGATTCTGTCTCTACAAAAATTTTTCAAAAATTAGCCAGTTATGGTGGTGCATGCCTGTAGTCCCAGCTACTGGTAAGGCTGAGGTGGGAGGATCACTTGAACCCAGGAGTTGGAGGCTGCAGTAAGCCGTGATCATGCCACTGCTTTCCAGCAGTGACAGAGCTGAGGCAGAGCAAGACCCTGTCTCAAAACAAACAAACAAACAAAAAAGATGTAACAAGAGGTTAGGTGAGCCTTGCAGGGTGTTTGTCAGGCTAGGCTGAGTGCACTAATTTCAGGAGGAGCTGGGGAGCGTGTGGTGACTTGCTGCAGGTTTGGGTAGGGCTAATTACTATAGGCACTGAGAGCTGTCAGCCCAGCACTGGATACAAAGGCGAGGTAAATCTTTTTGACAGGCTTACCTAAGGTTTTGAATTTTTTTTACTGTATAATTAAGTGTCAAATGCTGAGGTAGTTTCTGAGGTTTTTGTATAAAAACTCGTTCTTCTCAGGTTGCCCTTTCATGGCACCAGATACTGTCATTATCATTGTGTAGTGTTTGAAGACAGATCTCAGCTGAGACAGATAACCATAGACCTAGAACATGGTAGGTTCTCCCCTGCCTAGTTAGGACACCCTTGATCATGGGGTCAGTGAAGCCTCTAGAAAATGTACTATGAAAACTTTCAGTTTATCAGTACTTGGCACATATTAAACCTCAGTGACTGTTAGCCCAGGTATGGCTGTACTTACATATGGGAAAAACATTTCATGTTCTGTAGTCTTAGAACAGAATACAAGTGTATTTTTCAGGATTCCATTGGTTCTAAGTGACAGCCAAAACCACTTATGCCTTGCATTAGATTTATTGGAGAGATACTGAAGTAGCTCACAGAACTGAAAGAAAAGCCAGAAGTAGGCAGCTCTGGGTGCTTGGAGATGATAGCTGGGCCAAGGCTGCCCAGATTGTCTATTTACCATTCCCTCTGCCAGTGGGGAGCAGGACTTCTGGCAGCCCCAGATTCACGTCCTTCCTGCATCGTGACCTAAGAGGCAAGAATGAGCCTCCTCTCTATAGCTCCAGTAGACAATTCTGGATAAAGGCTTGGAACTCCTTGGTTTGATCTGTGTGCCTCCTGCCCTCACACTGAAGTGTGGTGGGTGGGGTGATGGGGACAGAGCACCATGATCAACTCAGCATGGGTTATACGCCCTCCCCTGTGGTCAGGGAGTCTGGGACTCTGCCAGAGGAGTGGGGAAGAGAGCAGGTACACAAAGACAACAACTACTATGCAAAGGCAAAAAGTCCCGTGTAGGTGCTCATTTGACTTTGGCTGGAACTCTGAGGGTTTCCTGATTCAAATTCCAAAGACTTAAATTTTTGACTGGGTTCCACTCAACAGAGTATGAATCAATGATGTCCCCATACTTCAGTGTACCTTAATTATGTCTTAATTACTTCAGAGTCACTGACACTGGCTTAAGTCCTTCAAATTGTTTAATTTAAAAGGTATTTCTTTTTACCTTCAATCTCTGTTTATCTTGAAAGACATCTTTTAATTTTCTCACTTAGACATGGAATTTTCTATGTCTAAAAGCCAAATGTATGCATTAAAAGACACTCATAGTAGCTTTTGTGAGTTGTGTCCCCTAAGGACCAGGCAGTGACTTGGTCATGACTCACCAGCTGCTGATCTGTAATAACCCTTCCAGTGTCTGAACCTGCAGTGGGAGCACTGGTGCTGGCCCTGCTGGGTCAGAGCTGAAGAGGGAAGGGAAGAGAGGGTCTCCAGCAAAACAGCCAAAGGAAAGGCTTATTCTTTTTTATTTTATGTTTCATAGAGACAGGATCTCGCTAGGTTGCCCAGGCTGGTCTCAAACTTCTGGCCTCAAGCAATCCTCCCATCTCAACTTCCCAAAGTGCTGAGATTACAGGAGTCAGCTATGGTACCCAGTCCTTAAAATGCTGGGTTTTTTTAGATGGAGTCTCACTCTGTCACCCAGGCTCGAGTGCAGTGGTGCAATCTCAGCTCACTGCAGCCTCCGCCTTCCAGGTACAAGCAATTCTCCTGTCTCAGCCTCCCAAGTAGCTGGGACTACAGGTGCACGCCACCATGCCCAACTAATTTTTGTATTTTTAGTAGAGATGGGGTTTCACCATATTGGTCAGGCTGGTCTTGAAGTCCTGACCTCAGGTGTTAAATACTCAGAGTATTAAAAATTGTCTCGGCATCCCGAAGTGCTGGGATTACAGGCATGAACCACTGTGCCCAGCCCTTAAAATGTTTTTAAGCATTTAGGACAGGATCTGGGAATATAATAAACATTTGTAGTAGGGCAGAATAGGAGAGGTGGCAATCCACAGAAACAATTTTCTTCCTTATTCAGATGTCTTGAATAAAAGCCTAGTATATTAAATATCCTGATTAAGAAGGACAAGTTAGCCAGGCACCATGGCTCATGCCTATCATCCCAGCATTTTTGGAGGCTGAGGCTGGAGAATCACTTGAGACCAGGAGTTCAAGACAAGCCAAGGCAACATGGCAAAACCCCATCTCTACAAAAAATACAAAAATTAGCATGGTGGTGTGTGCCTGTAGTCTCACCTACTCAGGGGGCTGAGGTGGGAGAATCACCTGAGTCCAGGAGGTAGAGGCTACAGTGAGCCATGATTGCACCACCACACTTCAGCCTGGGCAGGGCAAGACTCTGTCTCAGAAAACAAAAAGACAGGTTGCATCAAATCTAAGGGTCCATTCAATTTTTAATACTCTAATTACATTATACTTGATATTTCTTGAAATAAAATGACTTTCAGTTGGAAATGCTTTTGTTCTAGTGAATTTTTATACAGTTGTACTTTATAGTGGATTATGCCTATGTATATATAGTCAGTCAAGACCTGAATTCAAATAATTTACCCCAAATGACTCTATACCACTTGTTCTCAACCAGGAATGATTTCTCCACCACTGAATACATTTATCAACGTCTGGACACATTTTTGCTTGTCATGACAGGACAGCCCTTTACACTCTTACAACAAAGCCCCAAATGTTAAGAATGCTGAGGTTGAGAAGGACTGTGAAGGACTATTCTCTCTCTCTCTCTCTCTCTCTCTCTCTCTCTCTCTATATATATATATATATATATATGCAAAAGTACAGTCATGAAAGAAACAGACTGAAAGTGATCTACAGTAAAAACAGGACTTTTCCAAGGAAAATGTGAATGAGTGGTAAGGGAGGTACTGAGGTGAATGGCATGTCAGAAGAGTCTGTCTGTGGAGACTAGAGATGATCAAGATGTCAGGTTTCTAAACAAGTCAGCCAACTTTCCAATCCATCTGCCAAGAGCTCAGCCCAATTCTGCCTCAGCTGAGTGACCCATCTGTAAGCCTTGGCTACTGGAGACAAAAGTGCTGCTATCTCTTCATAGAACTGGGCATAACTGCAGAGTAATGCACACTAGCATTCTTGTTAGCAGTTGGCAAGTTCACAATTAGCGCAATTGTTTCTGAAAGCGTGCGAGTGCACTATTGCTTCATGTTATTAATGTCTGCAGTGTGCTAGGAATAAAAGGATGGCTGGGGGGAGGGGATACATACATTTTAATTATTCAAATACATGCAGAATTCAACAGCCTTAAAGACTATTTCTGAGGCTCCTTCCTGCATCGACACAACGTGTTAGATTCTACCAAGAACTCAAAATAATTCCCTTGCTTTGAGTTGGGATTTAAAAGATACCCATTAATTCTCTTGGGGTACCAGGTGAACATTTGGTCATTCCTGTTGTGGGGGGAAAAAAGAAAAAAAATCAGAAATAACACAGCATGGACTGGTAAATGTCCCTCGGTCCACCTCACCATCTCCTTATTTATGTGGCAGCAGCTCAGAGGCAGCCTTTCAACATAAGTCCCATATTTTATTCAGTTCTGTTCATCAACTGCTGTTCTTGTTGCTTTTCCATCTAATTGTGTTTTTAGCTAAAAAAAAATTTGGGGTTCTATGATGTCAGTATCAAAAGACACTTGCTCTTTGACAAGTTAAGTTATTTTATCTCCAAAGAAAGATATGGAACAATGTCAGACCACTAAGATGCTATTTTATGTTGGGCTTAGAGGTCATGGAGTGATTCAAAGTAAAATGTTACTCAGTCTTATATATTATATAATATATGTTATATATATTATATATTAATCAACAAATATTTAATGAGTGATCACTGCTACTTAGGACCACCAGTGTTAGGTGCAATGAGACATGTAAATATATGTTATTGATCTATAAATATAAAAGCAAATATAAATATAGAAAGAAAACATATCAAATGTTTTTACTGAGTCAGAGACAGTATTTGTGGTGAAGGAGTGTTTTGGTAGGGGGTAAATCAAAAGACTATTCTATGGCAGCTGGTTAATAGAGTTTCAGGCTTCAAGGATATCATAATCTAGTTAGGAAGACAAATTACATTGATAGTAGAGAATTAATGAGTGTTAAATAGTTTGGTCTTCATTATCAGTGTAATGTTAGTTTATAAAAGGAAAAACCAGATTGGCTTGAATAAATGGTTTACTCGGTAAAGTAGTCAGAAATAAGATGGGATGAATAATTCATATCATGGAGCTAGTCAAGCTAGAAAGTCTGAAATTGATCACACACAGACACACACACACGCGCACACACACACACACAGAAGCAACTCTCTCGAATAAGGGAATGACAGTCATTCAAGGGCTATAATATGTGCTGGGCACTGTGCCAGTTGCTAAGGGCACCAAGATGACCAGTGTACAGTTCTTGCTCTTATGGAGCTCACAAAGAGGCATTTTAGGAAATTGATTTGGCTGAAGTCCACAGGACAGACAGGAATGGGGTGAATTGAGAGCTAAAGAGACCAGCTATGAGGATGGCCAGTGAGAAAATGAGGGCCTGGGCTAATGTAGAGGTCTTGGGAGAGCAGAGAAGAGTGAACCTGCAGGTACGGAAGTGCTTGCCACCTGCAAAAGGAGGGTTGGAAAAGAGGGAAGCAATAAGGAGGGCAGGAAGGAACAGTAGGGTTGCCACCAACTGAAATAGGGCACTTGTAAAGGCAGCCAAACTACAGTAGCAGAAATTATGAATTTTTAAAAGATACTGAAAGTGAGCTCATGGCAGGACATACACACTGAAATAAATACTAAGAAGATGGAACTATGGACTGATGCAGGATAGATGAGGCTGGATGAATTCTCCAGGAGCTGAATAGCGAGAGAAATCAGAGCCTTAGCAGGGGCACCCAGAGAGTTAGGAGCTGGGAGGGGAAGGGAGTCAAAAGTAGTTGAAAGGTCAAGAAGAAGGAGAATGTAGTGTCACTGAATCTAAGGGAGGAAAGAATTTCAAGGAGTGGGTTGTCAGAGAGGCTGAAGAGAATGAAAACCAAGAGAAAGCCATTCATTGTATAAAACTGCACTCTATAAGGCAGTCTGTGGGTTTTTTGTTTTAAAAATAAATAAAAAGTATATGATATTAATAGGCTCTGAAATAAAACATATATGCAAATGAACATCAAAGATTCAGTGACCTGCAGGACTGAGATAAGAGTGCCTTATAGTCATATAGCCTTTTGGTTTTTAAAGTACCTTAGAATACATTATTTGAACTGATCTTTTATTACATTCCTGGGATGATTATAACCTAAAAGGAATCACATTTCCTGTTTTGATCATTTAGTTACTCAACTACAGTTTTGCATTTGTACAACTATCAATACTAACAATAAATAACTATCCGGGAACTTTGTGACAGAAAATGAAAGATGATGACAATTATGATGATACCCATAGTAATAATACCCAACATTTATATAGCATGAAATGATTTCACATATGTTATTTCATTTTACCTTCAACAGCTCAGTGAAATAAATCTCATTATCTCCATTTTATATGTGTGGGCAGCTTTTAAAAATCCATGCTCCAAACAGATAAATTAAACAGGGCTAAACTAGACCAAAGAAATGGGCTTTTTATGTTTAATAAACTTAAAGCCCTGCTAAGAACAATGAAGGAAATTTTTATTATAGAACAAGAAACAAAATACTAGGACACATCAATTAATCTATCCCCTTTCTCTAAGAAGACAGAATATGGAGTTGCTTATCCCATTTGAAAGTCTCCTAAATTTCTGCTAGTTAGAAATGTTTTGGTTGCAAATGACAAGACCCACCTCAAACTCATTTAGGAAAAATAGTAGCAGGGGGATTGATTGCTCAATAATTGAACAGACTAAGAGTTGAAGTTCAGTCTAAAGGTTCAGATGTGACTGAATTCAAGCACAATTCTAGCTGGAAAAGAGCAAATGCAGAGTTCAGATGGGCTGAGTGTGTGTGTATGTGTGTGTGCGTGTATGTGTGTGTGTGTGTGTGTGTTGGGGGTGGGGGGAGCGGGGGAGATGAGACAAAGCCCTACCTCAATTTCAAGGACTTAAAGTGGGGAAGGAATGGTCTTCAGAAAGAAAATTAAGGTGCTTCCAGTAGAAGAAAGAAGAATGGATGCTGGGCAGGCAAAACCGTAGATCTCCAAAATTACTATCCTCAAACGGTGTTCACCAACTTACCTGAAATTCTCACTGTCAGAACTATTTCTTTAAGACTTTGGGTCTCAAGAGTTTCCTACAGTTAATTGGCTACTCTGGGGCAAATGTTCTCAATGTTGGCTGTATATCAGAGTCATGTGGGTAGCCAGAAAAGGTTTCAAAAATATATGGATGACTGAGCCTAACCTCTCAAGTGGGGTCCAGTGGATACCCCAAACTTTGTCCATGCAGTACATTTTGAAAGGAACAACAAATTGTGCAAAATGAGTAGCAGAGTTATCAGTTTCTCATTCCATATCTTCTCTCCTCTCTCTTTTCACCTCCAATGCTATCAGTGAGGACTGTCACGGAGTAGGCATCCCATAAATATTGGCAGAACTGAATATAATGGAACTGAAATGAGAGAATATACTATACTATCCGTGTTCCTGTGTTTTCCTCCTTTGAACATACTAGATTCCTACTTCCGGTTTGGGACTTACTGTCGACAAGATAAGAAAAGTGATGGACAAAGTGAGGAGGAGTCATGTGCTCAAGGACCCTCCAATCCAGCAGGGGAAAGAGGTGAGTTTCCCGGAATGACTGGAATTTGGTGAGCACATGGAAGGCACAGCTAACCCCATCTTAAAGAATCCAAATAAGTCTAAGTCTTAAGTGAAATTTAGAAGTCAGGGCCGGACGCGGTGGCTCACGCCTGTAATCACGGCACTTTGGGAGGCCAAGGCGGGCGGATCACGAGGTCAGGATATCGAGACCATCCTGGCTAACACGGTGAAAACCCATCTCTATTAAAAATACAAAAAAATTGGCCAGGCGAGCCGAGATGGCGTCACTACACTCCAGCCTGGGCGACAGAGCGAGACTCAGTCTCAAAATAAAATAAAATAAGTCAGGCAGAGAGAGGGGGTATTGGGTGTGCTGAGCATGGTTAAAGTCCAGTAAGCAAGAAAGCCGGCCTATTTGAAGACTTGCTTCAGTTATGGCTAGAGGATAGTACCTAAGGGCAAGGTGAGCAGGGCTGAAGCTGGGGAAAGAGCCCGGGACTTGAATGGTATGTTTATCTTTATTTAAATACTCAGGGCTCTAAAGGAGCGTTAATTCCAGACAGAATTCTCACACATTCAGTCATTTTTGCGCATGTACATTTCTATTTGTGGATTGAAGAAAAATATTACAGTTTTAAGTTGGGTTTAAAAAAATCAGTCAAGAAATGAACCCAAATGGCTTCCATAAGGCCACTATGATTTGGCGTTCTTGGGCTGCAGTGCCACCACTCGGCCACAGGGTAGCAGTGCAGCTCAGCAGACAGTGGGAAGCGGAAAGCAGAATAGTTGAGGGGCGGGGTTACAGGGAATCCCTCCCCAAAGCAGCAAATAATAGGGCTCTCCTTGAACTAGGTGGAACACATTAGCCCCATTTCTACACCTCCACACTTCCTTCCTCTATCATCTATCCCCACATCTATCAAGTCTAGCATAAATTCATGCGGAGTACAAACATGTTTGTAAAACAATGATCCATCCCTACAGGACTTGCTACATGCCCCCCATCTCAGTAAACAGTGGGCTTTCCTTGTAAAAAAAAAAAAAAAAAAAGGGAAATAATGAAAAGGTCCAATGATCAGAGGCTGACTAAATGACCTGTGGTATGTTTATCAAAGAAATACAATGCCTCCATTAAAAAAAAATCTGTTTTGCAGATTATTTAAAGATAGAGAAAATGATAAAGAGAAAAAAGTGAAAAAAAAAAAAAAAGCAAAATCCGAACAATATGCAGTGAGATCCCAGACTGCTTGCTTGCTTGCTTGCTTGAGACAGGGTCTCTCTATGTTGCCCAAGCTGGTCTCGAACTCCTGGGCTCAAATGATCCTCCTGTCTCAGTCTCCCAAGTATCTAGGACTAGGGGCGCCTGCCACCACAACTTGCTAATTATTTTTATTTTACTTTTATAGAGATGAGAGTCTTGCTTTGCTCCCCGGCTGGTCTCAAATTCCTGGCCTCAAGTGGTCCTCTTGTTTCCGCAGAACAGATATTTGTAACAAAATAGAAACCTATTGTTTTGTGACTTGCTAAATTCATATAACTATATATCCTGAACTTTTCCCATGTCATTAAGTACATGATTTTTTATGACTGGGCTGAATACTTATTTTAATATAAGTGTGAACTATAACTTATTCAGCCAATCTCCTATTGTTAAATATCTCTTTTATTTCCTAGTTTTTAGCTGGTAAGAATGAGACTAATATCCATTTGCTTTTGCGTCTCTTTGATTATTTTCTTAGCATTAATTGTTAGAACTGAATTGTTGGATTAAAGACATTTCATCCATTTGTCAAGTGAAAGGGTGCTGCAATTTACCCCTCCTCAGTACTATCTTTTGGAATATCATAGCATTATGATAAGTCTTGAAACATGGTAGGGTTAGTCATTCAACTTTGTTCTTATTTTCCAAAGTTGTTTTGGCTATTCTAGTTCTTTTATATTTCCATATGAGTTTTAGAATCACCTTATCAGTTTCTACACAAAAAATCTGTGAAATTTTAGCCGGGTGCCATTGTGTGCACCTGTAGTCCTAGCTACTTGGGAGGTTGAGGCAGGAGGATCTCTTGGCTCAGGAGTTTGAGGTCAGCCTGTTTCTAAGAAAATACAAAAACAAAACCAAATTTGGACTGGGATGTCATTGAAACTAGAAATCAATTTGGGGATAATTGACTTATTCTTAAAAATTGGCCAGGCGCAGTGGCTCATGCCTGTAATCCCAGCACTTTGGGAAGCTGAGGCTGGTGGATCACTTGAGGTCAGGAGTTCGAGACCAGTCTGGCCAACATGGTGAAACTCTGTCTCTACTAAAAATATAAAACTTAGCCAGGCATGGTGGTAACCCATTAAATCCTTCACAATTAAGTATTAGGCGTAGGTTTTTATGGATGCCCTTTATCAGGTTGATGAATTCCTTAGCTTGTTGAGAAAATGGATGTTGGATTTTTGTCAAATGCCTTTTCTGCATCTATTGAGATGATCTTGTGGTTTTCTTTTTCAGTTTGTTAAGATGATGAATTATAGGCCAGGCGCGGTGGTTCACGCCTGTAATCCCAGCACTTTGGGAGGCTGAGGTGGGCAGATCACGAGATCAGGAGATCGAGACCATCCTGGCTAACACAGTGAAACCCCGTCTCTACTAAAAAATACAAAAAATTAGCCGGGCGCAGTGGCGGGCGCCTGTAGTCCCAGCTACTCAGGAGGCTGAGGCAGGAGAATGGCGTGAACCCAGGAGGCAGAGCTTGCAGTGAGCCGAGATCGCACCACTGCACTCCAGCCTGGGCGACAAAGTGAGACTCCGTCTCAAAAAAAAAAAAAAAAAAAAAAGATGATGAATTATATTGATTTACTATATATATATATATATACACACACATACACACACACACACGCACACACAAAATACATATGTATCTTAATTCCAATAGCTTTTGGAGTGCAAGAGGCTTCTGGTTACATAGATGAAGTGTATAGTGGTGAAGTTTGAGATTTCAGCATACCAGTCCCAAGTAGTGTACATCCTTGACTTGCTCCTGATTTTAGGGGTAACCCATTAAATCTTTCACAATTAAGTATTAGGTGTAGGTTTTTATGGATGCCCTTTATCAGGTTGATGAATTCCTTAGCTTGTTGAGAAAATGGATGTATATGTAGCTTTTCATCACCTATCCCTTCCCACTCTCCCCCATTCTGAGTCTCCATTATACCACTCTGTGTGACTTTGCACATCCATAGCTTAGTTCCCACTTAGAAGTGAAAATATACAGTATTTGGTTTTCCATTCCTGATTTACTTCACTTAGAATAATGGCTTCCAGGCCGGGCGCGGTGGCTCATGCCTGTAATCCCAGCACTTTTGGGGGCTGAGGTGGGTGGATCACTTGAGGTCCAGAGTTTGAGACTAGCCTGGCTGACATGGTGAAACCCCATCTCTACTAAAAATACAAAAATTAGCTGGGCGTGGTGGTGCACACCTGTAATCCCAGCTACTCAGGAGGCTGAAGTGAGAGAATCACTTGAACCTAGGAGGTGGAGGTTGCAGTGAGCTGAGATTGCACCATTGCGCACTGAGATCGCACCATTGCACTCCAGCCTGGGTGACAGAGCGATACTCCATCTCAAAAATAATAATTATTATTATTATTATAATGGCTTCCAGCTCCATATTGATTCATTTTCTAATTTTAAGCCAACTTTTCATTCCTGGGATAAATTCCATTTGGTCATGACATATTATTCTTTTTCTATATTGGGAGATTTTGTTTAGAATTTTAGATCTCGTTAATGGAAGATAATTAGTCTATAGTTTTCTTGTAACACCTTTGGTTTTGGTATCAGGGAAATGCTGGCCTTGAGTGAACTGAAAAGTATTGCTCCCTTTAAATTTTTAGGAAAATTTGTTGATAATTGGTAGAATTTTTTTCTCAAATGTTTGCTAGAATTCACCAGTAAAGCCATCTGGCCCTGGAGTTTTCTTTGTGGGAAGGTTTTTAACTACACATTTAATTTTCTTAATAGTAATAAGGCTCCCCTCGCTTGTGTCCTATCTTCCAGACCTCATTCTTCTACATTGCCTGATGTCTGTTGCCTTGAAAACTATGCTTTCTTATGTTTGGTCTTTTTCCTTTTTTGGCTGCTTCAGGAAAGACAATAAATCTGGTTTTTGTTATTCCATGTTGTGTGGAAACAGAAGTGCTTTATATGTTTCTGTATTTTCATAGAAAAATTTTTTTATCGCTCAAAAATTATAAATATACATTTGGAAAATGCTACATAGCTTTGAACAGCAAAGAATTTAGTAATTATTTTGAGAATTTCTGACAGGTCCTCATTATTTACTCTGAAAACACTAAACTGTAAAGCTCTATGCAATTATTAAATATTATTTTTGTTGTGTTTTCCATGTTGTATAAAAGCTTTATATATACTTTAGGCTTACAATGTGTTCCTACTTTCACATAATATTTAGAAGAGGCTGACTAATGAAAGCTGGAGAAACAGTATACGAAATGCTTAATTTTGGTTTATCAATTATATTCAATAAGTTAAAATGTCTAGTTTAATGAGTCATTAAATACAAATAACCTGGATAGGGCTATTTTAAAAGTTTATATTAGAGAAGGCTTTCTCTTAACATCTTGACTTTATCTAGAACTTTAGGAAATGTTTAGGTGAAAGGAAAGGTAGCAAAAATTGTAGTAATTAATGAACATTAAGGACAAAAGTTAAAATACCCACTGAAAGCTGCAAATGTTAAACTGTATCTCTTATCATGGTTTGACTTGAATATGCCCTACTGCACACTGAAATATATCAAATTCAAAGATTTTATAAATGATAAAACAATTGTAAGTTTTCAAAAAAAGATGGCAGGAATTGCAGTAAGTGCTTTTAGAGCATTGAATTCTGTTCAGATGATTTTAAAAAATAATTGGTAATAACTTAGTAAATAGTTTAGTAAACTGTTTCTTAAAACTTTTTTCATCCATGATAGATATAATAATGTAGCATATAAATAGGAAGAAGTGTAAACATAAGACAGCCTGAAGGTAAAAATTAAGCCAATGGGAACAATTTCTTTTTCCAGAGATACGGATTTCCTTATTCTGCCACTGTATGGCAGAGTAACAACCAACCAACCAATCAGACAAACAAAACAAAACATCCAACCAATTTTTTTTTTTGTTTTGAGATGGAGTCTCGCTCTGTCACCCAGGCTGGATTGCAGTGGTGTGATCTCGGCTCACAGCAACCTCCACTCCCCAGGTTCAAATGATTCTCCTGCCTCAGCCTCCTGAGTAACTGGGATTACAGGCATGTGCCAGCATGCCCGACTATTTTTTTTTTATACTTTTAGTAGAGATGAGGTTTCACCATGTTGGCCAGGCTGGTCTTGAACTCCTGACCTCAAGCGATCCATCCACCTCAGCCACCCAAACTGCTAGGATTACAGGCGTGAGCCACTTCACCCAGCCGCAACCAATTCTTCAAGACCACCTCATTAGCATTCACAGTGCTGTGTCTCCAAGGCTCTAGAGATAAATGAAATAACTGAATCCTTGAGAAAATTCTATTTTCTTAATGATGAAAGGGGAAATAAAACTGGCTTTCCGATGAGTGCAAATTTAATACATATTTTAAAAGGGTAAGGTTGTCAATTGTCATAAACAAAAACAATCAAATAGAATAAGGGAGCTCAGATTCTGAATGAAACCCTATTCTGTATTTTGAGTCATTCCGTTTTGAATCATACAGTTACCATGTCCTATCAAATACAGAAAGCAGTGAGCAGGATAAATTGGACACCTAACAGCTTTCTAGTTAAGCAGTTTTTACAGCTACCTTCACTGAAGCTATTAGGAAATTTCTACTTGACCTGAACAGAACTACCAGACTGAGTTTCTTGTAAGAAAAAATGATTACTTACTATTGTAGCTATTTGGAGACCCTTGGTTTCAATGAAAACAAGCAAGGTATATTCCCCTATGGGAAATGCATTAGCTGAGATGTAGAATTCCTCTGCTTCTTTCAAACAAATACATCCTACTGTAAATATGAGGCTGCAGGCCACTGTGAATTTTTTTTTTAGGAGGGAAAATTCAATCCTTTCCTTATTAAAAAACAATCATAATAGCTCTGCCACATGCTACAGCATAGTATCTTCATAGGTGAACCTTGAAGGCACTACGCTAAAGGAAGTAAACGAGCCACAAAAGGAAAAAAATTGTATATTCCACTTATACGAGTTTCCTAGAATAGTCACATTCATAGAGACAGAAAATAGCATGGTGTTTGCCAGGGCCTGAGGGAAAAGAGGAAAAGGGAGTTGGGGCTTCATTGGTATAAAATTTCCACTGGGGAAGTTGACGAAGTTCTAGAGATGGAAGTGGTGATAGTTGTATAACAATGTGAATGTACTTAATGCCACAGAACTGTAAAATAAGAAATGGTTAAAATTGTAAATTTTATCTTATATATACTTTGCCACCTTAAAAAACAAAAAACAAAAACTTAGCTCTTATTCCTTTTATTATAAAATTATAAAATTTCTTATTATAAAATTATAGAATACATGTCCATTATAGAAAATACAGTACAGATAATAAAAAAGAAATAAAAATTCTATAGTTAGCCATTGCTAGTTTTACTTTATAATTTTCTAAGTTATTTTGTTGTATACAAATGTATGTTTGTGTGTGTGAGAGATAATTTATTTTATAACACGGCCTCTTTTTTGGGACTGTGAAGCTGGAGAGAGAATGTTGGTGATTAGTTTGACATTTCTTTTGCTTTTTTTTGAGACAGAGTCTCACTGTGTCACCCAGGCTAGAGTGCAGTGATGCAATCTCAGCTCTCTGTAGCCTCTGCCTCCTGGGTACAAGTGATTTTTGTGCCTCAGCCTCCCAAGTAGCTGGGATTACAGGTGTGTGCCACCACACCTGGCTAGCTTTTGTATTTTTAGTTGAAATGGGGTTTTGCTATGTTGGCTAGGCTGGTCTTGAACTCCTGGCCTCAAGTGATCCATCTGCCTTGGCCTCCCAAGGTGCTGGGATTACAGGCATGAGCCACTGTATATGGCCTAGTTTGACATTTCTTATGCTACTTTATTTAAGAGGAGAAGGTAGCTGCCCTTAGAAAGAAACTGCAGGCTGTATTAGAAAAGATTATCAGAATGTAGTAAGAAAGCTATATTTTTCACTTGAGCCAAGAGGGCAATGGTGACCAAATTATCTGGTCAGAGTAGTTAGTGACCAGTGGCTTGACCTAGAAATTTCAGAATGTTGGCTGTGGGAATTGGACAATAAGGTTTAGGCAGAAGCATATATACAAAACCAAACTTAAGACAATATTCAAGACAAAGTTCTAAAGAAAACACTTTCAACAGAAACACGAATAACACAAATGGTAATGTGGGTAGTTCCTTTACTCATTAAATATTTGTGTGTGTGTGTGTGTTTTTTACTTTGGAAAAAACATTCTGAATATGGAAAAATACAGAGGATAGTATAATAAACATCCACATACCCATCACTCAGAATTAACAAAGATTATCATGTAGTCGAATGAGCCCAAATATTTAGGTAATAAAACCCTACACTGAAACATGACAGATAAGAGTGCCCTGCCCCAGGCCCATTGCCTTTCTTCTTTTCCAACCTCTTTCAGTTTCATGGTTTTGCTGTGTGTCCTTCCAGTCCACATTTTTGATAATTTTAATACATATATATTATTCATAAAAAGTACATTGCTTTTTGTGTTTCTAAAATTTACATTAATGGATATATGCTGTCTGTATCTCTTTTTTTGTAGCTTGCTTTTTAAACTAAAAGCTATATTTTGTGTGTGTGTGTGTGTGTGTGTGTGTGTGTGTGTGTGTGTGTGTATAAGACAGGATCTTGCTCTATCACCCAGGCTGGAGTGCAGTGGCACGATCATGGCCCTCTGCAGCCTTGATCTCTTGATTTCCCGGGCTCAAGCAATCCTCCCACCTCAGCCTTCCTAGTAGCTGGGAGTACAGGCACGCACTACCATGCCCAACTGATTTTTAAAATGTTTAGTAGAGATGACGTCTCGCTATGTTGCCCAGACTAGTTTAGAACTCCTGAGCTCAAGCAATCCTCCTGCCTCAGCCTCCCAAAGTGTTGGGATTACATGCGTGAGCCACTGCACCTGGCCTAAAACTATACTTTTAAAGATTGATTCATGTTACTAGTTCATTCCTGTAAGCCAGTGGCTCTCGACAGTTTTTTTTTTTTGAAATGGAGTCTTGCTCTGTCACCCAGGCTGGAGTGCAATGGCACTATCTTGGCTCACTGCAACCTCCACCTCCTAGGTTCAATTGATTCTCCTGCCTCAGCCTCCTGAGTAGCTGGGATTATAGCACCCGCCACCATGCCCAGCTAATTTTGTATTTTTAGTAGAGAGAAACAGGTTTCACCATGTTAGCCAAGCTGGTCTCGAACTCCTGACCTCAGGTGATCCACCTGCCTCAACCTCCCAAAGTGCTGGATTACAGGCATGAGCCACAGAACCTGGCCAACAGTTTTGCCTCCCCAGTGGACCTTTGGCAATATCTGGAGATATTTTTGATTGTCACGGTGGGTGGTGGGCAGGGAGGTGCTATTGGCATCTAGTGGGTAGAGAGGCCAGTGATACTGCTTAACATCCTACAATGCAGAGGATAGCTCCCTGCAACAAAGAACGGTGTGGTCCAAAATGTCAGTAACACCGAAGTTGAGAAACCCTGATCTAAACAAGTGATTCTCAAAATGTGGTCCTGACTGGCAGCATCAGCATCCCCTTAGAACTTGTTAGAATACAAATTCTTTGGCTCTGTCCCTGACCCAATGAATCAGAATTTATGGGGGAGAACACAGAAATCTAAGGTTCTACAAACCCTCCAGGTGATTCTGGTGCACACTAAAGTGAGAACCACTGAGCTAAAACTATTGAATTGTTTTCAATTGTATGGAAACACCCCACTGCATTTATCTTATTGATCATTTCACATTTATCATGTAAGATGATGTTCTCTATACTAAGAGGCTCCTTTGTCCTCCTACACTACACCATACAACATACCCCTTAAAACATTAAAATGGACATTTTAGTAATAAAAAACATCTGTTGGAATGCTTACTATTTCCTTGGCATTATTCTAGGTTTTTTATCTATTAATTACCCGTAACAACCCAAGGAAGTAGATGCCAGTACTATCCAATTTCACAGATGAGAAACTAAGTAGTAAAGTAATTTGTTCAAGGTTACACAACTAATAAGTGTCTGACCGAGCCAAGATTTGAACCCAGACTGTTTGGGACTAGAGCCTGTTTCTTTAACATTGCACACATTCCCAGAAACACAGACTGTACCATTTTGGCTTAATGTTCAGAGCCTAGTGTAATAGATTATGCATCCAAATGTCTAACAAAAAATGACGTGGAGCCTGGGCTCAGTGGCTCATGCCTGTAATCCCAGCACTTTGGGAGGCCGAGACAGGCAGATCACTTGAGGTCAGGAGTTCGAGATCAGCCTTGCCAACATGGTGAAACCCTGCCTCTACTAAAAATACAAAAATTAGCCAGGCGTGATAGTGTGTGCCTGTAATCCCAGCTACTCAGGAGGCTGAGGCAGGAGAATCACTTGAACCCAGGAGGCAGAGGTTGCAGTGAGCCGAGATTCTGCCACTGCACTCCAGCCTAGGCGACAGAGCAAGACTCCTTCTCAAAAAAAAAAAAAAAAAAAGTGGAAATGAGAGAAAGGGTGCAGACAGTGGAGTCTAATCTAAATTTGGCATGCTTCTACCAAGCACAGAATTCATTTTCTCTAAAACGCCTCAAAGCTCCTGCTCCAGCCATATACACAGGCACTTATATTTATATCACTAAGACATGAACCTTTACATGAAATTTGGAGAAATAATCTTGCTACTCAACACTATACATATTTTTAAAAAGATTAAATACAGGATTTAGAATCAGGTTTTCATTTAAGCACATCAAAAATAGATGCTAAAACTTTAATGGTATTAAAAAAACAAAAAATAAAAAAATGGTGGCCTTTAAACATTTACTGTGGTTTTAATTTTTCTTGAGTGTCACTTTATATTTTCATGTGGTATGAAAGGTTTAGTGACTTCCAACCAGAGATATTTTCTGATCACTTTCTAGAAATCTACAATGTTGTTAGGAAGATAAAGCATACACATGCAAAGCAGTTAAACAGTAATACAAGTCCAGGTAACCTTAAGAGGTCAAGGTTATAATATAGCAGATACAAAGCTTAACCTTAAGAGTTTAAGCTTAAAATGTAGCAGATACAAAGAGAGCAAAGGTTATAGAAACTCAGAGAAGAGTGAAAATATCTGAATTGGCTGGAAATTTTTTATGAAGGAGGTCAATTTGCATTAAGTGAGAAGAATGCATATTATTATGAAAGAAGGAAGGTACTTTATGTAAGTTTGATTTTTTTTTTTTTTTTTTGAGATGGAGTCTCACTCTGTCGCCCAGGCTAGAGTGCAGTGATGCGATTTCAGCTCACTGCCAACCTCTGCCACTTGGGTTCAAGTGATTCTCATGCCTCAGCCTCCAGAGCAAGCTGGGAATACAGGCGCGTACCACCATGCCTGGCTAATATTTTTGTATTTTTAGTAAAGATGGGGTTTTGCCATGTTGACCAGGCTGTTCTCAAACTCCTGACCTCAGGTGATCCACCCATCTCAGCCTCCCAAAATGCTGGGATTACAGGCATGAGCCACCACTCCTGGCCAAGTAAGTTTGACATTTTAAAAACTAACAGTACTCTCGGTGATGGGCAAAACAACTTCTGGCAGCTTCAGATTTACATTCTTCCAACCTAGTAGTCCCAGGAGAAAGATTCATATCTGCTTCCAGCATCCTTATGGCAATCCAGGGACGTATTCTGATTTTTCCTGTTCAGGACATGTGACCATCCCTGGCCTAATCACTTTTCCCAAAAAGATAAGCTGCTATGATAGGCCAGGTATAGATCTTGTACTTAATCCAGTGACCACATGGAATAGAGAACATGCAGTTCCTCAAGGAAAATAGGGGTCATGGACACTCAAAAATGACAGCAATCTACTTTACCTTAATATCAATGTTATTTCTGTGTTACTCCATTTTGCACTGCTATAAAGGAATACCTGAGACTCAGTAATTTATAAAGAAAAGAGGTTTATTTGGCTCATGGTTTTGTGGGCTGTACAAGTATGGCACAGCATCTGTTTGGCTTCTGGTGAGGTCTCAGGAAGCTTTTACTCATGGGGGAACGTGAAGGGAGAGGAGGTATGTTACATGGTGAGAGAGGAAGCAAGAAAGAAGGGAACAGGTGCCAGGTTCCTTTTAACAACCAGCTCTTGTGTGAACTAATAGAACGATAACTCACTCATTACCACCAAGACAGCACTAAGCCATTCACGAAGGATCTGCCCATCCACCAAGACCCAAACACTTCCCACTAGGCCTAGCTCCAAACATTGGGGGTCACATTTCAACATGAGATTTGGAGGGTCAAATTTCCAAACCCTATCAGTCTCCGACTCCTCCCTAATATGAAGCCCTCCATGATTATCTTGCCCAAGTCAGTCTCTTTATTGTCTCCTGATCATCCCATGTTTGTCCCGGACTTTAAGACTAAGCCTTTGCTCATGTTGTTTGTCTCTACTAGAATATTATTACTCTTCCTTTCCTTTTTTCTAAATATCCATTACTCAAGCTTAAGTCAACCTCCTTCTTGAGGAATTTCCATCCAGTCCTGATACTTCCTTCTCCTGCTTCTCTACATTCCTATAGCCCCATATTAAAAGAACCTCCATATTATCTTCACCCAGATACTCTCCTTGCTCTATCACCCATTTTCTCCATTATATATGTATGTATGTATGTATGTGTGTGTGTGTGTGTGTGTATACATATCCATTATCATTAGTTTATATTTTTCTGAACCATTTCAGAGCAAAGCATGGACATAAAACCCCATCATTGCTAAACTGTCCAGTATATGTTTCTTTAAAACATAGCCATTCTCTAACTCTGCAGGTCAGGATATCAACATTGATTTTACACTACCATCCATTCTACAAACCCCATTAAAATTTCACCAACTATCCATAAAATGTCTCTTTTTACCTTCTGGTCCAGAATCTCACCCAAAAATATGCATTGCATTTAGTCATGTTTTTTTTGTCTCCTATAATCTGCAACAGTTCTTCGGTTTTTCCCTCCCTTTCATGTCCTCAACAGTTTTAAAAAGTACAGACCTCACATTCCATAGATGATCCTCAACCTGTGTCCAATGTTTCCTCATGCATGATGAGAATCAGGTCATGTTTTCTTGGCAGAAACACCATAAAACTGATGCTGTTCTCTTTACAGTGTATCATCTCAGGAGGCACATAATGTCAACCCATTGTGTTAACCTTGATGACCTACTCATGTTGGTGTCTGCTAGGTTTCTCACTTGTAACATCATCATTTTCTCCTTTCTAATTGATTAGTATTTTATGGGTAGATATTCTGAGATTATGTCAATACCTTGTTCTTTATCAAAACTCTACTCACCAGCATTAGCATCTTTTAACAACTCCTACCTGAATCAACCACCATTGTGATGGTTGCCAAATGGTGATTTTATATCTCTACCATTCCTTGTATATTTATCATTTAGCATTCTATTGTAAGGAAGAGCTTTACACTTATTTATTATATGTATGGACTCACTTGTTTCTATTTTTAAAAATGTATTTGTTCCTTATCTTGTTTTTTTCTTTGATGTTCAAATTGTACCAAATTTACTGAGTGGGAACACCTTCAGGGTGGCTCCTGTGTCTTCTTGACATATTCTAATTATTTTTTGAGCACAAGATATTCTAGGCTCATCTTCCTAACTTTTTGACACAAGATATTCTAGGCTTATCCTGTGCCTTTCCTGCCCCAGACTAGAATCATCCATTTCTCCGAGAAGTCCTAAGTTTCTTTCAGTGAAGGATGGTATTTAGAAACCAAGAACTGGGTCTTGGTGTGCTCATTGCCACTGGGAGATGGAGAGGGGCATTGTTTTTAGGCCTTCTTAGTGGACAAAGCTAGTAAATATATGTGTGTGTACACACACACATACACACACACACACCTAAAACTATTTCTAAATCTTTCTATATACATGTAAAAACATGAGTTTATATGATCCCTGCAGTTTTAATCCAATAGGCTTCTTTCTAGGGTTCCTTCTTTCCATGTTTTTAAGTACTTTCTCCAACTTTTTCAATGTATATACTTATTCACTTAATTGATTTACTTATTTGCTCAATATAATCAATCGTCAACACACTGGCTGTCCTCTCTGCCCACCAACTCCACTCTCTGCCTCTCTAGTCTCTTGTGTTCATGCTGATGTGCCTCTGAATAGCTACTTCCTTACTTTTTTACTTCTCAGTGCCCTCACATTCTTGAATGTCACTAGGAATAAGGGCACTATTTCTTAAGAAAGACGCTATTGGTATTTTTGGGTGGTACAATTCTTCATTATGTAGAACTTTCCAGCACATTGCGGGAAGTTTAACATCCAGGCTCTTCACCACTAGTTGCCAGGAGTGTTCCCTGTCATTTTAACAGTGAAAAATCCTCCCACAAATTTTAACGTGCCCTAATGTCTTTTTTTTTTTTTTTTAAAGATGATCTCGCTCTGTCACCCAGGCTGGAGTGCAGTGGCATGCTCTCGGCTCATTGCAACCTCTGCCTCCCAGGTTCAAGTGATTCTCATGCTTCAGCCGCTAGAGTAGAAGAGATTACAGGTGCACGCCACCACACCCAGCTAATTTTGTTATTTTTAGTAGAGACGAGGTTTCACCATGTTGGCCAACCATGTTGGCCAGTCCCAAACTTCTGGCCTCAAGTTACCCACCCCCTTTGGCCTCTCAAAGTGCTGGGATGACAGGCATGAGCCACCGCCCCCAGTCATATGGTGCCCTAATGTCTTGATATTCAAAATGTGGTCCTTGGACCAGCAGCATCAGTGTCACCTGGGAGCTTGTTAGAAATGTAAAAGGTAGGCTAAGTGTGGTGGCCCACACCTGGAATCCCAGCACTTAGGGAGGCTCAGGCGTGTGGATCACTTGGGCCCAGGAGTTGGAGAGCAGCCTGGGAAACATGGTAAAACTCTGTCTCTACAAAAAGTGAGAAAAAAAAAAAATTAGCCAGTCGTGGTGGCGACCTATAAGCCCAGCTACTAGGGGAGCTGAGGTGGGAGGATCACTTGAGCCTGGGAGGATGAGGCTGCAGTGAGTCATGATTGCTCCACTGCACAGCAGGATGAGACCCTGTCTCAAAGGAAAAAAAAAAAAAGGAAATATAAAAGGTAGGTCTCCATTCCAAACCTAGAGAATCAGCAACTGCATTTTAACAAAATCTCAGGTGATTTGTAAACATATTAAAATTTGAGAAGCAGGCTGGGGCCACTTGGTTGAAAACTATTTCCCTAGGGAAATTCTTGCATATATACATCAGAAGGCATGCACAATAATGATCAGACTAGAGATGCTAAGCATTTTGTAATGCAGTTCCAATTGTGATTAAAATCACATTTGATTCTCCCATTTGATTCTTCATCTCATTGAATATCAGCTTCATTTTGCAGAAATGTGCTCCATTTAAAAGACAAAGACTGGTAGAATAGCATAGAAAACACGATTGAACTATATGCTGCTTACAAAACACTCACCTTCCCTGTAAAGACACATTTAGAATGAAAGTAAAAGAGTGGAAAAAGATATCCCATGCAATGGAAGCCAAAAGCAAACAGGAGTAGCTATACTTATACCAGATATAACAGACTTTAAATCAAAAACAATTAAAAAAAAAAGGTCATTATACAAAGATAAAGGGATCGATTCAACAAGAGGATATAACAATCTTAAATATATATGCATGCAAAACCAGAGTACCCATATTCATAAAACAAATACTACTACATCTAAAAAAGAGACAGGCAGCAATACAATAAAACTTGGAGACATCAACACCCCACTCACAGCAACAGACAGATCATGAGACAGGAAATCAACAAAGAAACATTGAACTTAAATTGTACTTTAGACCAAATGGACCTAAGAGACATTTACAGAACATTTTACCCAACAACTACAGAATATACATTCTTGTCATCAGCCCATGGGATAGTCTCCAAGATAAACCATATATTAGGCCACAATACAAGTCTCAACAAATTTTTAAAAGTTGAAATAATATCAGTGGCTCACGCCTGTAATCCCAGCACTTTAGGAGGCCGAGGCAGGAGGATCACGAGGTCAGGAGATTGAGACCAACCTGGCTAACATGGTGAAACCCCGTCTCTATTAAAAATACAAAAAATTGGCTGGGTGTGGTGGCGGGCACCTATAGTCCCAGCTACTCGGGAGGCTGAGGCAGGAGAATGGCGTGAACCCGGGAGGCGGAGTTTGCAGTGAGCTGAGATCGCACCACCGCACTCCAGCCTGGGCGACAGAGCGAGACTCCGTCTCAAAAAAAAAAATTTTTTTTTTTTAAAATATCATGTATCTTTTCAGATCACGGCTGAATAAAACTAGAAATCCATACCAAGAGGAACTTCAGCAACTATAAAAATATGTGGAAATTAAACAACATGCTTCTGAACAATCATTGAGTCAATGAAGAAATTCAGATGGAAAAAAATAAATAAATTAAGATGGAAATCCTTTTTTTTGAAATGAATGAAAATGGAAACAACATACCAAAATCTTTGAGATAGAGCAAAAGCAGTGCTAAGAGGGTAGTTTGTAGAATTAAATACCTATATCAAAACAATCGACAGAACACAAATTAACAATCTAACATTGCACCTCAAGGAACTAGAAAAAAAAGAACAAATCAAACCTAAAGTTAGTGGAAGAAAAGAAATAACAAAGATCAGAGTAGAACTAAGTAAAATAGAGACCCCAAAACAACACTAAGTATCAACAAAACAAAAAGTTGGCTTTTCGAAAAGATAAGCAAAATTGATAAACCACTAGCTAGACTAACCAGAAAAAGAAGAGAGAAGATTCAAATAAACAAAATCAGAAATGAAAAAGGAGATATTACAACTGACACCACAGAAATACAAAAGATCATCAGAGACTATTAAGAACCATACACTCATGCCCTAGAAAACCTAGAGGAAATTGATAAATTCCTGGAAACACACAACCTACGAAGATTGAACTAGGAAGAAACAGAAACCCTAACAGACTAATGATGAGTAGAAAAATTGAATCAGTAATAAAAAATCTCCCAACAAAAAAAATCCAGGACCAAATGAATTCATAGCCAAATTCTACCAAATGTACAAAGAAGAATGGGTACCAATCTTCCTGAAACTATTCCAAAATCTGAGGAGGAGTGAATTATCCCTAATTCATTCTACAAAGCCAGTATCACCCTGATACCAAAACCAGACAAGGACACAACACAAAATACGACAGCCCAATTACCCTGAGGTATATAGATGCAAATATCCTCAACAAAATACTAGAAAACCAAATCCAATAGCACAACAAAAGGTAATACACCATGATCAAGTGGGTTTTATACCTAGGATGCAAGGATGGGTCAACATACACAAATAAACAATTGTGATTTATCATATAAATGGAACGAATGGCTAAAACCATATGATCACCTCAGTATATGCAGAAAAAGGATTTTATAAAAGCCAACATACCTTCATGATAAAAACAGTCAACCAACTAGGCATAGAAGAAACATACCTCGAAATAGAAAAGGCTATGTACAACAAACCCACAGCCAACAACAGGCTCAACAAAGAAAAGTTGAAAGCATTCTCTCTAAGACTGGAACAAGACAAGGATGCCTGCTTTTACCACTCCTACTCAACATACTACTGCAAGTCCCAGCCAGAGCAATCTGTCAAAAGAAAGAAATAAGAAGTATCAAGATTGGAAAAGAGAAAGTCGAATTATCTCTGTTCACTGATGATATGATCTAGAAAACCCTAAAGACATCACCAAAAAACTGGTAGATTTGATAAATGGATTGAATAAACTTTCAGGATACAAAATCAGTGCACCAAAATCAATAGCATTTCTATACACCAATAATGTTCAAGCTGAGAGCCAAATCCAAAAGGCAATCGCATTTACAATAACTACAAAAACTACCCAGAAATATATTTAAGGAGGTGAAATATCTCCACAAAGAAAACTATAAAACACTGGTGAAATTGTAGGTGACACAAACAAATGAAAAAATATCCCATGGTCATGGATCAGAAGAATTTAATATCATTAAAATGACCTACTGCCCAGAGCAATCTACAGATTCTATGCAGTCTCCATAAAAAACCAATGTCATTTTTTTTCACAGAATTAGAAATAAACAATCCTAAAATTCATATGGCACCAAAAAAGACCCCAAATAACTGAAGCAATCCTAAGTAAAAAGAGGAAAGCTGGAGGTAGGCTGGGCATGGTGGCTCATGCCTGTAATCCCAGCACTTTGGGAGGCCGAGGTGGGTGGATCACCTGAGGTCAGGAGTTCGATACCAGCCTGGCCAATATGGTGAAACCTCATCTCTACTAAATGCGCAAAAAAATTAGCCTGGTGTGGTCGCCGGCACCTGTAATCCCAGCTACTTGGGAGGCTGAGGCAGGAGAATCGCTTGTACCCAGGAGGCAGAGGTTTCAGTGAGCAGAGATCACACCATTGCACTCCAGCCTGGGCAAGAAGAACAAAACTCCGAAGAGAGAGAAAAAAAAAAAAAAAAGCTGGAGGTATCACATTACCTGACTTCAAATTATACTACAAGGGTATAGTAACTCAAACAGCAAGGCATTGGTATAAAAATAGATCAATGGAACAGAGTAGAGAACCCAGAAATCAAGCTACATATCTGCAACTGATCTTTGACAAAGTTGACAAGAAGATACACTGGCAAAAGACAACTTTTTCAATATATGATGCTGGGAAAATTGGATTGCCATATGCAGAAGAATGAAACTGGATCCCTATCTTTCACCATATACAAAAATCAACTCAAGGTAGATTAAAAACTTAAATGTAAGACCTGAAACGATAAAAATACTAAAGAAAATTCTGTATATTGGCCTAGGCAAAAAGTTTATGACTAAGACCTAAAAAGCACAAGCAACATAACCAAAAATAGACAAATGGGACTTAATTAAACTAAAAAGCTTCTGCATGGCAAAAGAAATAATCAACAGAATGAACAAAGAGCCTGTGGAATGGGAGAAAATATTTACAAACTATCCATTTGACAGGGGACTAATATCCAGAATTTATAAGGAACTCAAACAACTCAACGAAAATCTCAACTCCAAAAAATGCTTAACATTACTAATCAGCAGAAAAGTGCAAATTAAAATCACAATGAGATATCATCTTACACCAGTCAGAATGGCTATTATTAAAAAGACAAAAAATAATAGATGTTGGCAAGGATGCAGAGAAAAGGGAGCACTTATACACTATTGGTGGGAATGTAAGTTAGTACAGCCTCTATGGAAAACAGTATGGAGGTTTCTCAAAGAACTACAAATAGAACTACCATTTAACCCAGAAATCACACTACTGGGTATCTACCCCAAGGAAAAGAAATCATTATACAAAAAAGAAACTTGCACTTATAATTATTGCAGCACTATTCACAATAGCAAAGATATGGAATCAACCTAAGTGTCCATCAACAAATGACTGGATACAGAAAATGTGGTATGTATACACAAGGGAATACTATTCAGCCATACAAAGGAAGGAGGCTGGATGCAGTGGCTCACGCCTATAATCCCAGTACTTTGGGAGGCTGACGCAGGAAGATTGCTTGAGTCCAGGAGTTACAGACGAGCCTGGGCAACAAACCCCATCTCTACAAAAAATACAAAAAAGCTGGGTGTGATGGCATCCACCTGTAGTTCCAGCTTCTTGGGAGGCCGAGGTGGGTGGATTGCTTGAGCCCAGGAGGTCAAGACTGCAGTGAGCTGTGATTGTGCCACTGCACTCCAGCCTGGGGGACAGAGCAAGACCTTGCCTAAAAAAAAAAAAAAAATAAAAGAAAGAAAAGGAATGAAATCATGTCTTTTGCAGCAATATGGGTAGAACTGGAGGCCATTATCTTAGGTGAAACAACTCAAACAAAAAGAACTAGACATTGGAGACTCAGAAGGGTATAGGGGTTGGAAGGGTGTGGATAATGAAAAATAACTTAAAAGGGTACAATGTATATTATTCACCTGATGGATACACTAAAAGCCCAGATTTTAACACTATGCAATATATCCATGTAACAAAAACTGCACTTAAATTTATATAAGTAATAATAATTAAAAAACAACTCTTCATTCCTTCTCTCCAGCACTTGCCAACCACTATTCTACTTTCTGTCTCTATGAATTTGACCTCATATACATGGAATCATATAGCATTTGTCTATTTGTGACCAGTTGATTTCACTTAGAATAATGTTTTGAAGGTTCATCCATATCATAACATGTGTCAGAGTTTTCTTCCTTTTTAAGGCTGAATAATATTCCATTGTATGTCTGTACACATTTTGTTCATCCATTCACCTGTTGATGGACACTTGGATTCCTTTCACCTTTTGGCTATTGTGAATAATGTTGCTGTAAACATCAGTGTATAAATATCTCTTCAAGATACTGCTATTAATTTTGGGGGGTATATACCCAGAGTTAGAATTTCTGGATCACATGCTAATTCTATTTTTAATTTTTTGAGAAACCACCATATTGTTTTCCATAGTATCTACACCATTTTATATATGCCCAAACAGTGCATAAGGGTACCAATTTCTTTATATCCTTGCCAATATTTGTTATTTTCTGTTTTTTTGATAGTAGCCATCCTAATGGGTGTGAAGTGCTATCTCATTGTAGTTCTGACTTGCATTTCCCTGATGATTACTGGAGTTGAGCATTTTTCATTTTATTGACCGTTTATATATATATTCTTTGGAGAATGCCTAATCAAGTCTTTTGCCCATTTTGTAATCAGTTTATTGTTGTTGTTGTTGAGTTGTAAGAATTCTTTTTATATTTTGGGTATTAATCTATTATCAGATATATAGTTTATACTATTTTCATCAATAGGTTGTTTTTTCACTCTGTTGATTATATCCTTTGATGTGCAGAAGTTTTTAATTTTTATAGCGTCCAATTTATCTATTTTTACTTTTGTTGCGTATGCTTTCAGTGTCATAGCCAAGAAATCATTACCAAATGCAATGTCATGAAGCTTTTGTCCTATGTTTTTTTTCTAAGAGTTTTATTGTTTTAGCTTTTGTGGTTAAATCTTTGATCCATTTTGAGTTATTTTCTATAAACACTTAAGTTTTTGAGTAAATGAAGTGACATAAAATGATTGTGAGCTAAGGATGTAGTTGCCAATAATAATCAACAGACGCTTCATTCACATCCTCAGATTCTATATGTTAACTGCATTAAATATAATTCTTTCTGTGAAAGAGCTGTGATCAACTTGAGCACTGGGTCTCAACTTTGGCTGCCCTAGCATTCCTGGGGAAGCTTTAAAAGATACTGATATCTAGGTTTTGCCCCCAGAGATTTTCATTTAATTGTTTTGGGGTACTGCCTGAGCATTGGTGCTTTTACAGGCTCTCTGGGTGATTCTGATATGCAACCAAAGATGAGATTCATTGTACTAGAGAGACTCCCACCATTACAAAATTAAGCAAGAGTTTACTGTGTAATGATCACAGATGTTGCTTTTTATTTGCTTTACTTATTGTTGTAAAGGCAGCTTGTAGATTTAAGAGCAGAAAAAGCATGCATTCCAAAATGTTTCTAATTCAATGTATTGCCTTCTCCAATATTTCAAAATATTAGAGGGAATCTGACTTCAAGGATTTATATGTTTTTGAAGAACTCTTAAATTATAAACTGCCTATGGTATTATTTTTATAACTATATCATATTCCCCTTTGATACATAATGGCAAGTGTGTGTTTGTTTGTTTTTTAATTAAAACACTTGTATTTTCGGCTGGGCACAGTGGCTCATGCCTGTAATCCCAGCACTTTGGGAGGCTGAGGTGGGTGGATCACTTGAGGTCGGGAGTTCGGGACCAGCCTGGCCAATGTGGTGAAACTCTGTCTTTACTAAAAATACAAAAATTAGCTGGGTGTGCTGGCGCACGCCTGTAATCCCAGCTACTCAGGAGGCTGAGGCAGGAGAATTGCTTGAACCCAGGAGGTGGGGGTTGCAGTGAGCCGAGATTGCACCACTGCACTCCAGCCTGGGTGACAGAGCAAGACTCTCTCTCAAAAAACAAAACAAAACAAAACAAAAACCAACAAACAAAAAAAACCCTTTTATTTTAGATCCAGGGAGGCACATGTACAGGTTTGTTACGTGGGAATAGTGTGTGATGCTGAGGTTTGGGGTATGATTGATCCCATCACCCACATACTGAGCATACTATCCAATAATTAGTTTTTCAACCCTATGGCAAGTGTTTTATCTTAATGGTATCCTCTTCTGACTCCATGAAACATTCAAAAGTAAAATGTATTGGCAAAAGAAATATGTTAAAGAACTGTAAAAACGTTTAGAACTTTAAAAAATATAACTTTATATTTCAGAACTGATATCCATGCCATACATAAGGCTCCCTATTTCTTTCTTAAACTACTTAGACTTGGAAATATCACTGTTCAACAATTACAATTTCATGAATTCTGGCCAGTAAAACAATTAGAGACTGAAATTCACTGTCAAAGACTGTAGACACAGAGAAACCTGTCGAGGGGGTAAGAGGATTAAGAGAGGAATAAGAAGAGCTGCTTGTTTATGTTATGGAATTAAGCCCTGATGACTGAGATATAGAGCAGCAAACCTGATATGTTTAGTTCAGGAATTATTTTGATAACAGGACATCATGCTTGCTTTTTTGTGGCAGATCTTATAGTTTTCACTTTACAAGGTCATAGATAAGCTATGGGTAGCCAAATCCCATGGCTATTTAGATTTAGAGGAATATAGATTGGATATGATAAAGAAGTGCCCTTTAAATATTTTTCCCCTGGATTTTACACCAGCGGTTCCCAAACTTTACTGTGAATCAGAGTCACCTGACTTGTTAAAACATTAATTGCTGGGCCCTACCCTCGAAGTTTCTAATTGATAGGTCTAGGTCTAGGACAGGGCCCAAGAACTTCCATTTCTAGCAAGTTCACAGATGATAGTATGCTGTTATGGGTAGAGAGGACAATGCACACTTTGTGAACCACTCTTTTATAGTATCTTTTAAACACTGACCCCCCGCAGATCACAGGTGTTTCCTATTATTCCTTATTCTTGAATTGTCAGCACACTTTCAAACTGATTTTTGATTTGATAGGACTTTTTTAAATGTTTTCCTTTTAACATGGTTTCAGTCTGGTATCTGTTTTTATTTTTCAATTGAATAAAATGTCCTACTGAATGATTCCCAGCATGCATGTATTTGGATATGTGGATGTGTTTTTATATGAGTTCCCGTAATCCTTCATATGGATACATTTGATTTATAAAGTATATTTCCTTTTCTATCTACAACAGTGAATTTTATAATTCTGCCACATTTTTAAATTTTGGTTGATCAGAGTTGTGAATTATGGTGATAGGAATGGTTGGTAGGAAATACGGGCTAGTGGCATAGAGGGAAACAGATTTTATTAGGATAACCTGTAGATTTTAATTATTCATACAGTTTTATCCTGTGAGTAATCAATAGTTCACTGGGGCTATAATTTTCTGTTGAAAATCTCCTTTTTAAAAGCACATAGCAGCTTAATTATAATCTCTCACTGCCTACTCAGAGAAACCTCTTGAAACTGGCTGTCGGTTTCTTAAGTATCTGAGTTTAATGTGTTATTTTGTAGCTGAGGACTGAAAATAAAGCATCCAGTATGAAATGTATGTAGTAAGGCACAAAGAGGATGCAATACGTGAGAAACCTAAAAGATAACTGACAAGCATTCTTTAGATCAGTGGTCCCCAACCTTTTTGGCACCAGGGACTGGTTTTGTGGAAGACAATTTTTCCACAGACTGGGGTGGAGGTGGGGGGATGGTTTCGGGATGATTCAAGTGCATTACATTTATTGTGCACTTTATTTCTATTATTAATACATTGTAATATATAATGAAATAATTATACAACTCACCATAATGTAGAATCAGTGGAAGCCCTGAGTTTGTTTTCCTGCAACTATACGGTCCCATCCACGGGTGATGGGAGACCGTGGTACCCGAAGTGTGTTGCTTATGTCCAGTCTGCAATCTCGTTTTGGTTGCTGTCACAGCAGAAAACCCTGCTTCACAAAGATAGGATGTTGGGAATAGAAGCAGGCTTTTTAGTGCTTTTGTGGCAATCTCAGTATATTCTGCTTTCACTTTAATCCAGAACGTATGGAGATTTGAAGTAATCTCAAACATACTTTTGAGGCCACCGACATTTGCAATCTCAAGGAGTTGATCCTCTTCCAGGATTGACAAAGTTGATTTACCTGACTTATTCACAAATGGGGCATAGATCTATTCTTTCCTGGTTAGGGGGTCGTTTGTGGTTGGAAAGTAATGCTCAAACTCTTTTAAAAGTTGAGATAGGTTATCATGCACCAGCTGGGAAAAAGAAGGCCCTGGCTCAGTCTCCCTCAAAAATCTCTGCTAATGTTAAAAACATGTTAGAAAGCCCAATGTTCACTCATCGCCCTTATAATTCCAGTTTGGCGTTGAATGCAGCCACTTTATCTGTCGACTTTAACAAAGTTTGCATTCTCCGCTGAAGTGACAGATTGAGTTCGTTGAGCAGGTTAAATATGTCACACAAATAAGCAAGTTTTGTGACCCATTCTGTGTCGCTGGAATGTTCTGCCAGTGGTGACTGTTTTTCTAGAAGAAATCTCTGGAGTGGCTCTCGAAACTCAAAAACTCTGGCCAGTGATCTACCATTAGAAAGCCATCTCACTTCTGTTACAAGAGAAGTTGTGTGTGCTCTGTGTCCATCTCCTCACAGAGCTGTGTAAATGGACATGAACTAAGGTCATATACTTTAATGTGGTTGATAATTTTAATCACATCCTGCAAAATGTTGTTAAGTTCAGGTGACCCTTTTCACCTAGCCAGCATTTTTCTATGGATGACATGGTGTATAGACTCACATTCAGAGGCGGCCTGTTTGACCTGAATAGTGAAACCAGAAAGCCGTCCAGCCATGACAGTTGCTCCATCCATGCGTATATGGACATAAAATGACCAATTCAGTTTTCCTGATATGTTATCAAAGATTTGAATAGTTCTGCAGTTGTGCTGTTTGTTGGCAACAAAAGTGCACATAATATATCCTCATGCACATCCTCCTGAAAAATATATGGCACAAAAACAAGCATTGCTGCCTTGTCAATATTGGTAGACTGGTCAACCTGGATTGTGTGCCATGGTGACTCATTAATACTCTCTAACAATTGTGCCTCAATATCCTCTGCTATTTAATCGATTCATCCAGTTATGGTGCTAGCCAAAAGAGGAACACATTTGAACTGAAGCCTCTCCTAGAAGTTCATGACAAATATTCTTAGCAGCAGACAGGATCAACTCTTCACCAATAGTAAAGGGGTTCTTAGCTTTAGCAACGTAGTTAGCCACAAAGAATGATGCTTTCAGTGCAGACACATTTGATGAAGGGGTGGCCTTCAATAATTGCTCCAGTTCTTTGTGTTCACATTTTTTTCTTTTGAAAAACTCCAAAGGCTTGTCTTTTAATGCAGAGTGCATGGTCTCCATGTGGCAAAGCAGTTTTGAAGGTTTAATGGCTTTGGTCACATATTATACAAAGTGGGCTTGGAGAATGTGAATCACCTGTTGCAATGAACCTGTAATTTAAGTAGCATTCTTGATACTTTCTTTTAAATGCGGCTTTCTTTTTGTTGGTAGTCTTACAGTCTTCTGTCTCATGATTGGGTCTTTGCCCCTTTTCAAGGAAGTTCTCCAGTGATGTTTGTTTTTACTCATTTCTGGCTAGGGTTAGCTTGTGGGCTTACTAAAACTGCGACTGAGACAAGCGCACAGTGTGGAAGTGGTAAATAAAATCATAACATAAATAAATAAAATAATAGATGGAAGTGGTAAATAAAATGGGCGGGCCACACACAGACTAAAATAAGTGTTGGATTCTGACTTAAAACTTGCCACCAGATGCAGCTGTACAATTGAAGCACATCAACTCACTTGCCTCTATAAAGCTTGCCATCAGATGCAGCTTAATTGTCACTTGCCACTCACTGATAAGGTTTTGATATGAGTCTGCAAGCAATTGATTTATTGTGATCTTTGTGCAGTCAAACCTTTCTGCCAATGTTAATCTGTATTTGCAGCCACTTGCCAGTGCTAGCATCACTGCCTCAGCTCCACCTCAGATCATCAGGCATTAGATTCTCATAAGGAGTGTGCAACCTAGATCCTTTGCATGTGCACTTCACAACAGGGTTTGCACTCCTAAGAGAATCTAATGCCACCACTACCAGTCCATGGTCCGTGGGTTGGGGACCATTGCTTTAGACTATAACAACAGACAAAATAAAGAACAAAAGGAAGGGTAGATGATTTGGAAAATGCTAGAGTTTTTCACAATTATTTTTAAGAAAAAGTTTATCACCGATTGGTTAGAGTAGGTGCCTTCCATGAAAAGAAAAAAAATACCCTCAGATGTCATGAAAGCTCGAATAACATGTTAAAGTAAAAACTGGACCATATCAGGAAAGGCTAAGAGCAGGGAAACTTAAAAAAATGGGACTGCATGACAGCAGATCCACCAATAGCACCAATAACAATAGGATAAAAGCATTCCTAGGGAAGAGCAAATATAACATTCATCTTTTTTAAAGGAGGGGAAAAGAATTTGCCTTGTGACTTTAGGGTAATATATTAAAAGCTTAGAAAGATAATTTAATTGCCTCAATAATTGCTCAATCACCAAGAAATGTGCAAGGCACTGGGAAACAGTGTACTTATCTGCTTAGCTTTCTAAAGAGAAAATTGGGTAGGACTAACTTTTTCTATAATAATAATGGGATGATTAGAGAAAGGGAACATCTAAATATCCATTTTAGGGTATTTGAATTTTTCCATTTTCAACAGATATCATACCCTGCTAGCCAGCTGGATAAAGGGTCTTAAAGATATCATCTGGGATAATGAACCAAATATTCATGGATGTTTCAATAAGAAAGAGGTCATAGGGCTTTGTGGCTATCATGTAAGAACTGTGACCATAAAACAATGAGGTACTCTATGAATTAAACATAAAAACCAATCTTATCAATTTAGAGCTTTACATATATCCAGCCAAGGACATGGAGTCAATACCATATATGTATCCGGGTACTCCTAATTTATACTAACTCTTGCAAATCCATTTGTTTACTCCTTTTTTGTCCAATTGGATTCTATTTCCCATTCCCTGAATATGCCTTTTAGCTTCATGTCACTGTTGATATTTCTTTTAAACAGGAAATACCTTCTTTTCTAATCTTGACCTGTTGAAAATCTATAAAGTCCATCAGATTTTGGTCAAATACTATTCTATTAGGTCTTCCCAGTCTTAGCCCCAGATAAATTTCTCCCCTTTTAAAAATTCCTTATAACTCTAATTCATATTATTCCTTGTTTATAGTGACTAGACAGTTTATTTTCCTTACTGGATTATGATGGTAAAGATAATATTGTGTTCATTTTTATGGCTCTCTTAAGGCCTAATGCAATGTTTGGAAAAAAAAAGGGAGGAAAGAAGAAAGGAAGGAAGAAAATAAAAATAAATAAATAAATAAATAAATAAATAAATAAATAAATGGTTGGGCACAATGGCTCATGCCTGTAATCCCAGCACTTTGGGAGCCAAGGCAGGCAAATTGCTTGAGCACAGGAGCTCGAGGCCAGCCTGGGCAACACGGTGAAATCCCATCTCTACCAAAAATACAAAAAGTAGCTGGGTGTGGTGGCATGCACCTGGGGTCCCAGCTATTAGGGAGGCCGAGGTGGGAGGATTGCTTGACCCCGGGAGGTGGAGGTGAGCCAAGATTGTGCCACTGTACTCCAGCCTGGGTGACAGAGTGAGACCCCATGTCAAAAAAAAAAAAAAAAGAAAAAAGAAAGAAGAATAAAATAAAGGTATATATATACATACACATACATATATCACACATGCACACACAAATATATGGCGTACCACTTATTCTTAAGGCATGTGTTCATAATTATGTAAATGTCTTTGCATGAATGTTTCATGCATTACATCAGAGACTTCTGGTTCCAAGTAAGATGGTGAAATAACCATGGCTCTGGCTCCTGCTCATGCACGAAAAATTTTGGAGATGCCAGAAAGGACTGGCAAAACAACCTGGAATTAACTGATAAATGAATTCAGTAAAGATGCAAATCAACAAAGATAAATCAACAAAAATCAGTAGCATTTATCTACATCAACAGTCAACAATCTAAAAAAGAAATCAAGAAAGCAATCCTATTTACAATAGCTACAAAAAAAATACCTAGGAATAAATTTAACCAAAGAAGTAAAAGACCTCTACAAGGCAAACTGTAAAACACTGATGAAAAACATTAAATAGGACACACATACAAAAAGGACAGATATCTAATGCTCATGGATTGGAAGTACTAATATTGTTAAAATGTCCATACTACCCAAAGCAACCTACAGATTCAATGAAATCCCTATCAAAACACCAATGACATTTTTCACAGAAATAGAAAAGGCAATTCTAAAATTTGTATGAAACCACAAAAGACCCCGAGCAAAAAGAAACAAAGTTGTCTCTCCCTCTCCCTCTCCCTCTCCCTCTCCCTCTCCCTCTCCCTCTCCCTCTCCCTCTCCCTCTCCCTCTCCCTCTCCCTCTCCCTCTCCCTCTCCCTCTCCCTCTCCCTCTCCCTCTCCCTCTCCCTCTCCCTCTCCCTCCCCCCTTCCCACGGTCTCCTTCCACGGTCTCCCTCTGATGCTGAGCCAAAGCTGGACGGTACTGCTGCCATCTCGGCTCACTGCAACCTCCCTGCCTGATTCTCCTGCCTCAGCCTGCCGAGTGCCTGCGATTGCAGGCGTGCGCCGCCACGCCTGACTGGTTTTCGTTTTTTTTTTGGTGGAGACGGGGTTTTGCTGTGTTGGCCGGGCTGGTCTCCAGCTCCTAACCGCGAGTGATCCGCCAGCCTCGGCCTCCTGAGGTGCCGGGATTGCAGACGGAGTCTGGTTCACTCAGTGCTCAATGGTGCCCAGGCTGGAGTGCAGTGGCGTGATCTCGGCTTGCTACAACCTCCACCTCCCAGCCGCCTGCCTTGGCCCCCCAAAGTGCCGAGATTGCAGCCTCTGCCCAGCCGCCACCCCGTCTGGGAAGTGAGGAGCCTCTCTGCCTGGCCTCCCATCGTCTGGGATATGAGGAGCCTCTCTGCCTGGCTGCCCAGTCTGGAAAGTGAGGAGTGTCTCTGCCCGGCTGCCATCCCATCTAGGAAGCAAGGAGCGCCTCTTCCCCACCGCCATCCCATCTAGGAAGTGAGGAGCGTCTCTGCCCGGCCGCCCATCGTCTGAGATGTGGGGAGCACCTCTGCCCCGCCGCCCTGTCTGGGATGTGAGGAGCGCCTCTGCTGGGCCGCAACCCTGTCTGGGAGGTGAGGAGCGTCTCTGCCCGGCCGCCCCGTCTGAGAAGTGAGGAAACCCTCTGCCTGGCAACCGCCCCGTCTGAGAAGTGAGGAGCCCCTCCGTCCGGCAGCCACCCCGTCTGGGAAGTGAGGAGCGTCTCCGCCCGGCAGCCACCCCGACCGGGAGGGAGGTGGGGGGCGGTCAGCCCCCCGCCCGGCCAGCCGCCCTGTCCGGGAGGTGAGGGGCTCCTCTGCCCGGCCGCCCCTACTGGGAAGTGAGGAGCCCCTCTGCCCGGCCAGTCGCCCCGTCCAGGAGGGAGGTGGGGGGGTCAGCCCCCCGCCCGGCCAGCCGCCCAGTCCGGGAGGTGAGGGGCGCTTCTGCCCGGCCGCCCCTACTGGGAAGTGAGGAGCCCCTCTGCCCGGCCACGACCCCGTCTGGGAGGTGTGCCCAGCGGCTCACTGGGGATGGGCCATGATGACAATGGCGGTTTTGTGGAATAGAAAGGCGGGAAGAGTGGGGAAAAAATTGAGAAATCGGATGGTTGCCGGGTCTGTGTGGATAGAAGTAGACATGGGAGACTTTTCATTTTGTTCTGTACTAAGAAAAATTCTTCTGCCTTGGGATCCTGTTGATCTGTGACCTTATCCCCAACCCTGTGCTCTCTGAAACATGTGCTGTGTCCACTCAGGGTTAAATGGATTAGGGGCGGTGCAAGATGTGCTTTGTTAAACAGATGCTTGAAGGCAGCATGCTCGTTAAGAGTCATCACCACTCCCTAATCTTAAGTACCCAGGGACACAAACACTGCGGAAGGCCGCAGGGTCCTCTGCCTAGGAAAACCAGAGACCTTTGTTCACTTGTTTATCTACTGACCTTCCCTCCACTATTGTCCTATGACCCTGCCAAATCCCCCTCTGCGAGAAACACCCAAGAATGATCAATAAAAAAATAAATAAATAAATAAATAAATAAATAAATAAATAAAAGAACTGTAACACTAAAAAAAAAAAAAAAAGAAACAAAGTTGTTCCTGAGCAAAAAAGGAACAAAGTTGGAGGTATCACACTACGAAACTTCAAAATACACTAAAAAGCTATAGAAACAAAAACAGCATGGTACTGGCATAAAAACAGACACATAGACCAATGGAACAGAATAGAGAACTCAGAAATAAATCCGTGCATTTATAGCCAACTCATTTTTGAGAAAGATGCCAAAAATACACATTGAGGAAAGGATACTCTCTTCAGTAATGGTGCTTGGAAAACTGAACATCTCTATGCACAAGAATGAACTAGACCCCTATCTTTCACCATATACAAAAATCAAATAAAGATGGATTAAAGACTTAAATGTAAGGTCTGAAACTATGAAACCACTAGAAGAAAACATTGGAGAAATCCTTCAGGATATTGGTCTGCACAAAGATTGCTTGGGTAAGACATCAAAACTATAGGCAACAAAAGCAAAAATAGACAAATAAGTTTATATCAAGTTAAAATGCTTCTGCACAACAAAGGAAATAATCAACAGAGTGAAGAGACAATCTGCAGAATAAGAGAAAATATTTATAAACTATTCATCTGACAGGGGATTAATAACCAGAATATATAAGGAGCTCAAACAACTCAATAACAAATAGTAATAATAATCTCATTTAAAAATAAGCAAATTATCTGAATAGATATTTTTACAAAAGAGGACATAAAATGGCCAACAGTTATATTAAAAAATGCTCAACATCACTAATGATCAGGGAAATGCAAATCAAAACCACAGTGAGATATTATCTCACCACAATTAAAATATTATCAAAAAGACACAATGAAAAAAGAAAACTACATGCCAATATCCCTAATGAACACAGACACTAAATTGTTCAACAAAATCCAATAAACCAAATCCAGCAGCATATGAAAAAGTTAATTTACTATGATCAAGTAGGCTTCATTGCTGGGATGCAAGGTGGGTTCAACATATGCAAATCAATAAGTGTGATTCACCACATGAAACAGAATTAAAAACAAAATCCATGTGATCATCTCAATAGGTGTGGGAAAAAGCCTATGATAAAATCCAACATCCCTTCATGAAAAAAACTCTCAACAAACTAGGAATCAAAGAAACATACCTCAAAATAATATGACAAACCCACAGCCAACATCATACTGAATGGGCAAAAGCTGGAAGCATTCCCCTTAAGACCTGGAACAAGACAAGGATGCCCATTTTCACCACTCCTATTCACCATAGTACTGGAAGTCCTAGCCAGAGCAACCAGGTTAAAGAAAAAAAGAAAAAACATTCAAATACAACAAGAAGAAATCAAACTATTTGTCTTCAGTGATGATATGATTCTGTACCTAGAAAACCCTAAAGACTCCACCAAAAGGCTGCTGGAACTGATAAAAAAAAAGGATGACTTCAGCAAAGTTTCGGTACACAAAATCAATCTACAAAACCAGTAGCATTTCCATACACCAATAATGTTCAAGCTGAGAGCCAAATCAAGAATAGAATCCCATTTACATTAGCCACACAAAAAATAAAATATCTAGGAATACAACGAACCAAGGAGATAAAAGATCTCTATAAGGAGAACTACAAAACACTGTCAAAAGAAATAATAGATGACACAAGCAAATGGAAAAAACATGTCATGCTCATGGATTGGAAGAATCAATATCATTAAAATGGCCATGCTGCCCAAAGCAGTCTACAGATTCAACATGATTCCTACCAAATTACGAATGTCCTTTTTCACAGAACTAGGAAAAACTATTCTACAATTCATATGGAACCAAAAAAGAGCCTGAATAGCAAATCAATCCTAAGCAAAAAGAACCAAGCTTGAGGCATCACATTACCTGACTTCAAACTATACTATAAGGCTATAGTAACCTAAACAGCATGGTACTACTGGTAGTAAAACAGACACATAGGCCAATAGAATGGAACAGAGAACCCAGAAATCAAGCTGCACACCTACAGCCTTCTGGTCTTCGACAATGTTGACAAAAGTAAGCAATAGGGGCCAGGTGTGGTTGCTCTCACCTGTAATCTCAGTACTTTGGGAGACTGAGGCAGAAGGATGGCTTGACATCAGGAATTCAAGACCAGCCTGGGCAATGGCAATGTAGCGAGTGAGACCTTTCCTCTAAAAAAAAAAAACCCAGGTGTAGTGTCACTTGCCTAGGGTCCCAGCTACTTGAGAGGTTGAGGTTGATAGATTGCTTGAGCCCAGGAGGCTGAGGTTGCAGTGTGCTGTGATCATGCCACTGCACTCTGGCCTGGGTGACAGAGTGAGATCCTGTCTCAAAAGAAAAAAAAAAATGGAGAAAAGGTTCTCTATTCAATAAACGGTGCTGGGTTAGGTGGTAGCCATGTGCAGAAGAATGAAACTGGACCCCTAACTTTCACAATATACAAAAATTAACTCAAATTGGATTACAGATTTAAATGTAAGAATGTCAAGCTATAAGAATTCTAGAAGAAAACCAAGGAAACTCCATTCTGGATAGCAACCTTGGGAAAGAATTTATGACTAAGTCCCCAAAAGCAATTGCAACAAAAGCAAAAATTGACAAGTGAGAACTAGTTAAGCTAAAAAGCTTCTGTTCAGCAAAATAAATTGTCAGTACACTAAACAACCTCCAGAATGAGAGAAAATATTCACAAACATACATCTGACAAAGATCTAATATCTAGAATCTATAAGGAACTTAAATAATTCAACAAGCAAGAAACAACCCCATTAAAAAGTGGGCAAAAGACATGAACAGACACTTCTCAAAAGAAGACATAAAAGTGGCCAATAAACATGAAAAAATGCTCAAAGCAACTAATCATAAGATAAATGCAAATCAAACCCACAATGAGATACCATCTCACACCAGTCATAATGGCAATTATTAAAAAGTCAAAAAACGACAGATGTTGGCAAGGCTGCAGAGAAAAGGGAATGCTTATACACTGTTGGTGGGAATGTAAATTAGTTCAGCTACTGTGGAAAGCAGTTTGGAGAGTCATCAAAGAACTTAAAACAGAACTACCATTTGATCCAGCAATCCCATTATTGGGTACATATCCAAAAGAAAATAAACCATTTTTCCAAAAAGACACATGCAATCATATGTTCATTGCAGCACTATTCACAATACCAAGACATGGAATCAACCATGGTGCCTATCAGTGGTGGACTGGATAAAGGAAATGTGGCACATATACACCATGGAATACTATGCAGCCATAAAAAGAATAAAATTATGTCCTTTGTGGCAACATGGATGGAGCTGGAGGCCACATCCTAAGCAAATTAATGCAGGAACAGAAAACCAAACACAGCATGTTCTCACTTGTAAGTCAGAGCAAAACACTGGGTACTCATGGACATAAAGATGGCAACAATAGACACTGGGGACTTCTAGAGGAAGGAGGCAGAAGGGTTCAAACACTAACTATTGGTTACCATGCTCACTACCTGAGTGATGGGATCATTCAGATCCCAAATCTCAACATCACACAATATACCCAAGTAACAAACCTGCACATGTGCTCCCTGAATCTAAATCTAATCTAATCCTGAATAAAAATGGAAATTATATTTATTGAAAAACCAAATCCTTCTGGGCGTGGTGGCTCATGCCTGTAATCCCAGGACTTTAGGAGGCCGAGGCAGGCGGATCCCTTGAGGTCAGAGTTCAAGAACAGCCTGGCCAATAAGGTGAAACCCCGTTTCTAGTAAAATTACAAAAATAAGCTGGGTGTGGTGGCACATGCCTGTAATTCCAGCTACTCAGGAGGCTGAGGCACAAGAATGGCTTGAGCCCAGGAGGCAGAGGTTGCAGTGGGCCGAGATTGTGCCACTGTACTCCAGCCTGGGTGACAGAGTGAGACTGTCTCAAAAAAAAAAAAAAATGCTCATGAGGTTACAGAGAAAGGGGAACACTAGTACATTGTTGGTGGGAATGTAAGCTAGTATGGCCACTATGAAAAACAGTATGGAGGTGCCTCAAAAAACTAAAAATAGGCCTACCATATGACCCAGCAATCCTACTGTTGCATATATATTCCAAAGAAAGAAAATCAATATATCAAAGAGATATCTGCACTACATGGTTATTGCAGCACTATTCACAATAGCCAAGATATAGAAGCAACCTAAGCATCCATCAATAGTTGAATGAATAAGGAAAATGTGGTTTATATACACAATAGAATATGACTCAGCAATAAAAAAGAATAAATTATGTGATTTGCTTCAAGAAGGATAGAACTAGAGGACATACATTAAGTGAAATAAGCCAGGCACAGAAAGAAATTCTGCATGTTCTCACTTATATGTGGGAGCTAACAATGTTGATCCCATGAAGATAGAGAGTAGAATGACCATTACCAGAGGCTATGAGGGAAATGGGTTATGGGGGATGAAGAGAGATTAGTTAATGGGTACAAAAATATAGTTAGATATAAGGAATAAGTTCTAGTGTTCAATATCATAGTAGGGTGACTATAGCTAACAGTAACTTATATATTTCAAAATAGCTAGAAGATTTGAAATGTTCTCAACACAAAGAAATGATAAATATTTGAGGTGATGGATATCCTAATTACTCTGATTTGATCATTACGCATTGTATACATGTATCAAAACATCACATGTATCCCACAAATATGTACAATTATTATGTAACACTAAAAAATAAAATTGAAAAAAACCCACTGATGGTGGAAGTGAGGTATGAATAGAGAATCTAGAGAGTGGTAAGAGTTGCTAAACTTTAGACATTGACAAGGAAAAATAAGTGTAAATATGGTCCTTGGTAAGTTAGCGCCAGATGTGGTGGCTCACACCTGTAATCCCAGCACTGCACTTCGGGAGGCTGAGTCGAGAGGTTCACTTGAGCCCAGGAGTTTGAGACCAGCCTGGGCTGCTGCTCTATCTCTACAAAAAACTTCAAAAAATTTAGCTGGCTGTGGTGGCACATGTCTGTAGTCCCAGCTACTCAGGAGGCTGAGGTGGGAGGATTGCTTGAGCCTGGGAGTTTGAGGCTGCAGTGAGCCATGATTGTGCCACTGCACTCCAGCCTGGGTGACAGAGTGACCTTGTCTAAAAAAAACAAAAAACAAAAAAACTTAGGGATTACTACCTGAAGAATAAAAACAAAATACATAAATTTTAAACAAGCAGAAGAAAATGTGATCTATCAAAATGCAGGCAAAAAAGAAAGTATGGCAAAAATAAAACTTGAAAAAGATGGCAAATAGAGTGCCAATATACCAGAAATTAGAATATATATGAGTAGATTAAACTTCTAAATCATAACCTGAGAATCTCAGAATGTATTTTAAAAAATTAAATGTAGCAATATGTCATTTACAGAGGATAGACATAAAATAAACAGTTCAAGAGAGGTAAAAAATAAGCATAGAAAATGCAAACCAGCAAAATATGAACCAGAAGAGAACTGGGGTAATAATTTTAATATACAGTTTGAATTTAAGGCAAAAAAAAAAGTTACAAGGGATGTGATAGTTAATTTTATGTTTCAACTTGGAGGGTGTTTTGGATGAGATGAACATTTAAATCAGTAAACTTTGGGTGGGGCAGATTGCCCTCCATAATGTGGGTGAACCTCATCTAATCAGTTGCAGGCCTGGATAGAACAAAAAGACCAGTCTTTCCAAGCGAGAGGAAATTCTCTGCCTGCTGGACTTTATCTGATCCCCTAGCTATAGACTTCTGGCCTATACAGTAGATTTGGACTTGACGGTCTCCATAATTGCATGAGCCAATTCCTTATAATACATCTCTTTCTATGTATATGCACATCCAATTGGTTCTGTTTTCATGGAGAGCAGTAATACAAGGAATAAAGTGGGTTACTGCATATTGGTAAAAAAAAATAGATCAAGAAAATATATTATAAACATATGTGCCACTAATGATGGAAGAAATATGCACTAAACAACATTGTATTAGTCCAGTTGTGTTGCTATAAAGAAATACCTGAGGCTGGGTAATTTATAAAGAGAAGAGGTTTAACTAGCTTGTGGTTCTTTAGGTTGTACATAAAGCATAGTGCTAGCATTTGCTTTTGGTGAGGGCCTCAGGAAGCTTACAATCATGGCAGAAGGTGAAGGGGAACCAGTGTGTTGCACGGTGAGAGAAGGAGCAAGTAAGAGAGGGAGGAAGTGCCAGGCTCTTTTAAACAATCAGATCTCATGTGAACTTACAGAGTGAGAACTCATTCATTACTGCGAGGACAGAACCAAACCATTAATGAGGGATTCACCCCCATAACCCAAACACCTCCCACCAGGTTCTACCTCCAACATCGGGGATTACATTTCAACATGAGATGTGGAAGGGACAAACATCCAAATTATATCAAATATACATTCAAAGTACAGGGAGCAGGACCAGTAGACTACTGGAGAAAATTTTTTTAAATCAACAATAATACATGGTAATATCTAACACGACACCTTTAAAATTTTTTGATAAGGCAGATACAAAATAAGACACAAAATGTACAAGATTAATACATTTCATCTTCTATTGTTCTATATGTTGAACTTTGCATGCCTGAAAAGCTAATTTTTTTTTTTTTTAAAGAGACAGTATCTTGCTCTGTGACCCAGGCTGGGGTGCAGTGGCACAGTCACAGTGTGCAGCCTCAATTTCCTGGGCTCAAGCAATCCTCCCACCTCAGCCTCCTAAGTAGCTAGGACTACAGGTTACGCCACCATGCCCAGAAAATTTTTGTTTTTTTTTTTGGTAGAAATGGGGTTTGCCATGTTGTCTAGGCTGGTCTTAAACTCCTGGGCTCAAGTGATTCAACCACCTTGGCCTCCCAAAGTGCCAAGATTACAGGTGTAATCTCACTGTGCTCACACCTGTAATCAATAATTATAAATGCATAATCAATTAATATAAATGCATAACATAAATCCATAATATAAACTCATAATCAATTAATATAAATGTTCCATGGGTGCTTTAAAAATATCAATTTTTAAAAAATATCTATTTTTAAAGCACCCATGGAACATTTATATTAATTGATTATGGACTAGGTTACAGAAGAGCCTCTATAAACTCCAAATAATTAGCATCACAACAGAGTATGTTGTCTGACAACAAAACACTAGAATAGTTGGCCGGGCGCGGTGGCTCACGCCTGTAATCCCAGCACTTTGGGAGGCCGAGGCGGGCGGATCACGAGGTCAGGAGATCGAGACCATCCTGGCTAACACGGTGAAACCCCGTCTCTACTAAAAATACAAAAAAATTAGCTGGGCAAGGTGGCGGGCGCCTGTAGTCCCAGCTACTCGGGAGGCTGAGGCAGGAGAATGGCGTGAACCCTGGGGGGCGGAGCCTGCAGTGAGCCGAGATAGCGCCACTGCACTCCAGCCTGGGCGACAGAGCAAGACTCCATCTCAAAAAAACAAAAACAAAAACAAAAACACTAGAATAGTTAATAATAAAAAGGTAGATTTAAACAGCTCTGTCAATAAAAAATTCCTAAACCACCCAGGATTAAACTGAAATCCAAAGGGAAATTATAATATTCAAATTCTTTGCATATTTATCTGTGGCAATGCTTTGAAGCCTGGATTTAAAATGCATTCCTCAACAGGATTTGTGTTTGTTGTGCCGGCTGGGCACCTAGAGGTACAACCAATCCAGGACCCATCTGATCTAAACTTTTGGAGTATTTTTGGACCACATAGATAATATTAATTTTGGCTCCAAATTAGGTGTGGAGTTAGTGATTTTCAGGGGAAACTTTTTTTTAAAATCATTCCACCCAGGGCCAAGGCTCAAAAAGGCACATATCTTCACTGTCTTCCTCTGTGGATTCCACTGCCACCCCCCTTCTCCTAGTGTCTTCCTCTAAAGGTTTGTCTCCTGTCCCTTCATTTATATCCCATTGTAACCCAGGTTGTAGGCCACCAGGGATCAGTGGATAATTTCCAGACAAGTGCCGGCTCTGGCGCTCTTTTATTCTACTTTCCTTTAAAAAAAATGGACAGATATTTCATATGCTGTAAAAGTCATCTTTTTAAAAGTATGCATTGAGTGGTTTTAGTATATTTACATGTAGAACCATCATTACTATCTAATTCCAGAGCATTTTCATGACACCAGAAAGAAACCCTGTATCCATTATCAGTCATGCCCCATTCCCCTCTTTAACTCTAACTGCCCAAGTCTCTTTCTGCCTGTATGGATTTGTCTATTTTGATTCTGGACATTTCATATAAATGGAACCATACAATAATATCTTTCATACCTGGCTTCTTTTATGTAACATAATATTTTCAAGCTTCATCCATATTGCAGTGTATATCCTATTGATATTTCATTCCTTTTTTTTGAGATGGAGTCTCGCTCTGTCACCCAGGATGGAGTACAGTGGCACAATCTTGGCTCACTGCAACCTTTGCTTCCCAGGTTCAAGCAATTCACCTGCCTCAGCCTCCCAAGTAGCTGGGATTACAGGGACCTGCCACCATACCTGGCTAATTTTTTTTGTATTTTTAGTAGAGACGGCATTTTACCATGTTGGCCAGGCTAGTTTTGAACTCCTGACCTCAAGTGATCCACCCGCTTCAGCCTCCCAAAATGCTAGATTATAGGTGTGAGCCATGGCGCCTGGCCACTTCATTACTTTTTATGGCCAAATAATATTCCATTATATGGGTATACCACATTTTGTTTAACCATTCATCAGTTGTTGGACATCTGGATTATTTTCACCCTTTAGATATTGTGGCTAATGATGCTATGAATATTTATGTACAAGTTTTTGTGTGGACATATGTTTTGTCTTGCATATATGCCTATGAGTGCAATTGCTGGGTCATATAGTAACTCTATGTTTAATTATTTCAGGAACTATCAGACTATTTTCCAAAGTAGCTACACCATTTTAATTTCCCCTTCTTACTGTTTTTTTAATACTTAAGTAATTCTACTTTCCTGTCATGCATTTTAAAAGATTTAAAAAAAAACCCTTCTCTCTGTCACCAAACAACCATCAATTACATGGGTCTATTTGGCTTGTGGAAATAAGCTGAGCTGTACACTTATAAGTAGTAATGGATAACTAATTCATGGAGTATTTACCCAATGAAATACTATATACAGCAAATAATAAACTACCCATAAGCACATCAACATCAACAATATGGATGAATCTTACAAATAAGAACCAGAGAGACAGATACAAAAGAGTATCTATTCTATTATTCTAGTTATATAAAGTACAAAAATAGACAAGACAAATCTATGCAGTTAGAAGTCAGGATTAACTTTGAGGGGAAATAGTGGTTGGAAGGGGACACAAGGAAGCTTCCAGATTCTGTTTCCTGATCTGGGTGCTGATTACATGGGTTTATTCAGGTTGTCGAAATAAACTGAACTATATACTTATAATACGTGCACTTGTCTTTATGTGTATTAAAAGTTTCAAAAAGAAGAAAAATGTATTCAACTTTGGGTATGCAGTATCCAGAGTTTTCCCTGCATCTTATTGCCTGATGATTCCTACAATACAAGTTGCCCTGGAAAAACAGAAAAAATAGGCAAAGTGTTCAACATAATTTATAAGGCCAATATAATGTTGATACCTAGTCACATAAAGAAAAAAACTCCTATTTTACTTATGAACATAGATGCAAAATAATGCTAAGTAAAATGTTAGGTAACAGAGTCTAATACCCTACTAAAAATATATTACAATCAAATAGGGTTAATATAAATAACGTAAATTTGGTTCAATAAAGGAAGATCTACAATAAAAATCATCACATCAAGGGACATAAACAGGAAAAATAATCACATGATCATCTCAGACACAGAAAAATCATTTTATAAAGTTCAATACCAGTTAATGATTTAAAAATCTCTTAGAAATTTCACAAGAAAATAAAGGAAGGTTTTCAACCTAACAGAGGACATCAACTAAAAATCTACAGCAAACATTCTATTTAACAGAAACTTCAGTGTGGTGCTCTCCTGTAATCCCAGCTACCCTGGAAGCTGAGGTGGGAGGATTGCTTGAGGCCAGTTAGAGGCTGTAGTGAGCTATGACCGCACCTAAGAATAGCCACTACACTCTAGCCACTACGCAGCCAGAACCCATCCCTAAAAAAAAAATTTAAAAACAAAACCAAAAACTTCAGATGCATATTATTTGGAATGTGTTTGCTATACTTAAAAGAAACTGAAATAAAAGTAGTATAAACACATAAGGATTGTTTTTTATCTCAGCAGGAAGTTCAGAGGTCGGCAATACAGCTATGGTACACGACTCCACAAAGCTCAGTGTTCTGGAGGCCCCTTTTGGCTTTCTGCACCATCATCTCATACATTTAACTTTTGCTTTCATCATCTTAAAATGGCTTCTGCTTCTCCAGGTAACCAATGTCCAAGCAGGAAGAAGTGGATGGAAAGAAGGGCAAAGATTCATGGAACCAAGCCAGCTGGGCTTTCTGAAAGTACATGCAAGGACATCCTCTTACATTCCATTGGCTTGGACTGTGTCATATAACTACCTGTAGTTGCAAAGGTGGTTGCATTTTGCTGCTATAAAAAAGCGGGGAGGGCGTTCTGGTAGAAAGATAAAAATAGAGACTTGAAATTGAATAGGCAACTAGTAGTGTCTACCTTGTATTCCCTTTAGGTTTGATAACAACACAATGATCCCCACTGATATGGTTTGGCTCTGTGTCCCCATCCAAATCTCTTCTCAAATTGTAATCCCCATGTATCAAGGGAGGGACCTGGTGGGAGGTGACTGGATCACGGGGGCGGTTTCACCCATGCTGTTTTCCTGGTAGTGAGTGAGTTCTCACATTATCTGATGCTCACACTCTCATTCTCCTGCTGCCTCGTGAAGAAGGTGCTTGCTTCCCCTTCGCCTTCTACCATGATTGTAAGTTTTCTGAGGCTTCCTCAGCCATGTGGAACTGTAAGTCAATTAAACCCCTTTCCTTTATACATCACTCAGTCTCAGGTAGTATCTTTATAGCAGTGTGAGAACGGACTAATACACCCACTATGACCACTACCTTGCAAAACAGTACTTGATGTCTTGGCCATTGAAAACAGACAAAAATAAATGTAACATACAGCTCTGTCAAGAGTTCTGCTACAAACTGCAGAAAACATATGCAGCTGATTTAAAAGAAAATAACTTATTATAATATTAAGTAGCTTATTGAATCTATAAAGTTGTCCACAGAGGTTATGTAAACTTGACAGCTATATAACTAGGAACAACACCCAAATCATATTATAGATCTACTCCAATGGACATGCCATTATTACCACTATTTGGCAAAAATGCTGCAGCATGTACTGCCAACTCCACCAGACTGAGCACTGGGTACTATTGTGGGAATCTCTGCCACTACCCTCTCTGCTAACATATTTTTATTAATTGTACTTGTTAGAAAAAAGAATTTCTTGGCCAGGCACAGTGGCTCATGCCTGTAATCCCAGCACTTTGGGAGGCCGAGGTGGGCGGATCACAAGGTCAGGAGATCGAGACCATCCTGGCTAACACGGTGAAACCCCATCTCTACTAAAAATACACAAAATTAGCTGGGTGTGGTGGTGGGAGCCTGTAGTCCCAGCTACTTGGGAGGCTGAGGCAGGAGAATGGCGTGAACCCAGGAGGTAGAGCTTGCAGTGAGCCGAGATCGTGCCACTGCACTCCAGCCTGGGTGACAGAGCGAGATTCCATCTCAAAAAAAAAAAAAGAAAAAAGAATTTCTTGACAGCATGATTACTATTATAACAGAATACACATTGTTCATTTTTGAGCTCTTTTTTTAAGAGAAGCAACTACAGAAGATAATTTAAATTTAGATTTAATCTGACTACAGATGATAATGTCTTCATGTACTTTTTACTTTCAATTCCAAGGTATCTGGGACAACTTCCCTATGTTGCATTTTAGCTTCTGCTTTTCTTAAACACAGATGATGCACTTTGTCCACTTCCTCATAGGAGTGTTAAGATCTATAGTCCTATGAGCTCTGTGAAAGAAGAATTTGTGTATGTATGTGTGTGTGTGTGAATGATGAAATACTTCTCTCCTTTGTTCATGTAATCTTGAATATCTAGTATTTAACACGTTTAATAATTTGAAAAAAATGTAATTTCAAATATAATTACATTTTAAAATGGAAATAAAGGTGGTAAGAAAAAGAGGGAGAAGTCTTGACTGGCTTCTACAATAAAGAAATATAATTTCAGTGCTTTAAAGTACTATAATAACAGAGCTGAAGAGTATAAAAAATGAATAAAGAGGGGCCAGGCATGGTGGCTCATGCCTGTAATCCCAGCGCTTTGGGAGGCCGAGGCAGGCCGATCACAAGGTCAGGAGTTTAAGACCAGCCTGGTCAACATGGTGAAGCCCCATCTCTACTAAAAATACAACAATTAGCTGGGCATGATGGTGGGCGCCTGCAATCCCAGCTACTCGGGATTGCAATTTCAAGGCAGGAGAATCACTTGAAACTGGAAGGCGGAGGTTGCAGTGAGCCGAGATTGCACCACTGCACTCTAGCCTGGACCAAAGAGTGAAACTCCGTCTCAAACAAAACAAAACAAAACAAAAAGAATAAAATGAAATACATTAATAAAAAACATGATTTAGAAACGGCTACTGTTACTAATATATGCATTTACAGCCAATATACTTATTTTTAACTTTTGCTTAATTAACTTCTAAAGCAGTAGGTTCAAATTAATTGCTGTTTAACTGGATGATGCTGTTAAAAAACGCACTGCTCCATATTGGAATTCTTATATGTTGTCAGTGGGAGCATAAATTGGTATAATCACTTTGGAAAATTGTTTGGCAGTATCAACTAAATCTCATTGTATATACAGCCTATCATCCAGCAATTCCACTCCTGAGAGAAAGTGATACCTTCCTATGGCAGAAAACTTGGAAGTAGAGAAAAGCACAGAGAATAAAAATAAACTGTCATCCTAGTACTGAGATAATCATTATTATTATTATGATTTTTTTGAGATGGAGTTTCACTCTTGTTGCCTAGGCTGAAGTGCAATGGTGCAATCTTGGCTCACTGCAACCTCCGCCTCCCAGGTTCAAGTGATTCTCTTGCTTCAGACTCACGAGTGGCTGGGATTACAGGCGCCTGCCAACACGCCCAGCTAATTGTTGTATTTTTAGTAGAGACGGGGTTTCACCTTGTTGGTCAGGCTGGTCTCGAACTCCTGACCTCAGGTGATCCACCTGCCTCGGCCTCCCAAAGTTCTGGGATTACAGGCATAAGCTACCATGCCTGGCTGAGATAATCATTATTAATATTTGTAAAGAGAATCTTACTTTACACACTTACTTTTATAGTAGACTTACTTTATACAATATTATAAATATATTTCCATGTAATAGATATTTTCCAACTTTTTTTTTTTTTAAGAAGAGACAGGGTCTCACTCTGTTGCCCAGGTGGGCGTGCAGTGGCACTCAAAGCTCACTGCAACCTCGACCTCCTGGGCTCAATTGATCCTTCTGCCTCAGCCTCCTAAGCAGTTGGGACTATAGGCCCGTACCACCACATCTGCTTATCCTTTATTTTTATTTATCTATTTTAATTTATAAAGAAAAGAGTTTTAATTGGCTTACAGTTCTGCAAGCTGTACAAGCATGGCTCCAGCATCTGCTTCTGGGTGAGGGCCTCGGGAAGCTTCCACATGAGCTACCATGCCTGTCTTCATGGTGGAAGACAAAGAGAGAGCAGACAGTGTCATATGGCAAGAATGGGAGAAGGAGACAGCCCCTTTACCTTTAGCAAGACTTATTTCCTCAAAAGAATGAGTCTGTTTCACTCCCAGAGGGCATAATGGATATGAATGAAATTCATATTTGTAGAGAGGGAACTAACATTCTTAAGTGTCTATCATGTATTAGGCATTGTGTTATACACTTCACTATGCTAATTTGTCATCCTAAAACAACCTTAACAAAGTAGGTATTACTTTCATTTTATAAGTTGAAGAAACTGAAGACCATTCAAATTATGCGCCTCTCCTTTCCTGCCTTGATTTTACCCTAACCTCCTTTTGAAGTCTTCTCCAACTTTGTTATAGCAGTTCCGTCCTTACGCTGCCCACATTCAAATTATGCGCCTCTCCTTCCTGCCTTGATTTTACCCTAACCTCCTTTTGAAGTCTTCTCCAACTTTGTTATAGCAGTTCCATCCTTATGCTGCCCAGGCCAAAAGCCTCAGAGTCCTTCTCATCTCCTTCCTTTATACCCCACATCCAATGTGAGGAAACCATCAGCTTATCATCTCTACCACTATTTCTCTGGTCCACATCTCTATCTTCTTGTCCCTCAATTATTATTATTATCTTTTTGTGAGATGGAGTCTCGCTCTGTCGCCCAGGCTGGAGTGCAGTGGTGCAATCTCGGCTCACTGCAACCTCTACTCACTGCAACCTCCGCCTCCTGAGTTCAAGTGATTCTCCTGCCTTAGCCTCCTGAGTAGCTGGGACTACAGGTGCGTGCCACCACACCTGGCTAATTTTTTGTATTTTTAGTAGAGGCGGGGTTTCACCATGTTGGCCAGGATGGTCTTGATCTCCTGACCTTGTGACCCACCCACCTTGGCCTCCCAAAGTGCTGGAATTACAGGCATGAGCCACCGCACCCGGCTGACCCTAGATTATTTTAGTAGCCTCTTAACCAGTCTCTGTGCTTCTACCCTTACACCCTACTGTTTATTCTTAACCCAGCAGTCAAAGTGATCCAATTACAATGTCAGAAAGTGTCACTTTTCTACACAAAATCCTCCAATGGCTCCAACCAACTCACTCAGAGTAAAAGCCTTACCTGATCTGCATCACCCCCACCTTTCACTTCTTTGACTTCATCTTCTCCATTCTTTCATGGTGCCTTCTGGATTGCTCCTAGTACACTTAGGCATACTCCTGCCTCAGGGCCTTTACATTTGCTATGCTTTCTGCCTGGGAAGTTGTCTGCTCAGATATCCCTAACCTCCCTCAAGTCGTTCCTCAAATGTTACCTCCTCCAGAAGCTTTCCTTGATCATCACCCCTCTCCGAACATAGCACCCCTCATACTTTCTATGTACCCTCTCTGCTTAATTTTTATCCACAGCATTTCTTTCTTTCTTTCAAAACAGGGTCTCACTCTGTCACCCAGGCTGGAATGCAGTGGGCTCAAGTGATCCTCCCACCTCAGCCTCCTGGATAGCTAGGACTACAGGTGCACGCCACCATGCCTGGCTAATTTTTAAACTTTTTGTAGATAGGGGGTCTTACTATGTTGCCCAGGTTGGGTCTCCAACTTCTGGCCTCAAGTGATCCTCCTCCTTTGGCCTCCCAAACTGCGGGATTACAGGCATGAGACAGCACTCCTAGCCTCTCCATAGCATTTCTAATCATACAGCAGTCCATATATTGTCCTTATACATTTACCATCTGTCTTTCCCACGTGGAAGAGGTAAGCTCCACGAGGGCTGGAATTGTTGTTTGTGCTCTCTGCTGTGTCCTCAACCCCTAGAAGCGTGCCTAGCATGCAAAAGGCACTCAGTATATATTTGTTGAGTAAATGAATGCTTCCCCCACCTTCCAACTGTTAGAGCAGGCCAAGGGGACCTGTTGTGCAGAACTTCACAGCTTTCTACTCTGAGCTCTATCTTCCTTGTTCTTCCCCAGCTTTTACTTAGGAGCCACTTCTTGACTGAGCTTGTCACAGGTGAAAGGCTGATGAATCTGGAGAGATACTTGTGGCAAGTACCCGGTGTTCCTGCAGTCATCCACAAGCGCAGCAGTGGTGGTAGACAGCTAGAGAAGAAAGTGTAAAGTTTGCATCCTCCAATTATCACGGTTGCAAGACAGAACTTGAAACTAGATACACCTGATTTTGGTTATCTCTGGATGCCATTCACCGAGAATGAAGGGAAGAAGATACTTCCTCCAAAGGAGAATCTGATGAGGCGCCAGCAGGCTGCTGCTGCGGTGGAAACTGCCACATCCGCTTTTGCAAACTGGTGTGGCCCCAGCTGCTTGGACTGAGGCTCAACGCAGGTTTCAGCCACTTCAACCACAGGGCTACGAACATGCCAAGAGAGCCACTAACCAAGTTTCTCATTCCTCCTCTGAGATTTAAAGTCCATCACTTCGCGACTCAAACACGCAAGAGGCGTGGGAGACGGAGGAATGGGGAAGCGAGGCGGCGCTGCCCACCTTGGCAATGGCACAGCCGCGGTCTCTGATGCAAAGGCAGGCGGCCGCGCAGGGCCGGGCCTGGGTGGGAAGGCTGGGCTCTGGGAAGGATGTCGGGGCACCCGGCAGTGCCCAAAGCCACCATCTCAAGCGTGATAGTGGGAAAATGGATGCTGCACCTGCTCTCTCATCTTGCGGGGAATCGTGATTTGGGGAAGTTTCACCTTTGTTGCAGAACTGCCCACATTAGAGCCTTCATTTCTTGGGAAGGGGTTGGCGGGAGTTGCCAGTGAAATGTGTGACACACACACGCGCCACATACTCCCCAAACCCACAGACGACTCCAGTAACGCTCTAGTTACCCTTAAAAAGTAAAACAGAACAAATCAGCAGGCCCCCTCCCTCCATCCTGGCACTTCATTAATGTCGGCCAAGGCCACATTTCCCCTGCCCACTGCAGGGAGTCTGTCAGGAGAACAACAGGCGAACGTTTGCCTCACTTGACTCAGCTCTCTTGGGGCGGTATCAGCATTTTAAAATTCACACCTAAAGGAAGGAGTCAGCAAAGGAAAGCAGAGCTGGGCCGGGGCGCCGGTGGCCGCCGTCAAACCTTTGGGAAGCAAGAAATCCGAAACGCCCGTGACGTGCGGCGTTGTCCGACTCCTTCCACTAGGCAGAACCCGAGAGACGAGCCTTTGGCGGGACGGTGAACGATTGTGCTGTGTACGGCGGTGTGCGTGCGTGAGTAAAGAGTGTGTAGCTCCGGCCAAACGCTAGCCCCCAAGGGCGCGAGTGCTACACTGCGCCCAGCTCAAGTTTCTGTGGAAACTTTCCCTCAGAGGCTCCTCCTCCTTCACCTTGGAAACCGGCGCGGGCCGTGCGGCGCGGCACTGCCTAAGTCCCCGGCGCACCTGGCGGCGGCGTGTCCCAGCGGCAGAGGCGGGGCCGGCGGCGGCGGGGGCGGGGCCGGGGCGCGCTCCCCGAGGCCTCCAGGCAGGTTGGGCCCCACCCCCGCCCCTGCCCCGCCCCGGCCCCCGCCCCCGCCCCCGCCCCCCCCGCGCTCACTAGGGAGAGGCTGGGGGGAGGCAGTGACCCACGCGCCTCAGCCCGCGGCTGACGCACCTTCGAAAAGTTGCGCTCCGACCTTCTCACGACCTACATTCTTCCCGGGCACTCCTGAGTTTGAGCCGGGCCTGGAGGACCTGGGCCAAGACTTTCGAGCGGCGGCCGCCCGAGGTGCGAGGAGCCAGCCCGGCTTTCCTCACTGGGTCCCGCGCAGGCGTCCCCGGGACCGCAGAGCAAACTTTCTGGACTATCTGAGGACACTTGTCCAGCGAGCCCCACTGCTCGGGGAGGAGGAGCCACGGCCGGGGACAGGTAGGTGCTGTGCTGGCCGGAGATTTGCGCTTGAGGGATTCTTTTATTTTAGAGGGTTGAAGGAGGAGGGAGAGTCGAAATGTCCCTTCTCTGCATCCGCCAACTGGGCAGGGGGTGCGGGCATTGGGCTGAGGGAGCAGGCATTGGGCTGGGGGCCGGCTGGGGATGTTCCAAACGAGGTCGCTGCGTCGGGCGGGGGCGCAGGGGGGAGGAGGTGACTTCTAGGGTTTCGGGCTCCGGGACGGGGCGTAACGCGGTGACTGACCCTGGGAGAGAGAGAGCCAGCTTGTTTTGACGAAGGAATATGTCATTAGGGCCCTCCATCCCATTCCTTGGTCCCAGGGTCCTCTGGGAGGCACAGGAAAAGGCAAAGAGATGTGGAGTTCAGGTTTCCCCTGTAAATCAACTTGCTTACACAGGAGACAGAGGCGGTGCCCCTCTGAGGTTTGCAGCCCTTTCCTGGTGTAAGGACTTACTGGTTAGGTAGCTGTTGCTCAATTTCGTAAATTCTGTGATGAAACTGCGTTCAAGTCGTGGTTATTATTGATAGTGTGTATGTGTTTGTGTTTCCTCTGGCTCAACAAAGGTCCCTTGTTAACTCCGCTTCTGCTAGGGAGTGGGAAGAACTACCTTGGTGTCTTATTTCAGGCCTGGTCAGAGCGAGGTGTTGGTGCAGGCGGCGGTAGCCTTGTTGGCTTGGGACTTTGGGAATCACATGAGCAGGTCTAGTGAATTAGTGTCCCAGCCTCCTGGACCCACCCATTCACAGCAGATCTAGCTTCCACTATTCAGCAGATGCTGCAGCCCCAGCTATCCAGGGACAGGGAAACCCCCCTGAAGGGAAAGAGCCAAATGTTGAGAAGGAGAGACAGCTTTCAGGAGGAGGAGTAAACAATGCCTAACAATTGTTGCTTCCCTATAGATTGGGCTTGCTCCCTTGGCTTCTCTGGAAGGGCTGTGCTATCAAATTCATCTCATTAGGAAGTCAGCTGCTCCCTGCTAATAGTCATAGCAGCCCTGATGAAATTATATAGGTCATTGAAAAATAATTCCTGCTTAATTACCTTTATCCTGTTGATTAATGAGAGGGAAGATTTCCTCTCCTTAATGTATTATGCCTGCTTGTCAGGGTCACCTGCCTGACCTCAAGTTCACTTGTACACCTGGCACTAGGCAGGATGCTGTCCCCGAAGCTGTCCACATGTAGTGAACCACAGCTGAAGTCCACGTTTGGAGAACTTCAAAGGTCTTCTTTGGACCGAAATTGAGCAGGATATTTAGTCCATAAATTTACTCTTTAATACAGTATACTTGTTGGCTTTAGGTAACTTTTCGCATAATTAAAGGTTGATATCTTTTTAGTTCCAGTTAATCCCTTTCCGCAGAGCTCATAAGAATTATGTCCATGCCTGTCTTGAAATAAATTAAGTTTGGGGTCCTATTTATCATTTGTCCTGTAGGACAAGGAACAGGATTAAACTGTGTAGGGTGGCTGGAAAGGGGCAGAGAAACTGGACATCACTGAAGTGGATTCAGAGAGTGATTGAGAGTGGTCTAAAAATTTAGGTCCAACTGCCCAGCTACCTTTTTTCTTGGCTCTCATATAAAGACATTGTGTAGGACTTTTAATGGAGGACTTGAAGACTAGAAATAAAAGGAGTGTTTTATTTTTACATAGTCAGAGTGATGCATTGCTGGACAGTTCTGTACTCTGCCTCCCAAGATTGGTTCAAAATACTTTCTCTGCTAAGTTCTTTCTTTAATAGGAACTTGATAGATAATGACTGCAAACAAGAAGCAGATGTACAAATATATTATGTAGAGATATGGAGGTAAAATGAGAAAAAACAAGAATTGCCTCTGAGGAGTGAAATTATATATATATTTTTTTTTTTTTAAAGTTAGGGTCTCTCTCTCTCTCTGGCCCAGGCTAGAGTTCAGTGGCATGATCTCGGCTCACTGCAGCCTTGATCTCCTGGGCTCAGGCAGTCCTCCCACCTTAGCCTCCTGAGTAGCTGGGACCACAGGTTCATGCCATCACACTCTGTTAATTTTTTGTATTTTCATACAGACAGGGTTTTGCCACGTTGCCCAGGCTGCCCTTGAGCTCCTGGACTCAAGCAATCCGCCTGCCTTGGTCTCCCAAAATTCTGGGATTACAGGTGTGAGCCACCATGCCTGGCCTCTTGTATTACTTTCATAAAGAAAATTTAATAAGGAACCTCCTTTCTCCATGCAAATATAAAGCAAAATTGCTTTATTTAATCTGTTTAGACACTTGATCTTTATTCTGTGTACATCTGTCTTCTAGGGTGATACGTAGGCCCAGTGAAGATCTGGATCAGATTCTGCCATTGAAACACAATTTAGATCTACTTCATCCTTATTTTTAGCAACTTCCAACCCTTGGTTCTTAGCCCAGGTAGGGGAACAGTGCTCAAGAGTGACAAGAAACTCCAGGAACTTCATTTATAGGGATCTCTTAATGAAAACAATAACAGAAGTGAACAGTTCTGTAGTGCTTTATGTTTCACAGAGTGCTTTCATGTACCATGTTTGTGCCTTGTGATTTAACCATTTTGTAGTAGATGCCATTGTGTTTAGATTACACAGGAGGAAAGCAGATGAGGTTCAGAGATAATAAGGGACTTTTTTGAGACGGAGTTTCACTCTTGTTGCCCAGGCTGGAGTGCAATGGTGTGATCTCGGCTCACTGCAACCTCTGCCTCCCAGTTCCAGCGATTCTCCTACCTCAGCCTCCTGAGTAGCTGGGATTACAGGTGCCCACCACCATGCTCAGCTAATTTTTTTTGTATTTTTAGTAGAGATGGGGTTTCGCCATGTTGGCCAGGGTGGTCTCAAACTCCTGACCTCAGGTGACCCACCCACCTCGGCCTCCCAAAGTGCTGGGATTACAGGCGTGAGCCACTGTGTTCGGCCAATAATAAGGGACTTTTATGGGCATACTCTTTGCTCCTGTATATTGTGGACTGAGACCTGAATTCAGGATTTCTGATTTACAGCCCATGCTTTCACTTTTTTCCTTGTTACATTTTGTGAAGTGGTTGGATGTGAAATGGGCTTTTCTTTTTCTTTCTTTCTTTCTTTCTTTCCTTTCTTTCCTTCCTTCCTTCCTTCCTTCCTTCCTCCCTCCCTCCCTCCCTCCCTCCCTCCCTCCCTGCCTCCCTTCTTTCTTTCTTTCTCTCTCTCTCTCTTTCTTTCTTTTTTTTTTTTTTTTGATGGAGTTTTGCTCTTGTTGCCTAGGCTGGAGTGCAATGGCGTGATCTCAGCTCACCGCAACCTCTGCCTCCCGGGTTCAAGGGATTCTCCTGCCTCAGCCTCCCGAGTAGCTAGGATTACAGGCAAGCACCACCACGCCTGGCTAATTTTGTATTTTAAGTAGAGATGGGGTTCCTCCATGTTGGTCAGGCTGGTCTCGAACTCCTGACCTCAGGTGATCCACTTGCCTTGGCCTCCCAAAGTGCTGGGATTATAGACGTGAGCCACCGTGCCTGGCCCTCTTATTTCTTATTAACCAAAATATGAGCTCATGTGGAGACAGGATGACAGGACTATATATGAATATGTACATATATGTGTATGTGTAAGTGTGTGTACACATGTAACATATAGTCTGTATAGCCTTGGCATCTCAACAGTATAGCTGTGCAATAAAATTGAAGTAACCTCCATTAAATTTGGGAGGGAGATCTTGGGAAGTGGCGTAGGTGAATAAATACCTTGATAGATTGAATAAGGAATTTTGGCAATGTCTAAAATTGAAAAACTCTGTAAATAGCAGTATAAGTGCATGATTTACAAATATAGAAGTAATTACCAGAAGAAATAGCTAAAAGAGTTGAAGGACCTTCTTTCGGAGAATGAAACTCAGGGGTGAGGAGGAGCCAGACAGGAATCTGCTGTTTTTGGCTATGTACCTTATAATATTAGATAATATTTTATACTGTGTACGTATGTATTACTTTATTTTACTTTATTTATTTTTTGAGGCAGAGTCTCGCTCTGTTGCCCAGGCTGGAGTGCGGTGGCACAATCTTAGCTCACTGCAACCTTCGCCTCTTGGGTTCAAGCCATTCTCCTGCCTCAACCTCCCGAGTAGCTGGGACTATAGGCATGCACCAACATGCTTGGCTAATTTTTGTATTTTTAGTGGAGATAGGGTTTCACCATGTTGGCCAGGCTGGTCTCGAATTCCTGGCCTCAAGTGATCCGCCTGCCTCAGTCTCCCAAAGTGCTGGGATTACAGACATGAGCCACCGCGCCTGGCCTCATATGTATTACTTAAAAAAAAAAGCCCTTTGGCAAGGATGGAGCAAAGGTCTTTTGTCAGAATTTTAGAGCCAAAATTATGTATTCCCAGTTCTTCCATTTTACAGGTGAGGAAATTGAGGTGTAGGAGTTTAAATGTTATGCTCTTGGTCACATAACTGTAGAGACAAACCTCTCCCAGACAAGGTCAACTGTAGAGACAAACCTTTCCCAGGCAGGTAGAAAGTTTTACCTTGCTAGTGATTCTTCAGTTTCCTTTCTAGGCAGTTCTTTTGCCTTCTATCTAGTTAGTGTTTGTTTGTTTTTTTTTTTTGAGACGGAGTCTCACTCTGTCGCCCAGGCTGGAGTGCAGTGGTGCAATCTCGGCTCACTGCAACCTCCGCCTTCCAGGTCCAAGTGATTCTCTTGCCTTAGCCTCCCGAGTAGCTGGGACTACAGGCATGCGCCACCATGCCCGGCTAAGTTTTGTATTTTTTTAGTAGAGATGGGGTTTCACCATGTTGGCCAGGCTGGTCTCAAACTCCTGACCTTGGGTGATCTGCCCGCCTCGGCCTCCCAAAGGGCTGGGATTACAGGCTTGAGCCACCGCGTCTGGCCTCTATCTAGTTTTTACAATCTTTGAACAGGTTACTGGACTATAGATTCAAAAGTATTTTTATCTAATTCCTTAAATTTCCATTTTGAAAATGCTTCAAATGGTTTTTCGAGTCTGCAGAATCTGTACCCTTTTGTTGTTAATTCTGTAATTACTTTTACTTAGAAGTAGAGATGTGCGGTTTGTCTGCAATGTTTAGAAGCTGGCATTCTTGCCCAGTTGAATTTGATAAATACTGGAATTTGGACTAAACTTTTATTCTCAGAAGGCATTACTAAGGGGAGATGCTAAGGGGACTTTTCCAGTATCTATGTGTTTTGCTTAATTTTGAAGTTCTGAGAGTGAGGATACTACTGCCTTCTAAAAGACAGGTAGAGACAAATGATATTTTAGAGCTATTATAAAAAGTTAACACCCTTAAGTTTATCCTTTTCTTTATAAATATGATTTTCTCCTACTTCCTTTCCAATTATATCACTAACTTAAATGAGAGTTAATTTTCTTATTACATACATGATACATATTATTCAAATTCTAAACAATATAGAAATATATAATGTTAAAAGTTAAAGTACACTGCAATGTTATATTCTGGATAAACTGCTATAAATAGATATATTTCCCTTCATTTTTCCCTCTATTTAAAAATGTTTATTATTAACGTGGTTGTTAATAACTACTGGGGTAATCCTATGCAACTTTCAACTTGGTTTTTATTTTTAACTCAATAATATACCTTGAAAATGTTTTTATGACCATACATGCACATCATTCTCATTTTGTTTTTTTTACTGGCTGTATAGTAATGCATTGAATAGATATAGTTTTTTTGGTTTTTTTTTTTGTTTTTTTTTGAGATGGAGTCTTGCTCTGTCACCCAGGCTGGAGTGCAGTGGTGCAATGTCAGCTCACTGCAACCTCTCCCTCCCAGGTTCGAGCAATTCTCCTGCCTCAGCCTCCTGAGTAGCTAGGACTACAGGTGTGCATCACCATGTCTGGCTAATTCTTGTATTTTTAGGAGAGCCAGGGTTTGGCCAGGTTGGTCTCAAACTCCTGACCTCAGGTGATCCACCTGCCTTGACCTCCCAAAGTGCTGGGATTACAGGCGTGAGCCACCATGCCTGGCCCTATAACATGGTTTATTTAAACAGCCTTTTGTTGGGAATTTGGATTGTTTTCCATTTTTCTATATTAAGAACAGTGCTTCAGAGAACATCCTTGAAAGTGTTATCATTGTACACTTGTGTTTTCTGTAGGAAAGGTTTGTGAGTCACTGTTATGAAAATGTTAAATTTCTTTTATTTACATTTCCTCTAGTAGTGTCCCTTCATTTTTAGTTATATGAACATATTCTTTCTTTCTGAATGCACAAGACTGAAGACAGAAATTATTAATAGATGACCAGCCACTGAAATAAGAGGTCATAACAGCAAAAGGTGCTGAGCTTTTAGGTAAGGTTCACCTCATTTCCTCACATTTCAGGTTCTTTTTGGTTTTAATGTTTTCCCCAAGAGAAGATAGTAATTGGTAACAGCTATAAAAATACTCTGCAGCTGTTGGTTGAGCTGCTAATTAGCTTTTATGGAGCATAGTGTTTTTTTTTTTTTAACATTTTCCTAAGAACATTATTTTAGGACATGCCATTAAGGAGTTCAGAAAATCCACTAGGTTTTGCAGAATGCAGAGTGTATTTTAGCTCTTCTCCTTAAATTGTTAAAGTTTACCTCTGTTGAAATATTAGTCATGGGTCCATTTTAGGATCTTTTGGCTTGTAGAAAGTTCTAGGAACTGATTTCCCTCTGTGTGTGGAAAATGTGAAATAAGATACTTTGGCTAAATTTCATGACTCAGGCTCATTGAGGTGGGAACATTTCAGGAATTCCTGTGGCAAAGTTTTTACTGAATGTCTAAAAGAGTTGATTAATATTTTTATTTAGTCCAAGCTTTTTTTCATAACCATTTCATTAGAGGAGTGTGTCTTATTCCTCAAAATGAATATCTTCTATTTTGTTTGTGTTCATGGAACTTTTATTTGGATTCCATTCATTTTAGGTTGATTTTCTTTATAATATACTAGAATGAGTATAGAAAAATATGTTTACAAATGTAATTTCTATACACACATACATACCCCCTATATTTATATATGCACATATGTATTGTACACATTTGTGTATTTATGCCTAAGTATATAGTGATATAAGGAATGTTTTAAAAGTATGATCTTCTTCAGGTCATTTAATAGAAAACTTTGTACATCCTCAAAATAAGGATGATGTCTCCATATTTATTTATTAGAAAAAATGTTTCTTGATTTTCTTGGTATAAAAATTTTTCTTAATAAAATAAGAATTTCTTAGGACACGGGAAACTTATAGTTTGTATATATTCATATTTTGATCTTTTCTGTGGGAAAATACAACATGTCTAATGTATTATCCTTTTTTTTTTGAAGCAGGGTCTCACTCTGTCATCCAGGCTGGAGTGCACTAGTGCAATTTGGGCTCATTGCAGCCTCAGCTTCCTAGGCTCAAGCGAATCTCCCACCTCAGTCTCCTGAGTATCTGGGACTACAGGTGCATGCCACCATGCCTGGCTAATTTTTGTATTTTTTTGTAGAGACAAGGTTTTGGCATGTTGCTCAGGCTGGTCTTAAACTCCCCGGCCCAAGAGATTCCCCTGTCTTGGCCTCCCAAAGTGCTAGTGTTACCAGTGGAGGGTGTGCAGGTTCTTGGTGCTTTGAACAAAGAATTGGACTAAATGCACAAACAAAGCAAGGAAAGAATGAAGCAACAAAGGCAGAGATTTATTGAAAGCGAAAGCACACTTCACAGGGTGGGAGCAGGCCCGAGCAAGCAGCTCATGGGCCTGGTTTCAGAATTTTCTGGGGTTTCAATGCCCTCTAGAGGCTTCCCATTGGTTACTTGATATACACCCTATGTAAATGAAGTAGTGGCCCAAGATCTGTCTGATTGGTTGCAGAAAGCGACCAAGCACCAAGCAGAGGCTAAAGTGAAGTTACAGAGTTACACCCTATGCAAACATCTGATTGGTTGTGGAAAGTGACCAATCAGAGGCTGAAGTGAAGTTACAAAATTATATTTCTATGCAAAGGAAGACTTGGCTTGTGACCAGCCTGATTGGTTTTGGGAGGGGACCAATCCGAGGTACTTTCAGATTTTTATCTGTCATGCGGAACAAGGAGATGGGGGTTGCAAAGGGAATAGCCTCTGGTCCTTTTGTTACTTGGGTGTGGAAAGTTGGGGTTTTCCTTTTGATTTAGTTCTAGGAAGTCAGCATGAATCAGCCTTAGGTTCCCTGCCTCCAGACCCTGTTCTTCTGCCTCAGTAGGATTACAGGTGTGAACCACCACACCTGACCATGTATTAGTCTTGATTATTGCTTATTCTCTAACACTAAGTCACTATTTGATAAGTTGAATTTTTAAATCTCTCTAATTTGTGTATACTACAAAACATTTGTACTTTTGGCTTATTTTAAGCAAGATGTTGTAGTTTAACTGCTTGTAAAAAATCTGCCAGGCCCAATGGCTCATGCCTGTAATCCTGGGCATTTTGGCAGGCAGAGGTAGGAAGATTGCTTGAGGCCAGAAGTTTGACACCAGCCTGGGAGACATAGTGAGACCCGTCTTAACAGCAATAACAACAAAAAATTAGGCGGTATGGTGTCTCACCCCAGGAGTCCCAGCTACTTGGGAGGCTGAGGCAGGAGGATCACTTCAGCTCAGGAGTTTGAGGCTGCAGTGACACAGGATGATGTCACTGCATTCCAGCCTTGGTGACAGAGTAGGAACCTATCTCTAAAAAAAAAAAAAAAAAAAAAAACAAGAGAAACTCTGACAACATGAATTCATTGACTTTGATCTGTTTCAGGAAACACCAACTGACTTGATATTTACCTACTGATTAAACTTAATGGTTAATGTTAATTTCTTATCAGCTTGATTAAGTTTGACCTCTGAATTTTCTCCTTATACTTCTTCACAGTGTTTAGGACCTTGCATGTCCTATTTGAAAAGTACACCCTGGAGTTGCTATAGATAGTAAGAACCAGCTTGCAACAATTGGAGAGTGTTTTTTTTGTCCTTAAAGTAATTCTGCCTCTTGATTATGTCTTAGGATTGGTTTCACAGAGAAGTGGTCATTCCTTCACAGTGAATCACAAAATGAGTAGTTTTGACAGGATTTCCTGACTCAGTCTGGCTAACTCAACCTGCTGTTCTGAGTTTCTGTCAATATTGGCATGCCAGGAGCAAACTCTTGACTTGGTTGTCTTGGGTATACAGATAATTCCTAAATCCATACCCTCATTGCTGACCTTTGGACCATAGGCTTGTTTCTAACCAGTTCCTGCTGGATAGGTCTATGTTTAGATCCTGACATCAAAGTAAACCATAAGGAGTTGAGAGTAACTCTGCATCTTAATTGCCTACCAGAGCACCTTATATTGAATAGAATCCTATAAATGTTTGTTGTTAATGATCTGCCTCTTATTATTATATGGCCAATTATAATATTTTTCATTTTGTTTCTCTTTCCAGTTTTTCTTGCTCTAATCTATTTTCATTCCATAGTCAATTGATTTTCCAAACTATAGCTGTGCTCATGTCACCTATCATGGTCTCTGTTGCCTACTGGGTAATGACTCAACTCAAGGCGTGATGGTTAATTAATTTTATGTATCAACTTGCCTGGGCCACAGGGTGTCCAGGTATTTAGTTAAACATTCTGGGTATGTCTGTGAGAGGATTTCTGGATGAGATTAACATTAGAATTGGTAAACTCAGTAAAGCAGACTGCCCTCCCCAGTGTGGATGGGTCTTATTCAGTCTATTGAAGGCTTCAGTAGTACAAAAAGACTGAGTAAGGGAGAATTCACTCTCCTCTCTCTCTCTCTGTTTGACTGTTTTCAACCTGGGACATTGGTCTTCTCCTGCCTTCAGATTCAGACTCAAACTATAACTTATGTTATTGTCTCTCTTGGGTCTCCAGCTTGCTGACTGCAGATCTTGAGACTTCTTGGCCTCTATAATTGCGTAAGCCACTTCCTTATAATAAGTCTCTTTATAAACACACACATACATCTCCTACTGGTTCTGTTTCTCTGGAGAACCATTGGCTGATTCTCAGGGCATTTATGATCTGGTGCTCTGTGCAAATCCTTTGCTTTGACTGCCATGCTGGTCTGTTCCTCATTCTTTTTTTTTTTTTTTTTTTTTTTTTTTTTTTTTTATTATACTCTAAGTTTTAGGGTACATGTGCACATTGTGCAGGCTAGTTACATATGTATACATGTGCCATGCTGGTGCGCTGCACCCACTAATGTGTCATCTAGCATTAGGTATATCTCCCAATGCTATCCCTCCCCCCTCCCCCGACCCCACCACAGTCCCCAGAGTGTGATATTCCCCTTCCTGTGTCCATGTGATCTCATTGTTCAATTCCCACCTATGAGTGAGAATATGCGGTGTTTGGTTTTTTGTTCTTGCGATAGTTTACTGAGAATGATGGTTTCCAATTTCATCCATGTCCCTACAAAGGATATGAACTCATCATTTTTTATGGCTGCATAGTATTCCATGGTGTATATGTGCCACATTTTCTTAATCCAGTCTATCATTGTTGGACATTTGGGTTGGTTCCAAGTCTTTGCTATTGTGAATAGTGCCGCAATAAACATACGTGTGCATGTGTCTTTATAGCAGCATGATTTATAGTCCTTTGGGTATATACCCAGTAATGGGATGGCTGGGTCAAATGGTATTTCTAGTTCTAGATCCCTGAGGAATCGCCACACTGACTTCCACAATGGTTGAACTAGTTTACAGTCCCACCAACAGTGTAAAAGTGTTCCTATTTCTCCGCATCCTCTCCAGCACCTGTTGTTTCCTGACTTTTTAATGATTGCCATTCTAACTGGTGTGAGATGATATCTCATAGTGGTTTTGATTTGCATTTCTCTGATGGCCAGTGATGATGAGCATTTCTTCATGTGTTTTTTGGCTGCATAAATGTCTTCTTTTGAGAAGTGTCTGTTCCTCATTCTTGAACACACCCTACCTCTTCCTTTTTCCCCATCTTTGTTGAGACCAGTCCTTCCTCTTTCCAGTTATTTTAGTGATGTGCATTCTTCCAAGCCTAGTTCAGAGCTGTGTCCTCCATAAAATCTTTCTTGGCTGTCTTTTCCTGTAGTAGTTTCCTGGCACCTGAATCTCCATACTGAAATTTTAGGAATTTAGTCATTTGCTGCCATCCAGTGTTATCTTTTATACATTTGTCCTTCTTCCCAATTAGATTATAAACTCCTTTAGGACTGGAGCCTAACTCTGTATTTCCACATCCCTCCACTGTTCCTAGTGTTGCTTTTCTTTTGCTTAGTAGGTTGCCAGTGAGTGATTACTGATATTTTTAAAGCACTAAGATCAACCTAGGGAAGGAAAGGCAAATGAGGGGCTTGCATGCCTGCAGTGCCCCATCTTGAGCCCATGGCAGAAATGTCTAATTAATTCCCCACAGGACCCAGAGCTCTCTCAATGCAGTGCTCCGGAGAGGCCTTGCCAGTTGTTTGAGGTTGTTACTAGAAATGAAACTTTTATATCATCCTTAACCTAGAGCCAACTTTTCTAAGAAAAAAAATTGAGTCGCATTTAAAGTCCTCTTGAATTTGCCCTTTCCTAAGGGACTGATTTGCAACGATTTTTGCTGTCATCTGTTTTGCTTTGTCCCTTGTAGTTCCCTTTGTTCTGCCTCTGGCTAAGTCATTTTATATCTTTTTATATATTCTGTATAGCACATTTGGGTCAATAATTTTGAACAATGGTGAAGGAGATCAATATGGAAAATGAGCTGTGTGTTCCCAGGAAATTTGGATTTGTCAAATTTTACACAAATTTCATATAAGCACAGTGTGACTCTTCTTATTTTTCCTGCAATTGAATGTAATTTTTGAGGGACACCATTTGAAATCTGACCTCATTCTCCTCTTTGGCTAGTCTTCTAAGCTCAAAGTATTGCAAATCCTCTGTAGTTTTCATCCCCCTTACTCTGCTCTCCTGCACTTGTCTTTTAACATATTTTAGTTTACTTATGTCTTTTTAAAATTTAAAAAAATTTTTTCAGTGGTTCCCTGGTTGGTTAGTGTCTTTTGTTTATTAACTCTTTCCCCACATAAGAATGTAAAGCTTTGTGATATTTGGTAGTCTTGGCTATATATCCCAATACATAGACCAGTGCATGACATTCAATAAATATTTGTTGAATTGAGTTGGGGTTTGCTAACCTGGAACCCTTCCCTCCCCCGAATCTCTTTGTTAATTGAGGCTTCCTGTTGCATCCTCTGGGACCTCTCTTACTTTTTTCTTCTTGTTGCTGAAGACCCCTGTTTCTAGACCTAGCTAGTTCCTTCAAGCCATACAACTATCGCCTTCCTAGGTCTGTGCCTTTGTAATAGCCACACCAATAACAGAAGTGGCAGTTTCCTTGGCAGTTCATGGTTTGCAAAGCACTTTCACATATATGATCTAATTTGAGGTATTCTTGAGTCTTGACAGTGATGGTACTCTTTAGGGCTTGCCTTTTACCAAAGTATGCAAGTTAGCAAAATCTTGTTCTACTAGGGGATGCAACCATTTTTAATGATGTTCCAGGCCTATTTTTTCCTTGGCTGCACTGTTGTCAAATTATATATGAGGGGTATGCTGCTTTGACAAAGTCTTCTGGCCCACTAGGAACATTCATTAGAGTCCTCGAAGAGTACCTGTATGGTAATAAGATCCTCAAGTAAAGTGACAAAAATGGGAAAGAAAAAAAAAGAAGCAGTTGACCATTAACAAATATTTATGAGACATTAAAAAAATATATATATATATTAACTCTTTCCCCACATAAGAATGTAAAGCTTTGTGATATTTGATAATCTTGGCTATATATCCCAATACATAGACCAGTGCATGACATTCAATAAATATTTGTTGAATTGAGTTTGGGTTTGCCTCCTTTGAAAAAAAAAAATATATATATGCATTTTTTTAATGAGAGAGAGAGTCTTGCTCCATTGTCCAGGCTGGAGTGCAGTGGTGCAGTCTCAGCCCACTGCAACCTCCGTCTCCTGGGTTCACAGGATTCTTGTGCCTCAGCCTCCTTAGTAGCTGGGACTACAGGCACAAGCCACCACGTCCAGCTAATTTTAATATTTCTTTTTAGTAGAGACGGGGTTTTGCCATGTTGGCCAGGCTGGTCTCAAACTCCTGGCCTCAAGTGATTCGCCTGCCTCAGCCTCCCAAAGTGTTGGGATTACAGGTGTGAGCCACCGCGCCTGGCCAGAGACACTTTTCAGTGGAGGTACTTCACTAGATCCTGAAAAACTGGTTGCCCCAAAGTTAATTTGATAGCAGGAGCTCCATGTAGACCTGCCCAGCTGGAATTGGAGATACAAGCGTGGAATTGAGAAGGCTGGAATTGAGAAGGCTGATCTGAATGATGCTGATTGTGTAGAGATCAGAGCTGGTGACTTTTAGGTTCTCTGCCAGTGAATCGCCATCACTGTCTTTCTAGCCCCTCTCTTTCTAAGCTATTAATATGAAGAGGGAATCATTTTCTTCCTAAAGGCCTTCTGTTCTGCTTTCTAGCCGTGAGAGTGATCAATAACTATTAGTGTCTAATGATGACACAGGAATATTCCTCTGAGCAATTGGAGAGCTGTAGGCTTGTCACCCATTGACAGGTGTTCACAAATCTCTTTTTGCTGTTTTGAAATATCACTGCCAGGGGAGTTGTATACAACTTGTTCTGACAGAGTAGTCTTAAATATTCATTCCTTTTACCCGTTGCTTTAAGAGAAATGCCAGCATTTAGTCTTCAGGCTGCCAGTAGTAATTTTGGAGAAATTGTATTATAACTTTATCAAGATGCTGATTTTCATATAGCTAATTTATTTATATATTAATATATTAATTTTACTATTTTTAATTATGGAAGAACACACACTTTGAGGTTAGTGGAAATTTAGGGGTTACATGGAGGTCTTTGATCAATTATGCTCTCAAATTAAATTAGCAAGTGTTTAACATTGTGTGAGGCTGTATGTGCCTAGTGGAAAGAGAATGCAATTTGGGTGCAAATATGTTTCAAATCTCTGATCTACCAATTGGTAAATATGTGACCTTGCACAAGTTACTTTTCTTTGATTAACCTTAGCTTCCTTATCTATAAATAGAGATAATAATGCCCATACAGGGAGTTTCTATGAGGGTTAAATAAGATAACACATGCAAGGTACTTAACATGGAATTAATAATCAATACATGGTAATTGCTACCTATGCACTGAAGCTGTATTAGCACTCTTCTAGGGACTGTGGGGGAGGTTCAAAAGGTGTGCAACATGTATGTCTGCAAAGCCACAAAAGGTAGTGACAAATGAGTACCTGACACACAGAAAATCAGGACAGTATATAATAAAGTGTTAATTGTACAGAAAGGAAGTTTGAGAAACTGGAAAGGTAGAAGTCACTGTGGTCAAACTCTTCAAGAACCATTATGGGGGTTGTATTACAATTCCTTTGGTCACAAATTATATAAATCTAAACCATATAGAAGGGGGATTTATTGGCTTACATGGCTAAAGTGTGGGAGAAGTGAGGTAGTTCTCAGGGAAGCCAGAACGGGGAACTCCACACCACCTACACTTTCTGTCTTATATCTCTGTGCCTCTTTTTTTGTGTCAGTTTTCTCCACATTTTGGGGTGTGGCTGCAGCAAGCCAGAGATCACCCAGAAAGAATGTCTGACCTTCTTCCCTTCATTTAAATTTTCAAAATCCCCGGAATGGTTCTGGTTGGCCTAACTTGTGAGATGTCCCCATCCTTTTGGCCAGGGACACAGATTACCAGGTAACTGGCAGCCCCATCTAGAATTACATCGTTGGTCTGGGAAAGATGAACATTTTCTTTTAAAAAGGATTCTACCATTCTTAGAAAAAAGGAGGAGTGCTGGATGGCAAGAGCAGGAGGTGGTGTTTACTCCCGAGGGGAGAAGAGGAGGGCTTGAGCTGGCTGTAGGGAGAAAGGCAGGACCTTAGAGCAGTGAACCAAAGGCATGGAATCTAGAATGAGAATATGGTTTGTGTTAGTGAAGTAGGATAAGGTAGACTCAGAGTGGATGGTTTGAAGTAGTTGGTTTAGGAGTTTGGACCCATCTGATAGGGCATAAACCCTAAGGACTACATCAGATTGACATAGTCATATTGGATCTTTTAAAAATAGGTTTCATGTTATATGCCAAGTATTTAAATCAGTAACTTGAGAACCAACTTGAGTACAGTTGAGAAGTTATACTCATTGATTATAGACAAGGTGATCTTTGTAGTCAAGAGGCAGATACCCATCCTGGTACTATCTTAAAAACTAGATGCTATCAAGCATTTGTCTTATCTTTCCTGTAAAAAAAAAAAAAAAAGTTGTATTTCAGAATAACCAAATAGATGATTCAGATAAAATCTTGCTTTTAGAAAAATTCCAGTTAATAAACGCAAAATGAGTGATACAAATAAAATACTACCATTTTGTTACCTCCAATGAAATAATAGATTTAGAGAATGGACATCAGTAGCTGCTAAAATTATTAAGTTAAAGGTTGATGGGGAACTTTATAGCTGATGGATTGGACTAATAACCCCTGAACCTACTGGTCAATCTTACCATTACAAAAGAGAAAGAGATAGATGTTACATGCCTCTTAATTGGATACAATAGGTTCTGTATAGGAAATACACAGAACCATCTGTGAAGTTTCTTGCCAGAAAGCTGAACATGATTCTGATCAATCCTTTAGATCTCACTACTCGTTTATAAGAAGCACAGGAAAAGGAGGACTATGTCAAACCATACCATAAAGATGTAGCCAAATTCAGAGTGTAGGAATTTCTACAGGACAGATTACTCAGTTTTTTCAATAAATAAATGACAAGAAAAACAAAGAGGGAAGAGGAACTATTATTAACAGACTTAAGAGACATATTAACCATGTTTGGATCTTGACTTAGATAAATCATCAACCCTAAAGTTATATATTATAAATATAAAATCATGAATAATATGAGAAATTTAAACTCTGGATGGTAGATAAATTAAGGGACTATTTTTTGTTAAGGAAATAATAATGGTATTATTTTAAAAAGAGTTCTTATTTCTTAAAGATTCACATAGACTTTTTTTAGATTATATGATACTGTATTAGTTTCTTACAGCTGCTATCACACAAATTATGTGGATTAGAAAAATAGTAATTTATTCTGTCATAGTTTTGGAGGCCGGAAGTCTAAAATCAAGGTATAGGCAGACCCCATTTTCTCCAAAGACTCTAGGGGAGAATCCTTGCCTTTTCCAACTTCTGGTGGTTGTCCTTGGCTTGTGGCTGCATCTCTCTGCTCTGTCTTTGCATCATTCTCCTCTACATGTGTCCCTGTCTAATTTCTTTCTGCCTTGCTCTTATAAGGATACATGTGTGCTCGCTTCAGCAACACATATACTAAAATTGGAGGGACATGTTATTGCATTTAGGGCCTGCCTGGATAATCCAAGATAAACTCTTCCCTGGAATCCTTAATTTAGTCACATCTTTTGCCATTCAAGGTAATAGTCACAGGTTCTGGGGATTAGGAAGTGAATATCTCTTTGGGACGTAATTTTTCTGCCTATCTTTAATATGATACATGAGATTTGCTTTTAAAAAAACAAGCGGGGCGGAGAGAGGAAATGGAAGATTATAGTTGGCTGAATCAAAATTGGCAATCCATTCATTGTTAACTCTGAGCTGGGTGATGATAGTTCATTGTATGGGTCTCTCTACTTTGTATATGTTTGAAAATTTCCATAATAAAAAACAACAAAAAAGGTTAGCTCTCACACCAAGATTCTTTAGTAATCATTTCCTCTCAGAACCTAGAAAATACCATATTAACATTGATAAATGCAACGCTTAATTTTTTTTTCTGTTCATAAAAATTAGGTATGAGACTGCAGATATCCTGGCTAATCCTTTCATTTCTTACCACCATTTCAGACATATTTCTTTGTGCTTCTCAAGAAAAGTGAAGGGTGAATGAAAATCTCTTCACTTGAAGTTCAGAAATTATAAAATGACCTGAGGTTTAAATAGGATAATCAATTTTTCTTCTTACTGAACTATTGGTGAATGAATGAAGTGGTGTGGTTGTATTTGAAGACTCATTGGCAAAGTAACTTATCATAATATCTTGCCAGGCAGATGAAATCAAGAAAGGGCCAACAGTTTTATTATAGGGAGGTCCCCATCTTTCAGCTGTTGTAATGTAATCATAAAATGTCCTAATGAGCTGCAACTTGGCATACAGAGAGCACTTCCTGGCATAGGCTGGTGGTAATATTTTCCTGTGAATTTTGTTTAGGTAGCCTTACGGTGTTATAAGGCTTAAGATTTTAATTCCTAAACCTAAATTATTGTATTTTTCTTTAAAAACCAAAAATAATGAGAGTTTTTGTGATTTCCCCTCCTCACTCCTGTGCTAGAAAGGTTTCAAGGTACATTTAAAATATAATCACAGAAAGCAGAGCACAGCATTTTTTTTAAAGAGCTATTGTGTTATATCAGAAGTGTAATATTTCCTAAAACACACATGCCCAATTCATGCTTCAGCATATGTGTTATAAATGATGGTGACTATCCAGATCCTGTTATAGGCTATTCAAGTTACTTCACCTAAACTTTAGTACCTTAATGATTTTTTTTTAAGGAAAGAAAACAATTCATATGCAGGATCTCTGTTTAAATAATGCTTAGGTTGTGACTTAGATCACCAAAAGCAACATGTTTAAAAGTGCACTTACTTAGCCTTTAGAAGTCAGTTTATTGACTTATTATGGTTTTATATTTTTTCATCAGTGATTTTTATATTGAGTTTGTTTCTTTCCAAATCAAAAGCTTCATTTTGTAGGAGTGATATAAACTGTAGTTGCAAAAGCTTAAAATTAGACTGTCTTTTTTTAGCTCATGGAATTAGAATTTAGATAGGACATTTGTTGTTGATATATGAGACTAGTAAAACCCAGCTCCTTCTTTATGTTTGCGCTGAGCTGTGGTACAAATTGTTCTCTATAAGTCAGACACAAAAACATGTGGGCAAGTCAGTATAAAATTAGACTTTTTGTGGTATATGTGTTCATACAATCTGTAAGGATGACTACATTTTGTACTTTAAAATTTTAATTTTAATTTGAATTTTTTTTGCCCTCTCAACCCCATTTTCCTAATTCTGAGAAGGACCAGGAAGAGAACATTTTGAACTTCTTATTACATTGTCATGACATTGTAACCCAGACTTATGGGTAAGCTATATTTTCTGGAGGATGTCAACTACAGAGAGCATATCATGGTAATACAGATATAAAATGACTTTTCCATGTGAGTAAAATCATTGGCGATGTGAGTAAAATCATTGGCGAAGGAATAGATCTAAATCATTGCAAGCCTCTTGGGCATTCCAGTTGCTTACTAAATGGTTTATTATGAAACTCGATGGTGATTATTAAATTTCTGAGCCATGCCATCCTTTTAGAGTTATAAAATCACCCAATTTATGTACCCTATAATAAAGGAGAAATGATGTATGGAAATAATCAAGATAGTGGTTTGTATTTCACTTGATATAGTATCATGGTAATCTGTTTTGCATTTTATAGTATATGCTTTTGTGCAAAGAAGTAATGTTTATTCAGGAATATTTCTGAAGGTATATGTTGTTTTATTGCCCAGGTATAACACAATTTTTCAGGAACACACATTTTTACATAAAATGAGATACATCTTGAGTTTCATTTTTCTCTTTGCTGCTTTTTCATTTTTGTCAAAAATATGCTTTAGAAATACCATAAATATGATGCGGAAGGCTGATTGAAAAAGAACCCTAACATTTGTATGATGGTTTTCAGTTTGCAAATAATTAAGGAACTCTTTGGCAAAACCAAAGCATTATCTCTAAGTAAATAATGAAACTGATTTTATATCCTTAATATTGCTCAAATTCATTCATTTCTCTCCATCTTTACTAATACTACCTTCTCTTCTGTGTTACTACATTCGTCTCTTAACTGGTCTTCCTGCTTCTCCCCAGGCCACTCTCTTCTACCTCACCCTTAGTAATATTTAAACAATGTAGATTTCATCATGTCATTCTCCCTCCAGCACCCTCCTTCCCATTTTAAAATCCTTTTGGGGCTTTTTTGTTTAATCACTGTAAGGGTAAATAAAGATCCTTAATACGTGCAAGGCTCCCCAACTGTCTTTCCAGTCTCATCTCATGATACTCTCTCACTAACTCTCAATACTTGAGGACCACTGTCGTTCTTTCATTTCTTTTAATGTGTTTTTCTCTTTTAAAAAGTTGCAGAGCCTTTGCACACACTGTTGACCATACTTGGAACACCATTCCTCCCCCTCCCACATCATCTTTATACATCTCCACCTCAGCCACCTTGGCTTAGTTAACTCCTATTTATCTTTAGCTCAGGCTCCATTTCCTTAGGGAAGTCTTTACCCTAGTTGGGTCTCACTATTATAGGCATTTACATCACTATGTATCTTTTTTTCCCATTGGACTTACTGGTTATAATTTATATGCTTACATAAATTGTTTTCCCACCTGGCTGTACACTTCATGAAGGCAGGCAGTTCGCCTGTTTTGTTTTGTTCATAGTGTTTGGGTCTCACTATTATAGGCATTTACATCACTATGTATCTTTTTTTCCCATTAGACTTACTGGTTATAATTTATATGCTTACATAAATTGTTTTCCCACCTGGCTGTACACTTCATGAAGGCAGGCAGTTCGCCTGTTTTTGTTCACCATTGTTTCCCCAACACTTAGCTCAGTACCTAGTACAGATTAGGTACACCATAAATATTTGTTGAATGAATGAATAACATGAAAGAATGGAATTAGATATGGCCATCATCTAGTTAATTAAGCGCACACACAATACCAATACCAAAGACATTGTAAAAAGTGAAACGTGCCCTTCAAAGAAATCATCTAGGGAGGTTACCTCCTTATTTCATAGCTGCTGTTGTTAGAAAGGAATTTTGGAGCAACTCTAAAGAATTGTCTTTAGAAGTAGTTTACAAGCCACATAAAGGATGAAAGCACTTATCCTTTTGATTAAAAATAATATCCACGGTGGCTCATGCCTGTAATCCTGACACTTTGGGAGGCCAAGGTGGGTGGATCACTTGGGGCCAGGAGTTGGAGACCAGCCTGGCCAATATGGCGAAACTGTGTCTCTACTAAAAATACAAAAATTAGCCAGGTGTAGTGGCATGTGCCTGTGGTCCCAGCAGTTCAGGAGTCTGAGGCATGAGAATTGCTTGAATACGGGAGGCGGAGGTTGCAATGAGCCGAGATCGCACCACTGCACTCCAGCCTGGGCGACAGAGTGAGACTCTATCTCAAAAAAAAAAAAAAAAAAAAAAATCAGTTTGATGATTCTCTTCATTTTCTAAATGTACTTTCCAGCTTACAGATACCAAATTCCACTTTCAAATAACCAAATTTGCCACAGTTGAAAATTTCAAAGGAATGTTATATGCATGAAGGCAGTCCTAAAAGAATTGTTCCTAAAATGTTTAGAGCATTGGTGGGCATTTTTATAATAAGAAGTGTGTTGTCTTTGAAGAGGCTAATGCTCCTCTGGATGTGTGGGTTTTGCTGTTTCTGTTAAAATCTTTCACAAAGCCTCTCTTCATGAAGTAAGGATGTTTCAGTTTTGCTTCTGGTTATGAGGTGGAGGGATGTGTTTTACCTTCTTAAGTCATTCACTTCATCTTTGTGCTTTTCATCCTCCATGGTCGAAATAAATCTTGCAGAATTTGTTTTTTACTAGAAAGGAATGTAACAGGGAGTTGAGTTAACACTTATAAAGTGCCTTACATTCCCAGGTGTTGAGTTCTATGCTTAAGAACAGTCCCTGTTAGTGTGAAAGATCACAGAACTGGGACCACATTCTTTCATTGAAAAGCATCAGGGATTCTTGCCAAGTTCTACTATTCAAGATTATTTATTCAATATTTTCATTGACTTAGCTGCCAGCACTTATCCTTTTTTGTACTAGGTACTGCCCTTTTACTTTCTGATTTTGGAAGAAATTTACTGTGTGTTATACCTTTCTCCAATAGCTTAAATTGGCATTGATTTTAAGTAGGAGTAATTGAGTCTAAAATAACACATATATGTCTTTGCCTTTTAATCTGTGGGAACACTTTTGGATATACTGAACTGATAACAGCAGCTATTGAAGATTACCTTCCAGCAGGATATTTGTCACAGCTCCATTCAGCTGACCCTCAGGACTATACTTTTCACTTGCTTACCTTTGAGAAAATGCACTCAAATCAACATGATACGATGCTTTCAGTATAGTAGACGGCTCTGTAAGCCTAACATTTTGGTAGGAAGCCTTAGTTTACACGGGCAGTAACAAAAGTTCTATTGACCTTTTATTCTAGTATTCTTGTTTGCACCTGAGCAACAGAGGTTTAGCTTTCATTTGCTTTTTGTTTTGTTGACTACTTGCCAGTAAAAGCTTACATTTTCATACTGCTTCAGTGCTGACTATATTTACTTATGCAAATACATTTTTTTGTGCCTAGCAATAATAAGATTTGTGAGAGAACCATCTTTTGAATTTGATCTTTTAAAGACTGCTTCTAGGATAAATATCTTCTTTAGCAGGCCACTGCTTTTTTGGTAAATAAGCCTGGTGGAAAAGGCCTTTCAGTGTTTGTGCAGGAGACTCACTATGTTTTCTGCCCATCTGTGTGAATCTCAGTCAATCCTGACTGTGGTTGAGTCGCAAGCTCTAACCTGAATCAGTGAGTTAATCCTTGTGAGCCCTGGCCCGCCACTCCCTACCTCCAAATGCAATTGTCCCCCAGAGGGATTTGAATAATGTCAAATGCATTTTGACTGAGATGATGCGCTTACATTTGCATTAAGCCCCTTATTATTATTGTTTTTAAAAAAATCATTCTTAAGCTGGGGTCATGTTATTTTGTAATGTATTTAATAGGTACAGTTCATGTTCTTATCACTTACCTGACTGTCGTGCCATTTCCTGTGTCAAGTGTTAAGGGAAAGAGAATTACTTTTCTGTGTGAGATAGTGCCACTTTGGGAAATTATTTTGCTGTGGCTTCAGGAAGTCTTAGGTATGAGGGCAGTAATGTTCTAAAGTCACTTGTGTTCACTGGATGAGCACTGCAATGCTGTAAGGTCATGAAAAGTTAATGAGAATTAATACTTTCTAAACATAATCCCCTACTATTTTAAATAATGACCCATTCAAGTTCAAGCAAAATGTATTGAAATATTCTGACATGAGTTGAACAATTTAAAACTGGTTAAAGAAAGGATAATAAAGGATTCAGGATGGATCATTTAGCTGTGAAGGAAATTGGCTGCTTTGTATGGCAGGTTTACTAATCTTTTAAGGAGGAAGCTGAAGTGAAGAGAGATTAAATAGTTGCCCAAAGTCATATGGGTAACCAGTGACAGAGCTGGGTTCTGAATCCAGATCTCTAAAGCAAAGCTGGTGACCTTAACTACTCTGTAGTACAGCCTTTCCTCTGGAAGAGAGGCATTATGTGCCATAAGAAATAATGCAACTCCTCTTTATTGAAAATATGAGACAAATTCAGATTTGGAAGATAAGTTAGTAAATTACTTGAGCCTTTATTGAACTAGCAATCCAATTTAATAGAAATTTGTCAAGGGCCTAGTATGTGTAAAGCATTATGTTAGGTGCCAGACAGGTTATCAAGATCACCAACTCACAGAGCTTTTAAAATATGTGTGAAAATAACTTTCGTATAAGACAAGATTCATTCATTGAGCAAATATTTACTTGGCACCTATGTTGTGCTAGGACTGAGGTAGACACTAGGAATCATTCATCTAGTCATGAATTCATGAATTCATCCTGAACTTTTGATGATCTGCTGTGTGCCAGGCACTGTTCTAGGTGCTGAGAATATAGTTGTGAACAAAGCAAGCAAGGTTCCTATTCTCATTGGGTGAGTGAGGAAGAGACAGACAATAAATATGTAAGCAGGAAAAGACCTGCTCTTCAGAGAATTAAAGTCAGATGGTCTGCAGAGAGTGACTGGGTGGCTGTATTAGATTGCAAAAATTAGTTAAGACTTGGTCTTTGCTCTGGAGGAGATGGACTTGTAACTCCAGTGTGATTCCATTTGTGCAGTGATCAATGTATGAACAAAGTGTGCTGGGTAAATCCAACTGTGGAGAGCCTTGCATATCCTCATGAGGAAACTGAGGGATGACTAGGCACTGTGCTGACAGGATCAGAAGTGTGTTTAGGATGGTAAGGTTGAAGCAGTCAGAAGTCTAGGCTAGACAGGAGAGAGATTGATAAGATGTGATGATTACTCTCTGGAATTACAGCCCTAGTCAAGTGCAGGGGGAGGGAGAGAGGAGGAAGTGCTTACTTTTTGCTGAGAGGACTAGAAAGTGCTTCCTGGGTGAGGTACCATTTAAACCTGGTCTTTTAACATGCAGAGATGAAGGGAAGGGTATTGTATGGTTGTATTACTAATGAGCAAAAATGGAAAGATACAGCTTATTTTGGGAGTAGTTAGACTTTTGGCAAGTTCAAGTGTGTGTGTGAGGGAGAAAGCCTTTCGGGTTAGGCCTGAAATACCAGCTTGCTTCAGGTGAGCAGAGGAAATGCGATGAAGGTTTTTGACTAAACTGACACAGTCACAGCCTTAGGAATATTATTCTTACAGCAGTATATAAGATAAGTTGGAATGGGGAGAGAGGTGGCTGAGAGAGTATTGAGGAGGCTACTGTGAAGGCCCGTAGGTAATGGCGTTCTGATCTAGGATGGTGACCCTGGGGCTAGAGAAAATGTGATGGGTCCCTGTGGAGGTAGGAATAGTAAGGCAGTCTACTGATGAGATGTGGAAAGTTAGGGAGAAGAAGGGGAAGAGTGTGACTCCAGGAATGTAAGCCCAGATGACTGGGAAGATGGGATTTCTGTGACAAACTTGGGATGGCAGAAAAAAAATAGATTTAGGAGGACAGACTACTTAGATTAGTTTGAAACTTGCGGAGTTAATGGCGCTGGTGAGACATTGAAGTATGAGTATCAGATAAATAAATGAAAATGGGATTTTAGCTCTGAGTTAGAAGAGGTGTTAACTAAGGGCATGGGAGTGGAGGCTGTGAGATAGATGACGGTGGCCAGGAACTTGCTCAAAGAGAGAAGGGAGGTGAGGTGGAAACTTAGAAACATCACAGTTTTGGCTATTTTTATTTTTGTTTTTGTACTTCACTGCTGATAATCTCTGAATCAAACTACACTATTAGACTCGTAGCCCTTTAGAATCTCTTGCTCAATCTACTATGTCTCTTGAAAAATTGCATGCCTGGGCCATATTATCTTGATTCTATTGCAAAGTTCAGATTTAATTAGGGACAGCATATAAAACAGCTCTATGCCCTTTTTTGCTATAGGGATGCTGTTGGGAGATTTTTCCGTCATATCTTTCAGTGTTTCGAAGAGCAACTTTTTCATAGTAAGTGATAGGAAAGAACTTTGCTTCCCTGAAGAAGTGCAAATGTTTGTTCCCGATGGAAAATTATATAACTAATCATGTTTACGTTTTCACCTTTGCTGCTATAAAGCACAAAATCAAATTCCCTGTTGAACTGTAGTTACTGTGTAAGACTTCATGGTCTCCATTTTGAATTCTATTCCATTTTCTTTTATCCTGGCCACATTCTTCATTTACTACCCTAATTTATACTCTTTGGCTGTAAGTCCTAGTTTTCTTTTTTAACATATGCATTTCTCATAAGCTATCTCAAATTCTTTGTAGGATTAGATGGGAATTAATAAATAATGTCACTATGTTACTTACTATATGAATGAGATATTCTTAGACTGTTATAGATCAGTATATAAATATAAGGACTCAGCATATTCTAAATTTACATATTTTTTCTTTTCTATGAAACTTTTCTTTGATAGCTTTAGGCAAGTGGTACATATAATCACAGAGTGTAAAACTATGTGAAAAATGATATAACAGGGAGAGCCAAATTCAGGAGTAAATATTTTCACATTGACTCCAGTTAACTCTGCCTCTTGGTCAATTATTCATTCCCAGGTGTATGAATCATTGCAGTAAGAATTGGATTTTTTTTCCCCAGTCATTCATAAATGTTACCAGTTGGCTCATTTGGAAACTTGGAGTTTATATTATTAGTGACATGGGACTAATCATTGGAATTTGAGCTGATCTAATCTGGTAATGATTTTAGTTCCAATCAGTGTATGCAGATCTTGCCTCAGAACACTGTGTAGTATTAGTTGGTTGTTTACTATTGAGTAATGAGTAGGTCACTGGTTAGGTAAAAAGAATTGACCTCCTACTGCCAATCATTCCTTGATTCTGTTGTCTAAGAAAATATCTTTTCTTTTTCACACTATGCAAGGAAACCCTTGCTCTTGGTGGCCAGATGAGGAATTGGACTCCTTTATGACACACATCTTTTAAAAAAATTGATATGTAATAGTTTTAGGTATTTTGGGGGTAATGTGATATTTTGATACATGCATACAATATATAATGATTAAATTGGAGTAATTGGGATATTTATAACCTCAAACATTTATCTTTTCTTTATGTTGGGAACATTCCAATTCTTCTAGTCTTGCTATTTTGAACTATACAATACATTGTTGCTAACTATAGTCCTATAGTCACCTTACTGTGCTGTGGAACACTGGAACTTACTCCTTTTAGCTAACTATTTTCCTACTCATTAACCAACTTCTCTTCATTCTCTCCTCCCTCCACCCTCTCTCAGCCTCTGGTAACTACGAATCAACTCTCTACCTCATGAGATTCACTTTTTAAGCTCCCACCTGAGTGAGAACATGTGGTATATAAATCTTATAAATAAAAATCTTTTAAATTAAAATTATCAAATAATTAAAGGGGTATCTGTGATGACTGGATTTGCCCTATTTAACCTCCAGTAAAAAATTTTCCTAAACCTGCGTTGGTATAAATCTAAATGGGTTTGGGTGTGGTGGTTCACACCTGTAATCCCAGCACTTTGGGAGGCTGAGGCGGCTGGATCACCTGAGGTCAGGAGTTCAGGACCAGCCTGGCCAACATGGGGAAACCCCATCTCTACTAAAAATACAAAAATTAGCCAGGTGTGGTGGCACATGCCTATAATCCCAGCTACTCGGGAGGCTGAAGCAGGAGAATCGCTTGAACCCAGGAGGCTGAGGTTACAGTGAGCCGAGATTGTGCCATTGCACTCCAGCCTGGGTGACAGAGTGAAACTCTGTGTCAAAAAAAAAAAAAAAAAAAATTCTAAATGGTATAAAAAATCTTTGTAGAATCATATGAATATCAAGTAAGATTTTTTGGAATTTTGTTTTAAAAATAGTAATTCCTAGCTGTAAATCACTTTTGTTTGTTTCAGACTGATGACCTATTTTCCATTTTTATGGAATATCAAAATGATGACATCACAATGCTTTTGTGATTTAATTTGTATAAGAAAAAAGTTATTTAGTTCAGTTAAATGACACATTGATGTTTACTTATTTAGATCCTATCTGTATTTTATTCCCCAAAAAGAAATGCAGCTATCTTAAATATGGCAGCGACGCTTCAGTATCTTCTCTGGAAGCTGCAGGTATGGACCTGACTAACATGGCTGAGCCAATCCCTGCTCTTCTGCCTGGTGTTCATGTTACATTTCTTGGTTTTCATTAGAGTTTCTCAGCCCCACTCAACCTTAGCACTGTTCATTGTAAAACAAACAAAAACGTAGGGGTTTTTATTACATTAAATAGAATCTTTTATCAGGAACCACAGGATAAATTTCATTCTGACTCAGTACCAAAATAGTTCTTTCTTTGAGCAACTGGTTTATTTTTACCCTGTGGACACTGAATCTTAAAACAGATCGTGTTTCTGTCTGCATGTTGGCTGCAGCAAAGCTTAGAGTCCCTCTAAGCTGAACATCTACAACACTTCTCTTCTGGCTCTCATTCTACCTTGTGGCTACAGTTACTGGTACGCATATCTTATCCTACTCGTTTAAAAGTTGCTTGAAGACCAGGATTCTACTGTGGTCATCCCTCGGTATCTGTGAGGAACTGGTTCCAGGACTTTTCCAGTTTTAAACTTGACAAAGTGTCATCTTTGTCTCAAATCACCCTCTCAGTTCTTAGGAAGTGGAAGAATATAAACCTGTGCTAGTCTAAATCTAAATGGTGTAAGAAATCTTTGTAGAATCATATGAATATCAAATAAGATTTTTTTTGGAATTTTGTTTTAAAAATAGTAATTCTAACATCCAGTAGAAATACCAGCATCCAGTAGTAATACCAACATCCATGGGATGTTCAAGCCCCTGATATAAAATGACATAGTATTTGCATATAACCTACACATGTCTTACCATGTATTTTGAATAATCTCCAGATTACTTATAATACCTAATACAATCTAAATACTATGCAAATAGTTGTTATACTGTCTTGTTTAGGGAATAATGGCAAGTAAAAAAGTCTGCATATGTTCAGTACAGACATGAATATTTTGAATATTTTTTATCCTTGATTAGTTGAATCCGTGGATGTGGAACTCATGGATATGGATATGGAGGGTTGAGTGTAGTACTCTTTATATTCTTTACAGTGCTATAATATTGGCCTGCATATGTTTTGCATGCAAAATAATGGCTGAATTGAGTATTAGTAAGCCATTCAAAACCGTGGTGATCATGTTAAGGAGAAAGATATATGTATATAGTATGCCAGTGAAGCTTTTGAAATCCGCTGGGGGTTCTAGGGATTGTGTGTTTGAAAATATAGCATAATGAAATGAGATCCTCCCAAGGATGACCAAAAATGTTGAATATAAGAGCCAACATAGGCTATTTTCCTCTGTATCATATCTAAATATATTGCTTTGTTGAAATAGGGAACCTGGGATCTCCCACCATTGCTCCAGGAAGAAAAATCACCTCTCTTCTTTCATAGAAAAAAGATAAAGGGCTTGTTTGGAGCTGAACAAGTTAATCCATGAGGGTTTCGAAGTTGCTTTGAGGTCTGCACATATAAATAGTATAGACCATTCCTACTGTGTAAAGCAGGTTACATTACCTCTAACATGGTAATAAAATGTCATAGCTGATGATCCATGTATTCAACTATTATTCCATGTGATTAAATTCCAGTACAACTGGACAGACCCATGGGTGGACACACCCATAGAGTGAATCTTAATGGCATGTGACACATAGTCAAACCTTCTAATAATACTGAGAAAGCCTATTGAAATGAAGATGAACCTCATTAACTAAAGGCACATCAACTTTAGACATACAGTTGGTAACTTTTTATAATGCATTCCACAAAATCTATGTTCAGTTGTGTAGAAAAGGAAACTTCTTTTTTTAGTTTAAAAATATGTTATTATATTTTATCAGTATGTGTTGTATGTTATTCAAGTCATGATTCTAATAGTAAAATCTTAAATATCACATGCTTAGAAAAATATTAACTGTAAAGAGAAAACCCTGGGACTGTATTGTCCCCACCCCCCAGCCCCCCAAACTGGGAAAGTGCTGAGAGACCAAAGAATGATGCAGACAAGTCCAGCTTGGTTAGTAGATGTGTTTATTAAGATTTACATATGGGGCACTCCTGGGTGGCAGCAGAACAGCCCTGGAGATCCGTGTTGCCTCCCATCTCTAAGGTGCTTTTAAGCTAATTTTCTGGCTTTTTGCCTACTACGTGTGTGTAATGGGACTATTTTCCTTGGTAGGTTCTTAGATACTCTCCGAGATGTTTGCGTTCTCAGGAATACCTGTTTCTGGTTCGGGCACCATGGCCTTGGCTCACTGCCTGGCCTGCAGGATTCAGGCAGTGGACATACTAGTAACCTAGCGGGGCACCTGTCACACTACACTAACCAGAAAAAGGATTTAATTCTTTTCATTGTATTTCTCTCTCCCTTTCCCTCATCTGAAAACCAAAAGTATGGGATTTGTTTAACTAAAAAACAAAAAAACAAAACAAAACAAAAAAATCTACCTCACCAGAATTATTTATTTATTTATATTAGATTGGTGCAAAAGTAATTGCGGTTTTTGCCTTTTTTTTTTTTTTTTTAAAGGCAAAAATTGTGATTACTTTTCACCAACCTAATAGACAAGAATCTGGCCCTGTTACCCAGGCTGGAGTGCGGTGGCATGATCATAGCTCATTGCAGCCTCCAATTTCTGGGCTCAAGTGATCCTCCCACCTCAGCCTCCCTAGTAGCTGTGATTACAAGTACACACCACCGCACCTGGCTAATTTTTAAAATTCTTTGTAGAGAATGGGGTCTTGCTGTGTTGCTCAGGCTGGGCGTGAGCTTCTGTCCTCAAGTGATACTCCCACCTCAGCCTCCGGAATTTTGTTTAAAAAAGAAAGGTTACGTTAGGGTCTTGAAAGTGTCTTTTGAAGTAGTATGTAGTTGAAAACATATCTTTAAGGACACTTTATTGAATTAATGAAACACCCGTGTACTCAGCATAATACTGATTATATTATATAGTTTCAAGTTTTCTTTTATTTTAAAGCATGTTTTCTTCAAATGAAGCTTAAACGGTTGCGTTTTCCACATATAAATATGTTTCAATTCTGGTAGACTCAGATGAAAAATCTAGAACCTAGTTTCCTAATTAACAATAAAGATTGTGCTATATGAAGTTATGCATAAATAATTAAAAGAGGATGGCTTGGCATTAAAAGGACTGACTCCAGAGTCTTCCTTGGGGAAGGGTTGTTGTGGGGACTAAAGGAGTTTATTATTTATGACAAGTATTTAGAATAGTGTCTGACACAAAGTAAGTGCTATATAAGTGTTTGCTGTTTTTATTATTGCTATTATGTGGCTTAAGCCATTTATTTGTATAATTTTAAAAAGTTTTTTTTTTTCATTACCTTACCCCTAGAAGGATTTGAGCCTCTTCCAAAGCAACTGAAAGGGCTTCTGCTTTCAGTAGAAGTTAATGAAAAGCTAGAGTTTTGGAACTCCCCCTTCTGCCCCAGCTGTCTTTTGTTCTAAGATGAAGTTTCTTAAATTTGGTGGTTCTACATTTTCTCCTCTGTAACATGATGGTCTAAGTTGACATCTGTAAGATGACAGTTCCAAGTTCTGATATCTTTTCAAGCCACAACAATTCTGTGACTCTTTGATCTTACCTTCTGCTTAAGCAAGAATGTTAGGGTTATTCCTTTAGAATTTTAGAACTGGAAAAGGCATTAACCAAACACTCCACTCTCTGGGGAACTCATCACTTCTCCTAGCTTCATTTAGTTTTTGTTGTTGTTTTCTTATAAATTACTAGCAATCTTTGTTCTTCCTTTTATGTATTTTTCTAAAGCACTTTTTACATACTGTATAATGTATTTAGTTATTACGTTTATTGTCTCTATCTCCATGTTGAATGTAAGTGTATTAGTCCGTTCTCACATTGCTATGAAGAAATACCCAAGACTGGGTCATTTATAAAGAAAAGAGGTTTAATTGACTCACAGTTCTGCATGGCTGGGGAGGCTTCAGGAAATTTACAGTCATGGCAGAAGACACCTATTCACAGGGCAGCAGGAGAGAGAATGAGTGCCAGCAGGGGAAGTGTCAGACACTTATAAAACCATGAGATCTTGTGAGAACTCACTCACTATCATGAGAACAGAATGGGGGGGAACTGCCCCCATGATTCTGTTACCTCCCACTGGGTCCCTCTCATGACATGTGGGGATTACGAGTGTTACAATTCAAGATGAGATTTGGGTGAGGACACAGCCAAACCATGTCAGTAAGCTTCATGAAAGCAGGGGTCTTTGTCTTTTTTGTTCAGGTGCCTGACACATAGTAGGTGCCAAGTAGGGGCTCAAAAATATTGTTGGATGAACAAACAAATAGATTTTCAATTGTCTACTGGACAATTTCTAGTAGCTAGTCATCTCCAGTTCTTTTCTGAAGCAACTATCTTTCATGATTTTTCTTATCTCCACCAATGACACTACCTCCATGTTGTCAAGAGCAAACTCCTAGAGAAGTTGGCAGCCACACCTAGAACAGAAAAATTCAGTGATTTTCAAGGGGATTTAGGATAGTCACCACCATCATGGCCCTGGGTACACAAACAGTAGCAGTACAGTGTCACACAAGGTAGATGGAGCTGAATCTTCTCAGAGAACTGGGGGTAACTGGCCAACTGCCCAGGAAATTGCTTCAAGTTACCAAAATTTATTACAAAATCATAGCTTCTGTTGGGTATGCCTGATATGCTTCCTCTGTCATGTTAGTTCCATTGGAGATTCCTTATTGCTTCCAAGCAAATTCCCAGTTTTTGCAGCTTGGCATCCAGTTCCATCTCACACTAGTGCCCCTTGTCAGTTATCTGCTCAGCTGAGGCCTCCTCCTTAGTGTCGCCGAATGCAGTCCTGCTTCTGCTTTAAATCCCCTCTGTTCACTAGGCTGTTTTTCTTCACCCATTCAAATCCAACTTTTCTAATTGACTACGCCAGCTTCTCAGCCCTCACTTGCATGAAGCCCCCCTATCATGTTTCTGGGCTCCCAAACACTATTATTCTTAAATATTTCATTTGCTTATCTCCTGCTTTCCTCACTTATGATAACCTTTTGAGGAAAGAGGCTAGTGGAATAATAGAGGTAGGGATTCGTGAATGAATCACAAATCCTAGCTAAAGCAAAACCCACAAAACCATGGTACAAAATTGACTTAAAGTAAGTGCATTTACTGGCCTGTGATGAAGTTTTCAAGGGGTTTAGAAAATTCTGAGATCAAGTCCTTTCTACTTTTTTTTTTTTTGTATTAAGATGACCTTTAAAAAAAACTGGATGATAGTGTTAATACCTAGTAATAGTAATGGCTTCAAATGAATTATCTTTACTTGCAAAAATAGAACATTGGCAATTGAATTGATTGTGTGTGTGTATACATATGTACATACATATTATATATTTTTAAAAGTAATTTTATGGATCTCTGAGATCAGAGTCTGGGAAAGATGGTTGCTAATCACAGAAGTATACATACATACTCTATCTCTTTATGTTGGCTGTTCTTTCCTCTGCTCAAGCTCAAAATATTCATTCTTCAGGGTCTCAGACATTGGCTTAAGATTCTCATGTTTTGGTTTGATTCTGGTTATCCAGCCAGGAGATGTGTGAAAGTTACTTCCATGTATGTAAAAACACCCTCCTTCCATTTCTTGAACTTCAAAGAATATTTTTTCTTGTTCTGTGCAGATTAATCTAGACAATGGCCTTCCATTCCCTTTTTAAGTAAATCAGCTTTGTTAAGCTCATCAAAAGAGAAATTTTATGTGGCTTTCTAATTTTTCAGGCTGATGAAAGAACTGAGGACACAAAAGACATTAATTTGTTCATTTTCTTTCCAAATCTTGAACGATTTGTTCTCTTGTTCCATATTGTAAGGCAAGTTAACATTTGCCTCCTATTTGTAATTGTTCCATAATCTCAAGTTTTCATTGAATGTTTCATTGAATTCACTATATGTTTACTCTTGGATTTTGACATTTTAATTATTAGGAACATTTGATCACATATAATCTTAGTAATGTTCAACAATACCACACTGCTCACATTTATGCAGAATGCTGACAGAATGACAGGCAGTGGGAGCCAAGATTATGTGCCGCGTGGCTGATTGGTGCAGGGGAAGGCAGGGTGTTCCCATGTTATAATGCAGTGTCTCTTGGTTACTGTGCAGTTCCAGACAATAGATACCTGCTGTTTTAGTCAGAGTTTGTTGGTTGCAAAGAACAGAAGCCCACTCAAATTAATTAAAAAAAAATCAACAGAAAAACCCCCCAAACCTTAAAAATGTAGAATCTCTCAGCTAATCTATATGGCACTGGTAGACCCATGAGGGACTGTGGCATGGGCTGGAAATAGAAAGTCAAGAATCATGGTCATTGCCTCCTCTCTTGTTCTTCCTTTCTCTGCTCTCTATTTTCTTTTCTCTCACATGGGTCAGCATATTTATACATGCCAGCATTGACATGACCTTTTGGTTTTAGGCCCGTATTAGACCCTGCATTTTTCATAAGTCATATTCCCAAAAGAGGCTATTTGATTGGCTTCATTTAGCCTGTGGAGTCATTCCTGCTGGATGAGGTTGCTACCCTGGGTTCAGTGTTCTTCAGGGTTTGGAGTAGGGGAGGATTTACATGGTACAAATTGGGAAGCTATTAGTTGGATATTGCATCTCCTGCATTGGTCCTTTGTTTCTAATCTGTTCTTCCATATGTTCTATCCTTGTGTCTTTTTGTTATATACTTTGAGAGATTTCCTTACTGTTATGGTAATTTTATTAAATTTCTATTTTGCCGATCACATTTTCAGAAATATTTAAAAAGTTTTTTATTGTTCTCTATAATCACTTTATTTTCATTGTGTCTTATTCTTTAATGATTGTAGTTGACTGGGTGTGGGGTGCAGTGCATGGCTATAGCGCTGGCACTTTGGGAGGACAAGGTGGGAGTTCAAGTTCAGCTCCTGCTTGAGGCCAGGAGTTTAAGACCAGCCTAGATAACATAGCGAGACCCTGTTTCTACAAAAAATTGGTATAAAAATTAGTCAGGTGTGGTGGAGCAAATCACTTGGGCGTGGTGGTGTGCTTCTGTAGTCCCAGCTATGCAGGAGGCTGAGATAGGACGATCACTTGAGCCCAGGAGTTCGAGGTTGCTGTGAGCTATGATCACACCACTACACTCCAGCCTGGGTGACAGAGCGAGACTGTCTTAAAGAAAAAAAGATTCAAGAAGATACTACAACCATTTTTTGAGGATTGATCTTGCTCTGTCACCCAGGCTGGATCGCAATGGTGTGATCATAGAACTCCTGGATTTAAGGGATCCTCCCGCCTCAGCCTCAGCTACCACGCATGCCTGGCCACTCTTTGAAGTACAGTACTCTTTTGTTTCCCAAATTAACACTTCGCTTTCAGGGTCAGTTTTCCCCTCATGTTACTGGTTTTCCTTGTAGACTTGGTTCCCTATTCATAATAAGGAAAGAAAGATGGGAAAGTTTCCTCTGCTCTTTTAAAAAGATGTGTATGTAGAGCTTTTTTTTTTTTCCTTCTTTTTCCTCAGTTATCCCTCTTCCCTGAGTGAGAATTCTAAATGAAGCACTCTGTGTGTGTGTGTGTGTGTGTGTGTGTGTGTGTGTGTGTTTAGTACTGGGTTGTCTGCTGGCCAGCTTTTCTTCACCCCCAAAATGCCGTGAGGAAGTATTTACTCTGAGGTATCAGAATTCGCATCAGAAGCCTTCACAAGCCATCTCTTACTCCCTGCTGCCACAGTTGGTTCAGTTTCTTTAGAAATGAACCCTGAGATGTGTTGTCTGTCAATACACTTGGCCAGGCTGCGTGAAGGCTGTGCTAGAGGCAGAGGGAGAGATGGGAGTGCTAACTGTCATCACTTCACCCCCTATTTCCTGCTGCAGATCCTCTCCCCACTCTGTGATACCTGTTGACTCTGAGCCCAGAGCCTCCCCAGGCTCTATTGAGCAGATTGCCTCCTTGGTGGCCTTGGAGAGCAGCTTTCCCCCGTTTCGTCTGTGAGCGCATACTCCTTACCCTGTGTTCCAGGAATTTGTTGAAATCTCTTACCCATTTAAAGTTTCCTTCCAATGAGCTCTTTTCAATAGTATGGAATTCTCCCATTTTGTTCTTTGATGTTTCTCCCTGCATTAGGGACTCAGGAGGGACATGCAGGCGGTCAGGCATCTTGAAATGGAAGCCACATCAGGTTGTTCTTTTAAAAAATAACATTTGAGTCTTGGCTTTTATTTTGCTTTTTAAAATGAGACATATACATATAAAAGAATATACATAAGTACATGTATAATTTAAAGAAACTTAATAAAATGAGCATTGATACCTACTATATAGCTTAAGAAATTGAATGTCATATGAACAGTACCTTAGAAACCCGTTTGTCCTCCCTTCATTGTATCCCTTTTGTCCCCCACCCACTCCCCACGTTTCTCCTATGGTGACCATTATCCTTCATTTCTTAGTCACTCATTTGCTTTTTAAAAAAATTCATTTGTCTTTTATATATTTATCTCTAGACAATATATTATTTAATTTTAGCTGCTTTTGTTCTTTCTACAAATGGAATTCCATAACATGTACACTTCTGTTGTACCTTGCTCTTTTACGCAAGCTTATGTTTTTGAGATTTATCCATGTTTATTCATGAAGCCATATTTTAGTTATTTTTACTACAGTGTAGCACTGCATTGTAAGATATACTACAATTTAATTATCTTTTTAAAAGAGGATTACAATTTTTTACTGTATACTCATAGAACACTTCTGATACAAAATGTGTGTGGGTATTTCTCACACCAACCAATTCTTTAATTCTTGGCAGACATTGACTACTTATCCTCCAATTTAATTCTGACACTAACTGCCTGGAGTTAGAGAGCCCACACATTAAGGGCTCAGTCCAAGATTGCCCCCTACCTCAGATGCCACAAAAAGTAGGGGGTCCCCAGGTTTCCTACAACTTCTATCTGACTTGGCTACAAATTGGAGGTTCTCATGACCCCCTTCCTCAGGTTTGATAATTTGCTACAAAGGCTTGTAGAACCCAAGGAAAGTTTACTTACTGTTACTAATTTACTACAAAGTATATATTAAAGGATACAAATGAACAACCAGGTGAAGAGATAAATAGGGTGAGGTCTAGAAGGGTCCCAGCATAGGAACCTCAGTCTTGGTGGAGTTTGGGATATGCCACTCTCTCAGCATATGAACATGTTCTTGTACATCAACCAGGAAGCTCTCTGAACCCTGCAGTTTAGGGATTTTATGAAGGTTCCATTTATGTAGTAGGCATGATTGATTAAATCATTGGCCATTGGTGATTGAACTCTATTTGTAGCCCCAGCAAGGTGGAGTGGGGGGGTGGAGGAGTGGGGATGAAAATTCCAACCCTTTAATTAAATGATTGATTCTGATGACAACCAGCCCCTATCCTCCAGGAGTCACCTCATTAACATAAATTCAGGTGTGTTTGAAAAGGGCTTATTATGAATAATAAAAGACATCCCTCTTATCCCATCACCCAGGAAATTTTAAGGGCTTTAGGAACCCTGTGCCAGGAATTAGGGGACAAAGGCTAAATATATATATAGGTCTTCTACATTATGAAATACATGAGCACCTTTAGTTCCAGCTATTCAGGAGGCTAAGGCAGGAGGATTGCTTGAATCTAGGAGTTTGAGGCTGCAGTGACCTATGATCACACCTCTGCACGCCAGCCTGAGAGACCTCATCTCTTAAAATATATATATATATATATATATATTTCATATGATATGTTATTATATTGCAGTATCACACTTTCTACTGCTGGTGAACATTTGTGTTTGTGTAATCATATAATCATGAGAAAGATTGCTATGAAGGTAGCGCTGTTGCACATGTGCAAGAGTTTCTCTAGGATATAAACCTAGGAGTGGAATTGCTGCTTCCTAGAGTATATGTGTGTTTAGTTTTACTAGGTGATGACAACTGCTTGCCTGAGTGGTTGTACCAGGATACAGTATATCAGTGTATGAAATTGTCTGTGGCTCCCCATCTTGGACAACACATGGTATGATCAGACTTCTTAAATCTTTTGCCTGTGGATGTGGAATCATTTCTTACTGCGTGTTTTTAAAATCGAGATGTGATTTATGTGTACTAAAATTTACCTTATTGTGGCCTTAACTTTCATTTTTAAGGATTTATTTTCATATGGCTACTAACCTTTCATGCTTTCTCTTCTATAAATTTTTGCCATATCTTTCCAATTAGTTCCTCTTTTAGATTGGTGGATGTGCCTTATATATTCTGGATATACTGTACATATACACACATAATGTCATGGGATTTCTTTCTTCCTTTCCTTTCCTTTCCTTTTCCCTTTCCTTTTCCTTTTTTTTTTTTGCAGGATTCATTTTACCAGGAGGAAAAGGCAGTGCTTATATCCAGTAGTCAGTTTTCTGTAAATATGAATGTGTTGTTCTTTTTCTTTTTTTTTTTTTTTTTTTGGTTGTGGTTTAATCTTTGACAAAATTGGGAAGTTTCGGTGCTTTAAAAAGTTTAGAGTCTTTTTTTCCTTCACCTTCCTAATCTATTACCTCTGTTGTGAAACATTGTGATTGAGAATGTATCCTTGTATTCAATAACTCAGAATGTTTTCCTTAGAGTGCACACTATTAAAGTTGGTGTATGACGCTTAAGATACTTGTGGTGCTTGGTGCTTGTGAGGCTGGCTCTGCTGATAGATAGCTGTTTTGGAGGTATCAGTCCACAGGCTGGCCAGCACTTGAGGAGATGGGTTGTGAATGCTGATCCAGACTTATAATATGAGAGCTGTAGTGTTTTTCTTGATTCTGTAGTTAACACATTTATGAAATTTAATGGAAAAGTAAGTTGGCTTTAATAAAATTATAACATTAATTAGTAACCATTCTTTTTTCCATTTAATGATTTACCCTGAAGTTAACCTAAGGGATATTTTCTGTTAAGTGGTGATATTTCTATGGGTAAAAACTTAATAAAATGGCTAAAATGGCAAATATTTGCGTATTTCACCACATTAGTAATTTATTTTAAAAGATACTCTTTGGAAGACTTCTTAGGACTGTAACAAAAGTGTGAAAATGAACTCTGAAATAGTTTGTCTGTTTTTGAATGCAGAGAGGTCTTCCAAATGTTAATTCAAGGTATTGATGTATGGTAACTAGCAATATGTCTTTTACATAGCTGGTTGGTCCTTCTCATGACTGTTCTTTTTGGAAGGCTTACGTGTTCTTAGAGTTTTTGTAAACATTTGGAATGTTTTTCAAGGAATGCATTTTCATTTCACTTCTGCTCGAAGTATTAGCTATCACTTCCCCTGTGCTGCAGCCACACAGGTCTTCTTTCATTTCCTCGAATCACCATACTTTTCCTGACTTAGAACCTTCCCATATGTTGATCTTCACCCTCTGCCCACTATCATTTATATTGTTTATTTTTAAAAAATTGTAGTGAAATATACATTTTATGGGCTGAATTGTGCCCACTCAAAATTCATATGTTGAAGGCCTAACCCCCAATACCTCAGAATGTGATTGTATTTGAAAATGGGGGTTATTTAAAGAGGTAATTAAGTTAAAAGGAGGTCATGAGGGTGGCCCTTCATTTGATACAAGTGGTATCCTTATAAGAAGAGGAAATACAGACACAGACAGGTACAAAGGAAGACCATGTGAAGTTATAATGAGAAGACAGCCATCTGCAAGCCAAGGAGAGAAACCTCAGGAGAAACCAACCTTGCCTGCACCTCGATCTTGGACTTCTAGCTTCCAGAATTTTGTTTGTTTGTTTTTGAGACAGAGTCTTGCTCTGTAGCCCAGGCTGGAGTGCAGTGGCACAATCTCAGCTCACTGCAACCTCCACCTCCCAGGTTCAAGCAATTCTTATGCCTCAGCCTCTGGAGTAGCTGGGACTACAGGTGTACACCAACACACCTGGCTAATTTTTTTGGTATTTTTTTTTTTTAGTAGAGATGGCATTTCACCATGTTGGCCAGGCTGCTCTTGAGCTCCTGGCCTCAAGTGACCCTCCCGTCTTAGCCTCCGAAAGTGCTGGGATTACAGGTGTGAACCTCTGCACCTGGCCTAGCCTCCAGAATTTTGAGAAAATAAATTTATGTTATTTAAGCCACCCAGTCTATGTTTTTCTGTTATGGCAGCCTGGGAAACTAATATAATACATAACACAAATGAGCATTTTAACAGTTTTTAAGCATACAGTTCAGTCGCATAAAGTAGGTTCACATTGTTGTACAACCATTACCACCATCCATCTCCAGAAGTGTTTTCATCTTGCTAATCTGAAACTCTACCCATTAAACAGTAATTCCCCATTATCCCCCTTGGCCTCCAGCTCCTGGCAACCACAATTCTACTTCTCCATGAATTAGACTACTCTAGGTACCTCTAGACTAGAATCATACAGTATTTGTCCTTTTGTGACTGGCTTATTTCACTTAGCATAACATCCTCAAAGGTCATCCATGGTTTAACATGTGTCAGAATTTTCTTCCTTCTTGATGCTGAATACTCCAGTGTATGTGTATATTCCATATTTTGTTTATCATCTATCGATGGGCACTTGGGTTTCTTCTAGTTTTTTGGTGTTGTGAATGCTATGAACATGGGTGCACAAATATCTTTATGAGTCCCCACTTTCACTTCTTTTGGGTATGTATTTAATACCCAGGAGTTTAGAATTGCTGGATCATATGGAAGTTTTATCTTTAATTTTTTGAGGAACTGCCATACTGTTTTCCTTACCGGCTGTACTATTTTACATTCCTTTCAACAGTGCACAGGAGTTCCAGTTTCTTGGTTTTTTAGTTAGGTCTTTCTGGTTAGTCTGTCTCATGGTGCCCAATTATATTCTTTCATAACATTTACCACAGTTTCTAATGATACATTTTGTATGTTTTTAGTGTCTACCTTTTCAACTAGACTGTAAACTTGAGCAGGGATGATGATGGTTTTTTTAGTATCTCCATAGCATTCTAGTATGATGCCTGATACATAGTAAGCTCAAAAATAATGATTGCATAACTAACTGAATGAATGAATACATGATATGCTTATTTTGTGCCTGGTATAGTATTGAGCATATTTTATATGTTATTTTATTTTCACTACAATCCTTTGAGGCAGGCATTATTTGTAACCTCAGTTACACATGAGGAAACTGAGGTATGGAGAAGTGAAGTAGCTTGCTCAGAATTAAGCAAGTTAGTGAGTGTTGGAGGTGGCATCTTAAAATTAAAATTTTTTTTAATTGACACATTATAATTATACATATATATGGGGTACAACTTGATATTTCAATACATGTATACATTGTATAATGTTCAAATTAGGGTAGTTAGCATATTCATCACCTCATGCATTTATCATTTCTTTGTGGTGAGAACATTCAAAAACCTCTCTCCTAACTATTTTGTAATATGAAATACCTTACTGTTAACCATAGTCACCCCACTGTGCAATAGAACACAGAACTTATTCCTCCTGTCTAACTGTAACCTTTTTCCCCTCTACCAACTTTTCCCCATCCTCCCCTCTCCCATCCTTTCCCCAAGGAGGTGGCATCTTAATACTTGTCTGTCTATACAAAGTTTCTGCTTCTAATCATTCTTAACTCTAGAGGCAGCATGTGTCCTGGGGTGTGTTGGGATGGTGTTAAATAATGCCACAAACTCGTATTTTGCTTTTGATGAAATGTGAAATGACAGTCTGTGAAGGTTTACAATGTATTTTTTTTAAACTTGAGTTTTTCTGTGATGATTTTTTAAATAATAGATTTGCATGTTCCTTTTTTTCTCTGAGTTTAGAAATCTTAAGTTTTATCAGCCTTAAATATTGAGTACCTTGACATCTTTACTCAAAAATTCCCTCAAAATTAAAATTTTACAAATAAGATGTACTTTGATGGTGTTGACAGGGATTGTCATGAGCACACATTTCATAAAAGTTTAAAATGTTTAAGTTTGTTGACTGGTGATATGGAATCCAAGAAGTATTATTTGAAAAAACTTATTTTAATAAAAGCAATGCTTATACATTGCAAAAAGGTCAAACGTAAAGAAGTGTATAAAATAAAAAGTAAAACTGAAATGTCTAGCCTCAGCCTAATAGTTTTTTTATATATTCTTATTTATACTGTTTGATTTCACTCAAATAAGATCATACTGTAAAGCTGTTTCCATTTAATAATATCTTTTGGATATTTTTTCTTAGCACATATACACTATAGGCTAAGAAGTATAGACCATATACTTTTTAAGGGGTGAATTGTGTTCTAGTTTATGGATATACCGTTATTTATTTAATCTATCCTCTTCTAATGTAAATTTGGATTGTGTATTTGTTTATTTGACTTCTGTAAACCATGCTGCAGTGAACATTCTTGTCTGTATATCTTGGTATGCTTACACAACTGTATATATAGGGTAAATTACTATCAGTGATATTGCTGAGTAATACCACTGTTAGGCCAATACTCTGATAGGCCAATTTGCTCTCCAAAATTGTTGCAACAAATGTCTTTAAGATTTTTCTCTTTACGCACACCTTCAACAACTTTTAATATTTGTACATATGAATGACAAATGTTTCAGTGGTGTTTTGATCTTTGTTAATTTTCTTTCTTTATCTCGTCTTTTTTTTTTCTGAGACAGAGTTTCGCTCTGTCCCCCAGGCTGGAGTGCAGTGGTGTAATCTCAGCTCACTGCAACTTCTGACTCCCGGGTTCAAGTAATCCTTCCACCTCAGCCTCCCAAGTAGTTGGGATTACAAGTGTGTGCCACCATGCTTGGCTAATTTTTGTATTTTTAATAGAGATCGTGTTTCATCATGTTGGCTAGGCTGGTCTCTAACTCCTGGCCTCAAGTGATCCACCCTGCTAGGCCTCCCAGAGTGTTGGGATTACAGATGTGAGCCACTGCGCCTGGCCAATCTTCATTACTTTAAATTAAGAATGAGACTCAGTGTCTTTTTATATAACTATTGGCTGTTTGTCTTTCTTTTTCTGTATTTGTACCCTTTGCCTATAGTTTTTGGGGGTTTTCATCTTTTTCTTATTGATTTTTAAATGCTCTTTTTAGGTTAATAAAACTTTCATTATGTACTATAGATATTTTTCCCAGGTTACCTTTCAACTTTATTTATTTTTGCTTTACATTTTTACTTAGTCAAATGCATTAGCCTTTTATGGTTCCTGGTGATTGGATCATCTATGTTTTCTAATGTTTTTATAATTCCTTTTATTTTAACACTCAAATCTTGAGCAAGCAGGAGTTCATTTTGGTATAAGGAATGCTGAGACATTTTAAATACAGTTCTACATGAAAGATAGAATCTAATGAATTATCTGTGCTTCCTGGCCTTTGGGTCTTTGCTGTGCTATTCCTTCTTTCTAAAATGTTCTAGTTCCCCCATATCTTTGTGTATTGAACTATGAAAGCACACCAAGAACTACAGAAGTAGATGATAAGAGGTCAATTTCTTCCTACTGATCCTTTGACCAACCCACGGTTGAATGATTATTTTCTGAAATTAGCAGGGGACACATGAATTTAAAGCTCTATTTCCAGTAAATTTTTTTCAAATAGTATTTGATGACATTTTTATAATAAAGTGCTTTTTTTCAGTTGCATGTGTTTTTCTTTTTTCTTTTTCTTTCTTTTTTTTCTTTCTTTCTTTTTTTTTTTGAAACAGGGTTTTGCTCTATCTGTTGCCCAGGCTGAAGTGCCATGGCACTCTCACGGCTCATTACAGCCTTGACCTCCTGGGCCCAAGAGATCTTCCCATCTCAGCCTTCCAAGTAGCTGGGACCACACACACACCACCATGCTCAGCTAATTTTTAAAATTTTTTTGTAGGGATATGGTCTCCTTACGCTGCCTAGGTTGGTCTTAAACTCTGGAGCTCAAGCAATCCTCTTGCCTTGGCCTCCCAAAATGTTAGAATTACAGGCGTGAGCCACCACGCCTGGCTACAATTAGATGTATTTTTCAAGTTAAACCTCAACAAGGATTCTGTTATTAGTAAGCTTTGTGAAAATCAGTAGATTAGACTCATTAACATGGTTCTCAAAGGAGATTTTATCAAATGTAAAACTTGAAGATGTTACCTTCTGTCAATGCTCATTTGAAAAATGCTCTGGTTTTTAGTGCTCTGTATTCTGGCAGATAAAAATGTCCGTGCTTGGAAAATATGGACACCTTAGTGAAAGGAGATATGAACACTTTACCTCCAGAGTTTAATTAAGCATTTAGTTTTTTAAATGTAAATTTTTCTGGTTATAAAAGTGATACATCAGGCTGGCATGGTGGTTCACACCTGTAATTCCAGCACTTTGGGAGGCTGAGGTGGGCGGATCAGTTGAGGCCAAAAGTATGAGAGCAGCCTGGCCAAGATGGTGAAACCCTGTCTCTACTAAAATAAATTAATAAATAACCATATCTGTATCTGTCTATATATGTATATAGATGTATATATAAACTAGCTGGGTGTGGTGGCTCATGCCTGTAGTCCCAGCTACTTGGGAAAATGAGGCATGAGAATTGCTTGAACCCAGTAGGCAGAGGTTGCAGTGAGCAGAGATTGGCGCCACTGTACTCCAGCCTGGGTGACGGAATGAGACTCTGTCTCAAAAAAAAAAAAAGATACATTTATATTCTAGAACATCTTGGATATAGAGAAAGTATATATTAAACACTGTAATGCCATCATCTAGAGGTAGCCACCATTAAATTTTGGCATATTTATTTCTAGTATTTACCTTTTCCTATGTCTGCAGACATTGAAACGTATATATATATATATACATACACACACACACACACACACAAACATACATTGATATTTTATAAAATTAGGCCTATACTGGACATAGTTGTTTTTTTTTTGAGATGGAGTCTTGCTCTGTTGCCCAGGCTGGAGTACAGTGGCGTGATCTCGGCTCACTGCAACCTCCACCTCCTGGGTTCAAGCGATTCTCTTGTCTCAGCCTCCCGAGTAGCTGGATTACAGGCGCCTTCCACCATGTCTGGCTAATTTTTGTATTTTTAGTAGAGATAGTGTTTCACCATGTTGGCCAGGCTGATCTCAATCTCCTGACCTCAAGTGATCCGCCCGCCTTGGCCTCCCAAAATGCTGGGATTACAGGCATGAGCCACTGCACCTGGCCCATAGTTTTAATTTTTCATTTGCTATTATGATATAAGCATTTTTCCATACCATTAAATATTCTACAAGCTTTGCCACTTAGCTATGCAATCTTGGACAAGTCATTTAACCTCTCAGTGCCTTATTTTGTCATCTACAATAGGGATAATAATGGAGATAATGATAATATACTCACCGTACAAGTTTATTGTATGCATTAAATTCATGTAACACATACAACAAACTTATTAATGTGTGTAAAGTATTCAGAACAGGCATGAGATATTATAAATGCTGAGTTGATATTATTCTTATTCTAAAAACCTGATTTCGGATCACCTGAGGTCGGGAGTTCGAGACCAGCTCGACCAACATGGAGAAACCCTGTCTCTACTAAAAACACAAATGCGTGGTGGCGCATACCTGTAATCCCAGCTACTGGGGAGGCTGAGGCAGGAGAATCGCTTGAACTGGGAGGCGGAGGTGGCGGTTTTTGAACTGGGAGGCGGAGGTTGCGGTGAGCCGAGATAGCACCATTGCACTTTAGCCAGGGCAACAAGAGCGAAACTCCATCTCAAAAACAAAAACAAAAACAAAAACAAAACAAAACAAAAACACCAAAAACCACGATTTATAATTTTTCATAGTATTTCATCCTATGAATATATAATAATATATTTAGCCACTTCCTTATGGGACACTTTTTAAAAACCAAATATTCGTTATTACAGGTAATGCTGTGATGAATAAACATTTTTTACATAATTTTTTCCCATAGGAATGTACATAATATACATTTCCTAGAAGTGATATTACTGGGCATCACAGCTTTCAGGTATAATACAATGTCCTTTTGATTTTATTATGGAAAAGTGTTAAAATATGGGTTTTTAATTATCACTGGATTAAGACAGAGAGTTGATTCTTAAAGGGTTGTGATATGGCATTCATATACCTATTGATTTAGGCATATCACATTGGAGGCACATCAAGAGCCATTGGAGTTATTGGTGTGAAAGACAGGCAGCCATTTCTTTTCCTCCCTGTTTGGGCCAAAGACTGTTCCTATAGGTAACTTTGGGTCTGCTTGTATGACACAGAACAAGCTATGCCAAAATGCAGGCATTTTCCACTACAGAGACTCTGAAATAGCTCTTTTGCAGAACTAAAGAGGCTAGTAAGTTTGTTACCTTTTTCCCTCAATGTAAAATTTTTATATTCCTAAGTGTTTATAGCTGTGTTTGTTTAAAACACGCATGTCCCTAAAACTTCCAGTCCAATGAAGAAAACAGAGCAAGGTTGAGGCAAATTAGGCCTTAGAAATCCGAAGCAGAGATTATAGTAAAACACAAAAGGTCTGGGAAATGCACAGGTGTTTTTCTGAAGGACTTTTTTTTTTTTTTCCAGGTGATACACTTGGGTGTTGAAGGACATTTTTGAAATCATGAGAACTCAATGTTTGACTATGAATGTTTCGTTATAACTGCCTGGAAGGTTAGCGTCAAAGAAGTTGAGGTAGGAATATTTATAAATACGTTCCTTAACTTTTAGCTTGTGTGTGAAAATGGAAAAGATTATGTGGCTTAATGTTAATTTTCCTTGGCCCCTTATGTGGATTTCCCCATAACCTAGTTGCAATTCTTGGTGGCTTACGCTGGCAAAACAAAAATCATTCTTCACTGTGGTTTGGAACAGAGATACCAGATCTTATTGGGAGGGCAAATCCAGGAACCCTTCCCCACATTTTGCCATTCTGAACTCTGATTTGTATAGATGATGATTTGACTCTGAAGCTGCTTAGTTTAACAATTACAAGTTCACAATGTTAAGGACCAACAGTAGCATCATGAGGCTTAGTAAAATTAATTTTACACACACAACTTATATTTTTCTTCATGCAGTTTGTACACTTACTGGTTTGAAAATTCACAGAAAATATAATTAAAGCTATCAAAGCCAAAGAATATAAAGATGTTTCCTCTATTGTTAGCCAGTCTTCAGTGTCACTGTAATAATAGCACCTTGTGTAAGAACTCTAAAAACCTTGCCAATGCTTTATAGGCTTTGTAAACTGAGATAACCACTGCTGTCATTAAAGGAGGGCAGGTCATCCCTCAGCAGGGATCAGCTACTCCTGCCTCCTACTGTTTGCTGGTTTAATTCTCTTTGTAATAGTGAGGCTGGATTAGGAGTCTAGAGCTAGCACTGCATGCCTTTCCAAAGGAACCATGGAAGGACTAGGAGTCAATTTCATTACTTTCTTGAGGTGTGGCCCACCCCCCAGGTCTTTTCCTCATATTTTGGAAGTTCAGAGCCGGTTCAGGGAGATGCCACTTCTTCCTTCAGTGCTGTGGGTATTTTCTGAAAGCCTTCCATCAGTGGTCCTGATCTTGGTCAGTGGGACCACATTTCAGTCTTTGTTATTACACAGAATATAGCACTGCTTCTGAAGGCAAAGAGGCAGAGAGCTGGGTTTACTTTACTGTTAATTAATTGATTGATTAGTTGTTTCATTTATGTTTAACAAATAGATACCAGGAGTCTGCTGTTTGTTGAGAGCTACATTAAACTCTGTGGAAGTATATAAAACATATAAAACACAGTTCCTGTTGAAAGCAGTCTGGAATATTAGATGGAAGCACTGAGCCCTAGAGAACAGAATAGAAAAATTTAATATTTTCCTGTTCTAACTTTGCCCACACAGGTTTTCCATTAGTGATAAAAGGACATAACTGATAATTCAGAAACACATACCTTCTTAACATACATCATCTATGGAAAAAAAAGCTGTTAAGGCACCAAAAAAAACCCACTGTAGGACTGTAAAGATATTTACCTATTACAGAGATTTATTGACATGATAAAATTAAACAACCATAACTCTCTAATTTATTAGAAAATCTCCATCACCTTCTGTCATTCCCGAAAGTCTATCCATTGAAAAGGTTCTTTTTAAAATAACATCAGCTTTCAGTACTCTAAAATGAAAACAAATGGGCTTTTTTCAAGGTTTACAAAATTTTTTCAAAATAAATGCAAAGTAAAAGACAGGGCCAGCGGGTGGTGGAAAGGACTAAGGATTTCATTGTGTGGTACAGAGCTGGAGTGCTGTGGAACTCAAGTGAGGAGAGTTGGGCATTAAACCTCTCGGAAGATGAAATGAAGGGAAAGCAAATAAGGAAAATCAGGTAGAGAGCTACTTTCTGCACATTTACTTCTGACTCCTTATGGGACTTCTTAAGGGCACTTTGGAAATGTACCCTGATCCACCAATCATGGTTACATACAGTATTGTTAAAATATATAAACATTTAAAATCTCATAATGAAAGTATAACTTTTATAGAGCAGAAGACTTAGAAAACATACACATAACACACAAAAGAAAAATAAATCATCTATAATCTGGCCACTTAGAAATAACTATTGTTATGCCCTTACTTTTTTTTCAATGTAAATGATTTTGATTGCATTTACATTGGATTCCCAGAGCAGAGGGTAAACAGATTCCATAAAAATAATGAGTTGGATTCATATGAGATTGTTGTATTGGTTATTGTGACAATAATTTTGGCCCTGTCTACCTTTTACTTTGCAGTTATTTCAAAAAATTTTTGTATAGCTTGAAAAAAACCTATTTGTTTTTATTTTACAGTATTATTGTGATTATTTTAGAGTATTTGAAAGCTAATGACATTATTTTAAAGAGGATCTTTTCAATGGATAGACTTCTGGGAATGACAGAAGGAGATTTTCTAATAAATTAGAGAGTTATAGTTGTTTAGTTTTCTCATATCAATAAATCTCTGTAATAGGTAAATATGGTCTTGTAGTGGGGCTTTTTTGGTAATTTTAACAGTTTTTTTCCCCATAAATGATGTATGTTAAGAAGGTATGTGTTTCTGAATTATTAGTTATGTCCTTTTATCATTAATGGAAAACCTGTGTGGGCTAAGTAAGAATAGAAAAATATGAAATGTCAGACAACTTAAAGTTTCTGATATGTGTGAAGCTATTAGGTGAATTTAAGCCCTTGACCACTGACAGGTGCATTTGGAACAGGAAATTGCCTGAGCAGTGGCCTTCTGCATGTAGGGAAGAGCCCTGGCCCTGGAAGTGTGCTTTCTGAATCTGAAATTATTCTATTTGGTCTATCCGTGTTGTGCCCTACCAGGAAAGGGAGAGAGGGGTTTTGTGTTTTAGAAGAACCTCACAAATTCTCCATGTTCCAGAACTTATTACTGACTGTAAAACTGCAAAGTAGAGTTTATTCCTTTTCCCTCCACCTGTCACATATATGTCTTTTGACTGATTGAGAAATCTTAACCTTTTTGGAAATTAGTGGCTCCTTTCTGTGTTTTTAAAAAAGGTGTTTTTTAGTATACTGTCTGGCTGCCCTAGTTCTATAATGTCTTTGATTTAACTCCCCTTCCGCCCCTTTTTTAGGTATCTCTGAGACCTTTTTTGGAGGGGTGGGGATCACAAACTCAGAGGCCAGGCAGGTAGTATAATATGAATATAAGTTTCTAGGGAGGAATGGTAAGAACTATGACAGACTGGAAAATACTTCTATCTCCAAAGGTAATTAAAATAAAACAAAAACAGAAATATATTTTGATGGCCAAACAGGAAATCCAGATTTGGCTTGAAGCCTACCAGTTTATGGTCCCTGTAGTGATAATGGTAGTAGAGTAGTCATGTAATGATAATGATTGTAAAAAATAGCTAACATTTATTGAGCACTTACTATGTGCCAGGCACATGTGCTATCTTATTCTGTCTTCACAGTAAAGGTAAATGTTATTATTATCCCCACCTTAGAGATGAAACTGAGGCTTAGAGAGGTTCTTTGCCCATGTCGCAGAGGTCATAAGTAGCAGAGTGAAAGCCAGGTTTGTCTAACTCAGAATCATGAGCTCTGTGATGTGTTTTGCTTTTAGGCCACAGAACTTTGAATTGCACTTGGAAGAAAATAGTCAGTGGTTAAGCTACTCAGAGTGTTGGCACCAACCAGTTTTGTGGCCTTGGGGGAAGAAGCCAGGCCTGGAAAAAGGGGCAGTGTTCTTGGTCCTATAAGGAGGAGGAAACAGCCTAGCCAGGTCTGCTGTGGTGTGAACAGGCTCTAGGAAAGTCTTCACCAGGTACTTTGGGAAGTGATTTCTTTGGTAGAGGGTAAAGAAAGTAATAGTTCCTGTGAGGTGCAGAAGATGTGTGTGGGTTTGGGGGTGGGGGTGTCTGTGCAGCATATAGGAGGGGAAAATCAGACTAAATGGAAGTTTAGTAGGAGCTTTTAATGTAGGTTTTGGCAGATTTGAGTAAGGTCTACTGGAATATTTTGTACCCTGGCTGTCCTTAACTGTGTATTTGGGAATATCTAGAACTGTAGAATAAATAACTAAAATGTATGGGGTTGACATTTAATCCAGGGCTTCTTGTTGCAGTACACTTTAAAACTGAATGGGGTTTTAGTCTGGGCGCAAGGGACTGTCTTTTGTTTGGCTTATCTTAGTCGGCTCCTACTCACACACCACAGAGTCGCTTTTCTTGGGCATAGTGGATCTCTATCAGGATCACTGGCATTTCCTGTAATATTTAGCAGAAAAAGGGTCATAGAGAAAGTATCCTCACAAACTCTTGGTTATTGAACCAACCAGCACCACCAAAATATTTGCTGTTAACATAGCACCTTTAAACGAACAAGTGACTTGTTATACCTTGTAGTTCTCAAACCTTCTCTAAGTGACTTTAACACAAGGAAATGAAAAGTAAAGCCAATCTGTTCGTATGACCAGCTGCATGTGAACATAAACCCTGGGAAACACAGTGGCCTCTGTGAGAGGGCTGCTTGCATAAACCTCACAGAGCCCTAAAGAGAATTTTTTTTTAAAGTATATATATACACACACGTGCACAAAAAGTATTACCGGAGTATATCTTGACTTTTGTTCCTGAAAAAAAGTGAATATACTACAAAAATATATAAGAAGGTAAGATTGATTGATGGAGTTTACTTTCTGCTACCTAAAGACTTTTAAATAGATACTGAAGGATAAGGAAGCAAATTTAGTTTCAAGAAACCTAATACGTCTCAAAGTGAGTACGGGTGGGACCAAAAGTCCAGCAAGAGTGGGTCTAGGGAATCCCTTCTGTTAACTGTTTCATGGTTTAAAATGATCACTTTCCTAAAAGGAACAAGAAAAACTGGTCTAGTTTGTTTTCCAAGTTGGAAGTAAATACTTATGTAAGCAGCACCTGACTTTGCAGCGTTTCCATCTGTAATATCATTTAAGAATTTGGCCAGATCTCAAGTGATTTATGTTTAGCAAACGAGATTATCTTCAGCTTCCTATTGTGGAAGAGCAAATGGTTTGGGGTTTGGTTGCTGCTTTTCAGCCTCTTTTTAATTGCTTCTTCAAGGTAGTACTGCATTAATCTTTGTTATTTACCTTCAGTGTTGGTTTGCGACAGAAGCAAGAAACCAGAACAGTGGCTGAAGCTAGAATGGCTTTAAGTGTTAATACCCTTGTTGTAGAGCTACCAAAAACAACAACTATTTATTAAGGTTGACGGAGAGAGAGCAAGAATGAGAAAGACCTTTTGCATACACTTGGAATTCAGCTTTTTGTATATATATTTTTTATCATATGACAGATGCTCTTAATTTTATGGACAAATGAAATAAAGGGAATCTTTAGATTGCTATTTTGAATGCTTATGATTGTTTATGTTTTTAAGAGTTTAATTTTCTCCCAATATAGGAAAACATTTATTTTTGAATTTGTGGCTACATATTGAAAAATAACACTTCTTTTTGATATTTGAGGATACATTATTATGGTAATGTGAATACCAACATACTGTTTATTTAAAATGTGGGTAAATTTTTAATATGTTCTACATTTAAATCAGCTTTTAGAGGCCCTGCGTTAAAGGTCTTCCTGTTATTAGGTTTAAATTTGTGTGAGAGAGGTAAACATTTTAGCAAATAAGTGATCATTTTATTTCCCATGGCTGGACAAAAAAATGAATGAAGTGTTTCAGAGCACAACATTTGGGAAAACTATGTATTACATATTTCATATACCCTGCAGATAAAAATAGCTACTCACATCTAGTTAGTGTGTTTCTGCTGTTGTACCTACCACCACCACCACCTTTTCCTGAGTCTTAATTTGATGGTCTCTTCCTTAACTGCTGTCTTAATATTTTAAGTTTCATATCTTGCACACAGTGCAAACCAAGCAAAGATTAAGTGTATAGAGAGGGTCACTCTGTCTTTCAGATTGTATCAGCTATTTTGAGTCTAATTCTTAAACTGCTCCTGATACCTTGGCAGCAGGCCATGTAGTTGTCATATTGTCTCATTAGAGTTAAGTCTAGTCCTGTCAAGAACAGATTTACTAGTCTTTTTTAATTGCCTGCTTAAAATTTTTCATTTCCAAAATCAGCTGAAGAATTTAAGATCATGATAAGTATGGACCGAGGTCAGGTAAAAGTTCTGAGCAGATTAGGAATTCACTGAAGGAAGGAAATGAAGAGATGAAGGATTTTAAGGCTGTTGTGGAAGAGTGGAGGATTTCTGAAGCATTTGTGTTTAGGAAAATGAAATAGGGCTTAAATTGTGTGGTTGTATGGCAATGGATATGAAGTTTATTTGACTGGTATAAATTATTTTCTTTTGTGCCTTTTTGCATTTAAGTATGCCATCTATTCTTCTAGGGAACTAGAGGCTAAGCATGAGATAATTAGAAGGTTGAAGAAAACCAGATGAAGATAAGGTGGAATCTGGAGAGGACAAATAGGAAAGTGTGCCCAGCTAGCTGAAAATAATGATAGCATGTTGGAGAACAAACAAGGGTTAAGTGTGCAGCCTCCTCATGGGCAAAGCCAGCAGAACCTATGTTCTGCCATATAAAGGAAAGAGGACTGAAAAAAAGGGAGGTGAAGAGATGTTTAGGAAGAAGCAGGATGTTTTTTGAGAAAACTTGTTGGATGAAATAATACATACATGCATCTCTGGGAATAGGAGAGGGCCAGGTTTCCCAGCAAATGGTCAGGCTTATTTTGTTGATGCTGCCTACCTAAGTGTGAGGTGAGGTATGGTGGGCATGGCACTCATTCTCGTGACAATACCATGGTAGGATGATTATAGTTAATAATAAAATATAGTTTCAAATAGCTAGAAGGTAAATATTGAATGTTCCCAACACAAAGAAATGATAAATGTTTGAGACGATGAATATGCTAATTACACTGATCTGATCACTATACATTATATGTATCAAAACATCGCTAGGTACCCCATGGATATGTATAATTATCATATGCCAATTAAAAATAAAATTTTAAAATTTTAAAAATGGAAAAGAATGTAGGGGCTATATTAGCCTCCAGGGAAATGTGGAGCCACGGCAGTTATGTGTGACATTGAAGGAAGTGGAAGACTGTAGCAGTTGGGACTGTGTAAGTGATTGGATAGCCTAATCGAGTCAGATCAGGGTAACCTAACAGGCTCATTTCTTTTTCTTGAATTATCCCTGACCTGAAGGACTTTGGGCATGGGATCGACTCTGTAATATATTGAGGGTAGGTCAGGCACAGTGGCTTACGCCTGTAATCCCACACTTTTGGAGGCTGAGGTGGGAGGATTGTTTGAGGCCAGAAGTTCGAGACCAGTCTGGGCAACAAGGGAGACTCTGTCCCTACAGAATATTAAAAAATTAGCCAGGCATGGTGGTGCATGCCTATAGTCCCAGCTACTTGGGAGGCTGAGTTGGTAGGACCCCTTGAGCTGAGAAGTTGAGGTTGCCGTGAGCTGTGATCATACCACTGTACTCCAGCCTGGGCAACAGAGTGAGACCCTGTCTCTAAAAAATAAAGTAAAATAAATGTATTTTGAGGGTAAGGCTGACCATATTCTAATATGTATCATTAAGGTCCTTATTTTGCTCCCTCTAAGCCTCTTCCTGAGATGCACCATGGGTTCACATTGTTCCCTGACAGGACCCAGTGTGCTGGGGGTGTACTTCATGTTCCGTATCTTTCTTGGTTTTCTTTCTACATGCCAATACTTACCTGTTCACTGTCTGAACAGTTTCTTCAGATAGTTTCACTAGATTCTTCAGATAACTGGAGCTAATTGGTAAAATCATTCATTCTCTTGTGTAGGGTTAATTTATAACCCTTTCTGTGTTATATATTTACATTCAAAAGAAGGATTCATAGTATGTTACATAACTCAAAGAAATGGTGGAATTTTTGGCATGCCTTTGAGTAAATATTAAGATGATGATATTACAGAGGAGTCATATATGCATATTTCACTCATGGGAATTCAACTAATGCACCTGGCCAAAAGAAGAAAGAAGGGCAGGAAATAGCAATTGAAATTTGATGAGCATAGTCCTGGAGTGAGCATAAGATGGGAGTTGTGAGCCTGCTGTTTATAGGGGAGATTTAATTTCCTCTCAGAGTGAGAGCATTTTGGTCTGAACAGCATGGCCCATAAAATGCAAGCTGGTTACTTTCTCTGATGTTTACCTGAACAGACAATAGTCTTTTCTGGATGGCTTATTGTGGACTTACTGAGAGATGACTTAGTATTGTATTTTATGCGGAATTACATGGAGTTTTCAAGGGTAGTTTTACTATTTGTAATTGCTGCCTTGGTTTGACTTTAGATTCTAATCCAGTTCCCTGCATTATTAGGTATGACTTCACAGTGTTGGCCGGTTGAGGGTAGGTCTTTTAGAGCTCCTGTGAGCTCCTTGAGATTTGGGGCTGTGTGTTATTCATCATTGCCAAAGCAACTCAGAAAATATTTTTGTTGAATGAAATAATGAATACTTAACACCCTGCCATGGTACCTAGAGCATGGGCACATTCTGGCTGTTTTGGTTTAGAAGAGATGGGTTTTGCTGAGTGATTTAGGCCATCTGTTGGAACTGGATTGCAAGTCATAGACTTGTTGAGACCATCTTTTCTTCCTACCTCTGGTGATGCCCTAGCCAAAGAAGGTGGCATTGGGGAGGGATGGTTGAAAGTAGAATGATGGTATGTCAGAGATGCCAGTAGCTTTGAAGAGGTTCTTATTATCCTTTCTGTTTTATACTGAATCCATATCTTCTGTGTCATGACAGGGCACCTTGATCGTCACAGACAATTTTGGCATTCCAGGAATGGATGACCTTCCAATTAGAAGATTACACTTCCTCCTTTGCCCCTTGCAGATGGTTTTGAACTCTAGAATTATGGGTGACATAAATTAAAGCTACTCGTAAAATATATGCCCCCAGCCTTCTGTTCTTTCCTTTTAAATGTGGTCCAGTTGTGCTCTACAGTAATGATCCTAGTATTTTATGCACAACTTGCCCAGTAGCTTCCAATTATGTGTCACAAAGAAAAGTTTTAACTGTTTGGTAGGTGGCCTTGTCTGATGACAATACCGAGCATGTGGCATTTTGTTCTGTGTCTCACAGTATCACCATGACACTGACTGAAAAATACCCTGGTTTCTGCAAGGTGTCTGATAGATCAGGCAAGATTAAATAAAGATAATTACCCCTGAGTTTTTCTATTTTTTACATTCCATTTAGAGAGGTTTGGTTACTGCCCTTGGTGAATTTGGAAGCTCCTATATATGATATCCAGATCTTCCTACCAGACATGAATATGATCTGACTCCTAACCTCTCATTCTGATATAGCCTTCTGTCAGCCTCCTTAGCCAGTTTGATATTTTTATTGTTTATTTACTTATTTTTTACCCTTTTTTCAAGAAATGGGGTCTCACAGTGTTGCCCAGGCTGGACTTGAACTCCCACTCCTGGGCTCCAGCAGTCCTCCTGCCTCACCTTTCCAAGTAGCTGGGGCTATAAGTACACACCACCATGCCCAGCAATATTTTTATTTCTGTAATGTGTCATTTAGCCAGTGATTGTTGTATTATAATAGAATCACAGAAATGGAGGGACTCCTAGAGGTAATCAAATCTGGTGGTTTTTAAGCCTTTTATTCCCTCTAAAGGGATAGTAAAACCATTAAAAATATAATTTATCCCAATATGTAAGTCAGAGAAAGCTGAACTTCTGGTTTAGAGAGGAACACAGATGAAAGGCCAAATGCCTCCATCATTTCTCCACTCTCCACCCAACCCAACCTTCAAGGTATCTGGGGGCTCTGTGGACCTCACTTTGAAGACCATAGTTCTGGAGTAATGAAGGACTACTATATTAAGTAAATCCTTCTAGCACCGTTTAGCACCAGTTTGCTTGTATATTGCTTCCTGAGGGTAAAATTTTAAAACAAAACTGCTCCAAGTTCTTCCTCTGCATTTGTCTGTAGTGTGTATTACCTACAGACACTCACCAGTCATCAGGAAGCTTATTGTGTATCTTGAATGTTCAGCCCAACCAGCATACACTGTAGGTACCACAGGTGAGAGGCTGACCTGAGTGACAGAGTGGTACTCACTTTTTTATTTGATGATGAGTATGGCATCTGGATAGCACTTAAGAGATTGGAGTGTACTAGATGAGATAGGCTCTAATTGTGTAGATCAGTGATTGTCAAAGTGTGGTCCCCTGACTAGCAGCATAGGCATCTTCCAAAACTTGTTAGAATACAAATTCTTGGGGGTTGGGTGCCATGGCTCATGGCTGTAATCCCAGCACTTCGGGAGGCTGAGGTGAGGATCATTTGAGGCCAGGAATTTGAGACCACTCTGGGCAACATAGTGAGACTCTGCCTCTACAAAATGTTTTAAAAATTAGCCAGGCATGGTGGTGCACACCTGTAGTCTCAGCTACTAGAGAGGATCCCTTGAGCCCAGAAGTCCGTGGCTGCAATGAGCTGTGATCGCACCATTGCACTGCAACCTGGGTGACAGAGTGAGGCCCTGTCTCTTTAAAAGAAAAACAAAAACAAAAACTACCATCAGAGAATACTATAAACACCTCTACGCAAATAAACTAGAAAATCTAGAAGAAATGGATAAATTCCTGAACACATACACCCTCCCAAGACTAAACCAGCGAGATCGAATCCCTGAAGAGACCAGTAACAAATTCTGAAATTGAGGCAGTAATTAATAGCCTACCAACCAAAAAAAGCCCAGGATCAGACAGATTCATAGCTGAATTCTTCCAGAGGTACAAAGAGGAGCTGATACCAATCCTTCTGAAACTATTCCAAACAATTGAAAAAGGAGGGACTCTTCCCTAACTCATTTTATGAGGCCAGCGTCATCCTGATACCAAAACCTGGCAGAGATACAACAGCAACAAAAAACTTCAGACTAATATCACTGATCAATATCCATGCGAAAATCCTCAATAAAATACTGGCAAACCAAATCCAGCAGCACATCAAAAAGCTTGTCCACCACGATCAAGTAGGCTTCATCCTTGGGATGCAAAGCTGGTTCAACAAACACAAATCAATAAAAGTAACCCATCACATAAACAGAACCAACAACGAAAACCACATGATTATCACAGTAGATGCAGAAAAGGCCTTTGATAAAATTCAACATCCCTTCATGTTACAAACTCTCAATAAACTAGGTATTGGTGGAACATATCTCAAAATAATAAGAGCTATCTATGACAAACCCATCCAATATTATACTGAATGGGCAAAAGCTGGAAGCATTCCCTTTGAAAACTGGCACATGACAAGGATGGCCTCTCTCACCACTCCTATTCAACATAGAAATAAAGGGTATTCATATAGAAAGAGAGGAAGTCAAATTGTCTGTTTGCAGATGACATGATTCTATGTTTAGAAGACCCCATCGTCTCAGCCCAAAAACTCCTTAAGCTGGTAAGCAACTTCAGCAGAGTTTCAGGATACAAAATCATTATGCAAAAATCACAAGCATTTGTAGACACCAACAATAGACAAGCAGAGAGCCAAATCATGAGTGAACTCCCATTCACAATTGCTACAAAGAGAATAAAATAGCTAGGAGTACAACTTACAAGGGACATGAAGGAACTCTTCAAGGAGAACTACAAACCACTGCTCGAGGAAATAAGAGAGGACACAAACAAATGGAAAAACGTTCCATGCTCATGGATAGGAAGAATCAATATCATGAAAATGACCATACTGCCCAAAGTAATTTATAGATTCAGTGCTATTCCCATCAAACTACCCTTGACTTTCTTCACAGAATTAGAAAAACTACTTTAAATTTCATATGGAACCAAAAATGAGCTCATATAGCCAAGACAATCCTAAGCAAAAAGAACGAAACTGGAGGCATCACACTACCTGACCTCAAAGTATACTACAAGGCTACAGTAACCAAAACAGCACTGTACTGGTACCAAAACAGACATATAGACTAATGGAACAGTACAGAGACCTCAGAAATAATGCCACACATCTACAACAATCTGATCTTTGACAAACCTGACTAAAACAAGCAATGGGGAAAAGATCCCCTACTTAATAAATGGTGCTGGGAAAACTGGCTAGTCACATGCAGAAAACTGAAACTGGACCCTTTCCTTACACCTTATAAAAAAATTAACTCAAGATGGATTAAAGACTTAAATGTAAAACCCAAAACCATAAAAACCCTAGAAGAAAACCTAGGCAATACCATTCAGGACATAGGCCTGGGCAGACTTCATGATGAAAACACCAAAAGCAATTGCAACAAAAGCCAAAATTGAGAAATGGAATGTAATTAAACTAAAGAGCTTCTGCGAAGCAAAAGAAACTAGCATCAGAGTGAGCAGGCAACCTACAGAATGGGAGAAAATTTTTGCAGTCTACTCATCTGACAAAGGTCTAATATTCAGAATCTAAAAGGAACTTAAATAAATTTACAAGAAAAAACAGCCCTATCAAAAAGTGGGCAAAGGATATGAACAGACACTTCTCAAAAGAAGACATTTATGTGGCCGAGAAGCATATGAAAAAAGCTCAACATCACTGATCGTTAGAGAAATGCAAATCAAAACCACAATGAGATACCATCTCGTGCCAGTCAGAATGGTGATTATTAAAAAGTCAAGAAACAACAGTTGCTGGTGAGGCTGTGGAGAAATAGGGACACTTTTACACTGTCGATGGGAATGCAAATTAGTTCAACCATTGTGGAAGACAGTGTGGTGATTCCTCAAGGATCTAGAACCAGAAATACCATTTGACCCAGCAATCCCATTACTGGGTATATACTCAAAGGATTATAAATCACTCTACTGTAAAGATACATGCACACATATGTTTACTCCAGCACTGTTTACAATAGCAAAGACATGGAACTAACCCAAACACCTATCAGTGATGGACTGGATAAAGAAAAGAAAATGTAGTACATATACACCATGGAATACTATGCAACCATAAAAAAGAATGAGATCATGTCCTTTGCAGGGACATGGATGAAGCTGGAAGCCATCATCCTCAGCAAACTAACACAGGAACAGAAAATCAAACACCACGTGTTCTCAATTATAATTGGGTGTTGAACAATGAGAACACATGGACACAGGGAGGGGAACGACACACACCAGGACCTGTCAGGGGGTGGAGGGCAAGGGGAGGGAGAGCATTAGGACAAATACCTAATGCATGCAGGGCTTAAAACCAGGATGATGGGTTGATAGGTGCCGCAAACCACCATGGCACATGTATACCTATGTAACAAACGCTCACGTTCTGCACATGTATCCCGGAACTTAAAAAAAAAAAAAAAAAGCCGGGCATGTTGGCTCATGCCTGTAATCCCAGCACTTGGGGAGGCCGAGGAGGGCGGATCACGAGGTCAGGAGATTGAGACCGTCCTGGCTAACGCAGTGAAACCCCGTCTCTACTAAAAATACAAAAAAATTAGCTGGGTGTGGTGGCAGGCACCTGTAGTCCCAGCTACTCCGGCGGCTGAGGCAGGAGAATGGCGTGAACCCAGGAGGCAGAGCTTTCAGTGAGCCGAGATTGCGCCACTGCACTCCAGCCTAGGTGAGAGAGCGAGACTCCATCTCAAAAAAAAAAAAAAAAAAAAAAAAGAATACAAATTTGTGACTAGATCTCCTGAATCAGAAACTTTGAGGCTGGAGCCCAAGCAATTTGTATTTAATAAACTTTTTGGGTGATTCTGTTGCATGTTACAGTTTGAGAACCACTGGTGTCAGTGAATCCAGTGGCAATGCCAAAGGCTGGCCTGGGGTGCCTTAACCCTGCATCCCCTTTCTATTAGCATTCTTCTTGCTTTGCTATGGAAACTCAGTATTTTTTTCACTCTTACGTGAAGTCTCAGGCAACTTTAGCTTCAAAACTAATACCCTAGGTTGGACTTCCAATTAGATTGCCACCCCATGCCCCATTTCTGTAGACATTCTAAAGTAGCCACTGGATGTGTATGTACACTAAGTTTTAGATGTTACCTTAGTTGGAAGGCTGGTCATTTATCAAAGGAAGTGATTTTCTGCTTAACTTACCAGGGCCTCATTTGTCTGAATACTGCTAAGGTAACTTGGGAATTATAGACCTTTCAGCCGCCTGTCTACTGTGAAGGTCTGATGGAGGGTTTCCTTAAGGGCAGCACCTATGTAATCATGATCATCTGATCTGGGGTACTTTGTTATCATTATGAACCTGTTCCTGTTCTCAGTGTCTTTATGATTCACTAGGCAGTTATTCAGTATCCTGCAGTGAGGGATTCCTAGCCTGGGATCCCAAGAACCACCCCTGATAGCAGAAAAATAAGCTTTGCTTGAATATGTGGTTATACTTTTTGTGAGTGGAAGGTCAGTAGTCTTCATGAGATTCTGAAAAGGCTCTATTGCCTTTTACCCTCTTCCCTCAAAAAAGCTGATTTACCATTGCTTTAGTTGCTTTTGGATAATAGTTTTAAGAAGTGTTCACAAGATTTGCAGCCATTTGAACTGGAAGACCTTTTGGTTTAAATTTCACAATCCTATATTAGCTTGTCTTGTCTACTCAGGCGTTACTGTATACATTAAGTCAAGTAAGACTGGTTCTATACTTGTGCAATCTTGCTTTTCTGTTTTTGGTGTTTGAGAACAGTGCTTACTTGTTGCCATCAACAATAGTAATGCATTTGGATAGTGCTTTCCAGCTTATCCAGTAATTTCAGGTATAGCTTCTTTTTAAAATTTGATACTGTGAGACATATAGAGCAGGAGGATATTAGCCCTATTTTTACAGGTGATGACACTAAGGCTTACAGGTGATGACATCACTAAAAACTAGGTTTACCCATCACATAAAAGCTTGGACACTCCCACTACACTCACGTTCTGGTTGCTTCCAAATATGCTTGAATGATGCCTAGAAAATTCTCAAAAGTTCATTATGTCTAAAAGACTGTTTACTGGCACATTAAATCATTATTGTCTCTAAAGGAAATGGATAATTTTAAAATTGTGGATTTCTTTTTTGCTTTTCCTTATTTTTCTTTAAAACAAAACTTAGATATAGATATAATTTCCCCATTTCACAGTCAAATAAAACCCCTCTTCTTTTGCCTTCCACAGATACCTTTCAAAATCCTGTTCAATCATATATTTTAGGATGTCGGGTCAGGAGACGGCAAATCATTGCCAGCTGGTGGCATCACCTCATTTTCATTAGATTGTTCTTTGAGTTTCAAAGACTAGTGCCCTTGTAACTTACATTACACAGCCTTAAAATTGCACATAAAAGTTTGCTGTGGAAGAGTAGCAAATGTAAGATAAATTGAGAAGGTTAAGGGGAAAACTGTGCTAAGAGCTTCTCATAAATGAATTCTCATCATAAAAGCACAGTGATTTTTTCAAGTGACAAATTAACTCAAGAATTGTGCTCTGCATTTTTAAACAATGTGTGGTAGAGTAGTATGGTAATTCCATTTGTCTTTAAGCCAGAGGTTAGTGCCTCAGCATATTACACTTGTGCTTTTTGACTAATAGTGTAGAAAAGAAAGCTGTGTGTATGGATATTTAATTTATTTTTACTTTGCAAATGTGTTATGTCTATGATTTAGTCAATAAACAGATGCTGTGTGTTAAGGCAGGCTGTCATAGAAAAGGAGTTTGTGTTGAGGCTTGGGGCCAGAACATTTTCCAAAAGGAATATTCGTGCTTAGAAAACTTCTTATAAATATTCTTGTTCAGACATGCATTCCTCTTTTACTTCAGTGGGGTCACTGAGTAGATGTTGGTCGTTTATTTCAGTTCCCTGCTATCGGGTCAGTAAAAAAGGTATTAGTGGAGTGTGGGTGGTTTTTCTTTCTGCTGCCAAGTTAGAGGTTTGATTGTGACAGTGAACTCTGAACAAATGACTTCATCTTTTTATGAGGAATATACATATTAATGTCATTCAGACAGTTTCTTGGGGACATACAAAATATCGGTATTAATTTTAGGGTTTGTATAATACAATGAGAATAAAGAGAAGAGGGTTCCTGCCCTGCCATCTTACAGTCTAGCTAGTGAAACCTGACAGATCATGTGAAAGCTCTGTATTCTTCTAGTCATTGATGTCAGTATTATGAGTTTAGACTGGGTAATCAATAATAATATCTTTGCCCTTTGCATCCTTCTACTGAAGTTTTCATTTTCCTTTCTTTGGACTGTGGCCGTATTGTATTTTTGCTCCAGGATTTTAATTTGTGGGGCAGGGACAGTAGGTGTGATGTTAGCTAATTGCCTACAATGCTGGCTGGCGTGGACTTGACCTTTCCAAATTGGAGCACAATACCAAAGATCACATTTTTAGTTGAATGAGATTCTTTGTTGTTTCAATCTGAGGGGAATCTTAGTATCTGGGGATCAATGAATGCATATAGATGAGGGACAAGTGCTTGGTTCAGGAACTCCAGGGCCATTTACCAATCAGTCCTCCAACCTGTGTGGTGGTCTTTACATTTCTTGGAAACATAATAGATTCAAGATATGAGGATAGGAGGGAGCCTGAAGCAAAGCAGTTCTCTAGATTTCCTCAAAGTTCCTTTTAACTCTGGATCTCTCTTGGAATTGTTCCTTTTTTTTTTTTTTAAACTTTAGCGTATTTTTTCCAATAAGGAAAAAAAAAAAAAGAAAAAACCACCAAAACAGCACTCTGAATCTCTTCTTCCTATGGTGGAACCTAGTATTATGGAATCTGTTTACATCTAAATAAGGAAGGTAAATTATAATTTCAACAGCATGCCAATCAGCAGACCTAGAAGCCATAACTTCTAAAAGAAAATTTATATTCTAATTTTTATTTGTTGCCTATGTTTCATAATTTTTAATCTAAGGTCTTTTTAGAAATGTTTGTTAGTCCAAATGAGTGCTCACAATATGGTAAACACATGGGAGATTTCTTTTTTTTTAAATTTTATTTCCATACGTTATTGGGGATCAGGTGGTGTTTGGTTACATGAGTAAGTTCTTTAGTGGTGATTTGTGAGATTTTGGTGCACCCATCACCTGAACAGTATATACTGCACCCAATTTGTATTCTTTTATCCCTTACCCTCTTCCCACCCATTCCCCCTGAGTCCCCAAAGTCCGTTGTGTCATTCTTATGCCTTTGCATTATCATAGCTTAGCTCCTACTTATGATTGAGAACATACAATGTTTGTTTTTTCCATTCCTGGGTTACTTAACTTAGAATAATATTCTCCAGTCTCATCCAGACTGCTGCGAATGCCATTCATTCATTCCTTTTTATGGCTGTGTAGTATTCCATGGCATATATACCACAGTTTCTTTATCTTCTCATTGATCGATGGGCATTTGGGTTGGTTCCACATTTTTGCAACTGCGAATTGTGAGAAGCCATAACTTGATGGGTGTTTTGCAGTTGTATACTCCTTTGTCTGGATGGACACTGGACATATGTAGGGTTAAGAAATACATATGTGATTACAGGGCTTATTGTTTATTGAAAAACATATTACCATTAAATTAGAGTCTGGTGACCTATGATCTGATTTCAAAATAGCTTTGCCCTAATAACTTAAAACAGCTCTTTTCCTGTCAGCTGGCTTTTAACGTGTATTCAGACCATGATTTTTTTTTTGTACTTTAAAAAATTTGAGATAAAATTCACATAATACAAACACTATGAGTATTTCTGGTCAAGAGAATTTAAGAAAAGTTAATTGACTCAACACTTGGTCCATTTTTTTGACTGATGGCTGATAGGCTGGGTGCTATAAAGCCAAGTCTTTGCCTTCAAGATCACAGCCACCTGTGGGGATAAAAACATGTAAACAAATATTAATAGAAACACGTTACAAGGTGCCCTGTGATTGCCAAGGATGTTTATTACACTTTCCTCTTTGAGCCTGCCTCTGAAAATAGTGGAATTTTTTCCTCTTGCCTTGCTGTTTTTTTTTTTTTTTTTGTAGCAACTACTTCATTGTCTTAATGTTTACTCTGTCAGGGATTTCATATGAAAGTTAGAATTTTGTCAGCCACTCTGTTCTTCTGAACATCTCTTCCTTCCAACATTCAAAAGGCAGAAATATAAGTGGTGACACCTGAAGTTAGTGTATTTGTTGGGATTATAAAACATGCAGCACATTTAGGACTTGGTATAAAAAAGCTATTTTTGAATGCTGAAATGTAGACTGGGTTTATACCAAGCTTATTTTTCCTGCAAGTCTGTGGCAAGACCATTGCACAATAAACTCCAAATCTGCTTGCTTACTTAAGCCAGTCTTAATATTCACATATTTGTTTTTATTGTACATTTCACCTTTCTCCCTTCCAAAAAACCCAAGCCAGGAAAGGGTCTCCTTACTGTCTTCTGTGCTTTGAAGTTTCCTGAAATTTTATGTCTCTGTTTTTTGTCGTTGTTGTTGCTATTATCTCTTGGATGTTTGTAAATGTAATAGCAGTCAGTGCCTTTTCCTTTTATACTGGTAAATGAAGGCTTAGCTGGATAATGTTCATAAAGATCTCTAGAATCCTTAGAGAAAGGACTAAATAAAATGAAATAGTATTATGCAAGATGAATAAACTACTTTCCTGTATTAAGCCGAGTTTTATTAAGGTGAATTTTTTCTCAATGCTTATCTTTTTTTTAAAATTTATTTTAAGACTCTAGCTTTATTAATAGTTAATGCTCCTTCATTTCCCTACTCTAAGGCATTTCTGAACTGGTGCAGTTGTCATTTTTCTTCTTAACTTTATAAAGTATAGTATCTTTAAAATGTTAGTTAAACATTCTTTGATGTCTCTCCTTGGCCCATGAAATGTAAAAATTGATTTTAATAATCTTATTTTATTAAAATCTTGCAACATTTTTGTCTAGTGCTAGAATATAATATTCATAGCTCAATTTTAAACCTTAGACTTGAGTTTTATTTTACCTCTCTCTGTGTGAAAAGCTTAAAGGGCAAACTTATCAGGTTATACTTTACAGTTTTGCAGTTTTCCTCCTTTCACTATCCTGACAGCTGAGAAAGTCAAGGGAACAATCAACAGACTGGTTTAAGAGAGCAGAAATGTTTCCAGTGTCCTGGAATTTGCTTCCTCCCTGGTATGAAAGCTTATATTTGTAGCATACAAAGTGATGTTGTGTAAAAATGTGAAGGACAGGTGTTTACTCTGGCCTTGACCAAGGTGAGAATTTGAGATGGAAGAGTCAGGCTCTATATAGGGGATGTTTTGGAACTTGACCAGTCTGTCAGTTTTGTTACCTACCAGTGAAACTGAAAGGTAAGTGAAGGCAATGCAATTTCACAACTCATAATACAGCTCTAAAATCTTTTTTTTGGTTGATGTATTTTAAGCAGTTGAATATATTTTCCATAAATTTTACTGCTTTCCATTTACCTTTGAATAGAAGCCAATGAGGAGAAGTATTTAGAAGGTTATGAGCAATAACAGAATGAACTGTTGGAAAAGTCTTTTTGTGGCTTTCCTCAAGTGTGTACTGGTGGAAAAATTACTGTAATTTGATAGTGAAATGTTGGAAAATGATTTTATTTACTATTTAGAAAATAACACAAATGGGCCTTGCTTTTGAAATTCACAGGTTCAAAACATTTAGTTATGCCTCACTACCTTAATCTTTGCTCATTATGCTTTACATTGATGGAATTAAATGTGACACATTGCAATGTTGGATCAGCCCCACAGTTCTAAAATACAGGGTTTGATTAAATTATAAAAAAAATAAAGATACTGTACTGTTTAGTGTCAGAAATGGAGATTTGTGAAATTTTGTTTTTCGCTTGACGTTGTCTGAAGGAAAGAAAGTATCCCAGTGAGAGAGGAGGAAAAGAACATTAAGAATACCTGACTGTAACTTGCCTGTTGAAATCACAGAAGATTCTTCAGCTTTGGAAGAGCAAATAGTTTTTTCAAAGCTAAATCTTTAGTGTCTGTACTGATCATAATATGGCTAGTCCGCTGGGAAATGGTACTTTCAGTATGTGTGTCTGCCCATGCCAGTAATAAACACGTGTTTATTGGCCATTCGGCCCTGAAGCATCCAGTTTTATCTTTTGGGTATACAAGGGCATGTGCAGATGAAGGTCACAGCTTCATGATGCTTGCTGTGAGGCTTATGGGTATCAGTAGGAAGGCTAACAATGTAATTCCCATAATGTCCAGGGAATTCTTTGGAGGCCATCCTCTGATTCTTTTGCTTACCTTGTACAGGGGCTTGTCTATACAGTATTCCTCAGACTTTCAATCAATGGTGTGATTAACTTGTGCTTTAGAATTCATAAGATTATATGAGCATTTTCAGTGGCCTAAAGTCACCTGTCATTTGTTTTAATGGTTAAGGGTCAGGAATTGAAAGTTAGACGTAGGTTTTAGTTTCAGCTGTGCTTCTGTGTGATTTTAGTTACTTAATTTCTATAAGCTTCAGTTTTCTTATGTGTAAAATAAGTATCCATTCATTCATTTGTTCATTCATCCATTCAATAAATAGTAAGTACTTCCCATGTGCCAGGCCTGCTCTTGGTGCTGGGAAGTGAGCAACAGGGAAAGCAGAGAAAAATCTCCGCTGTCATGGAGCTTCAATTCATGGGGAAATGGAATGTAAATTAAAAGAAGTTAAACATTTTGTGTATTTTCCACATGTGAATATATATGAGATGATGACAATTGCTACAGACAAAATGAAACAGCATTGGGGTAGAGACAAGATTGGAATGCGATTTCTATTTCATGGGGGGTAGACAGGAAAGGCTTCTGTAAATAGGTCATATGTAAGCAGAGACACAAATGAAGAGGAGGATGATATATGAGGATATCTGGGGATGGAGGCTCCGGGGAACAGCAAGTCTGGCAGGTGTTGCACATTCCTGAGGTGAGAACAAGCTTGGTGCATCAGAGGGGCAGTGAGGAGAGGCCATTGTGGCTGAAGTGGCTGAAGTAGAGTGAGGGAGGGGCAGAGCAGGATGGTAGTAGTGCCCAGTTTGTGGGGCTGCTTAGGAAATAACTTGCTTAACATGTACTTCGTACATATTAAAAGAATAAAACACTGTAACAGTTGAGGTTTATTTCGGGAATGCAAGAAGGGTTCATCATCTTATTAAATATAAATAGAAAAAAGTCATCTGTTTTTTTTTATAGAAAAGGCATTTGATAAAATTCAATCTCTATTATCGATTTTTTTTTTTTTTGAGACAGAGTCTCCCTTTATTGCCAGGCTGGAGTGCAATGGCATAGTCTTGGCTCACTGCAGCCTCCGCCTCCCGTGTTCAAGCAATTCTCCTGCCTTAGCCTCCTGAGTAGCCGGGACTACAGGTGCCCACCATCGCACCTGGCTAATTTTTGTATTTTTAGTAGAGACGGGGTTTCACCATGTTGGCCAGGATGGTCTCGATCTTTTGACCTTGTGATTCGCCTGCCTTGGCCTCCCAAAGTGCTGGGATTACAGGCATGAGACACTGTGCTCGGCCGATTTTTTTTTTTTTTTTTTTGCCCAGGCTGGAGCGCAGTGGCAAGATCATGGCTCACTGTGGCCTCAAACTCCTGGGCTCAAGCAATGCTCCCACCTCAGCCTCCTGAGTAGCTGGGATTACAGGTGTGCACCACCATGCCTGGCTAATTTTTTTATTTCATTTTTTTTGTCGAGACGAAGTCTTGCTATGTTGCCTAGGCTGCTCTTGAACTCCTGGCCTTAAGAAATCCTCTCACCTCATCCTCCAGAAGTGCTGGGATTACAGTTGTGAGCCATTGCACCTGGACCTATTATTGATTTTATAAAAACCCTTTAAAATATAATAGGAAAATACCCTTAGCAAAGTAAAGTATGTTCATCTCAACCTAAAACCATCTGAGCCTAAATAGGAAATTTGAGAGCATTTCCATTAACATCAGAACCCAAAATAAGAATGTTTACTATTTTCACTAATTGTTAATGGTATTTGGAATCATAAACCAGTGCTGCTGGATGAGAGAAAATAATGAAGTTATCAAGAAAATCAGAAAGGAGGTAAATGAATGTTGTTTGCAAATAATGGGAATATGTGACTCAAATATCCAAGAGAATAAAATAAAAAGCTAATTACGAAGAATATGATAATCTATAAATGTGCCTGGATACCCAAGTAATGTGTCAGCATTCATAACTTCCATATATGCTAACAATAACCAGTTAGAAGATATATTGGGGAAAAAGGCCATTAGCATAAAAAGGATGAAATACCTAAGAATAAACTTAGGAAAATAATATGGATGCTGTATGTGAAGGCGTTTAAAAATGCTCCTGATGTGTAAAAAAAAAGATACGAAAAAATGGAAAGGTCCCATCATATTCTTGGATGTGAAGGTGCCAATTCTCTGTGAATTAATCTGTATTTTTATGTAATTCCAGTAAAAATAACAACAGGATTTTTGGGGGCTCTAAACAAGCTGGTTCTATGGTCATTTGGAAAAGTAAACAACCACAAATAGGACAATTCTGAAAAAGAGAATAAAATCTAGCTTAGTAAGTCTACAATAATTGAAACATTGGTATTGCCAGATACCATATTTAGCATACAATAAAGGTGGTATTTCAAATTAGTCGGGTAAAGTTGCTCAGTTCCATAACTGAGGGATAACCAGGTAGCTGTCTGGCGGAAAAGGTACTATTTGCAGCAGTATCTCAAATGTTAAGCCAAAAATCAATCTATGATAAACAAATTTAAAATATAAACTAGATTGTAGAATAACATGGGAAAGTTATTTTATAATCTTGGAGTATGTACATACGGCCCTTCTAAGTAAGATAGAAAACTGAGAAGCCATAAAAGAAGAGATTGATATATTTGATTACATTTTTTAAAAAACCTGAGTAGCTTCTGCATACTTCAAGGAACAAGAAAATTGGGGAAAATATTTGCTTCTCAAATCATGAAGGGACTAATTTTCTTAATAAAAAGCTCCTAAAATCCATAAGAAAAAGTCCAAAAACCAGAAGAAAAATGGACTAAGGCTACAAATAGTCTAAAGGAAGGGAAATAACAGTGGCTTTTAAACATATGGAAAGATGCTTAACTTCACCCATTATCACAGATACGCACATTACAACTACACCGAGGTACCATTTATCACTGTTAGATGGACAAAGATTACAAAGTCTTATAACCTATTCTGTAGAGAGTATAGGTGCAAAACATTAGTCTATTTAGTGGGCAATTGGCAAAATCTATAATATGAAAATTTCATATTGCTTTATCTAGGAATTTCAGTTTTAGAAATTTATCCTAGATACAAAAACACAGTCCTAGACATGCAAACATTCATACGCACTATGAATGTATTCTGCATATACTGTACATACTTATTACATGCATGAGAAAATTATGTACAAAGTTATTAATTGTAGTAGTGTTTATAATGGCTAAAGGTTGGAAACAACCTAATGTTCATAATGGGATACTGAATCAATACATTATGTTACAGCTGTACACTCGAAAATGTTCGACCATAAAAATCCACACCAGTGAATTCTCTTTAGGTACCAATTTGGAAACATTGCCAATGTATGAAATAGTATAATATGTTTATTTGTGTAAAAAACATTTATACAAGATGTTTTGTTTATATGTGAAAAGATACAATTTCTGGGAAAGCTAACTTGGTGGCTGAAGACATGCCTAGCCTCATTTCAAAAAAAATCTACATGTAGCACATGCCTTGCTGTTAGCACTTATTACATGCTAGTGGTGGTGGTGATTTTCGTTGTAAAAACAAGATTCCTTTGCCTCACAGGTTGATTTTTAACAGCTGAGTCTGGAAGAGGGCGGTCATCTCATTATAAATACTGCTTATTGAGTGTCAGACTTGGGTTTTTCACCAAGAATGCCGTATATACTTCCTGAAGTATGTTTCTTGGAGGTTATCAATACTAGCTGTGCAAACCAAAGATGTCAAATAATATTGGGCTAAACAAAACTAAGCAGACTTCTTTTCTACAAGGCCTTCTTAGAGCCTTAATATACGTACTGTGTTTTGTGAATATTCAAGAAGAACATTTAGAATGTGGCATTTCCCCAAATTTATTTAACTACAGAACCTTGGACAATAACTACTTAAAAAAAACACCTTATGAGTAGTTGTCACATTGGGAAACATCACTTTAATACTAGAATTTGGTTTCATTCACCTTCATTATTCATTTTAGTAAGTCAGTATTCTTGGTGTATTTCTAAGATACTTGTGGTCTCTGCCTGCTTTCTTTTCCTTCCCTTGTGGTATGCTCCAATTCACGAATTTGTTTTGTAGTTGAGACCCTCCCAAAGTCATCCAAATTACACTCAGTTTCTTGGGTAAAAAAGAATTGTATGAAATTAATGTGAAATCTCAGGGATTGATTGAACAGAAATTGAAGATTGAAGCTTCATTTGGTTCAACTTTTCCTAAAGCTTTAGAAGGTTTGCTGTTGAGAGGAGGAATAAAATCAACTTAATGGATACACTGTTGAGGAATTGTGAGCTTAATATGGAGAAGACAGTATTACTGTGGGGCTTAGAAGACATGGCTTCTACCTCTGTCTTCATCTTTTAGCACAACTTAATTTTGAACAGGTCACTCATCCTCTCTGTGCCTCAGTTTTATCCTCTGTAAAACTCAGGGATTGCATTGAAGTGATAAGTATGGGTCCATCCATTTTAAGACTTTAAGTTATTATTAACGTGCTTAATGGAATCAGTGAAGTTTGTGGACCTGTGTAGAATATTTTGTTCTACTATGGGAGATTCCACATGTGAATATAATGTATTACCTGTCCCAGTTCAATCCTTTTTGAGAATGAAATTATTCAATAATTAGCTCATAGTCAGCTTCATGTGTTTGAAAACTTATTGAATTGTTTGAAACTTCTCTCTTCGTTGGTTGGTTGGTTAATTATCCTCCAGGAAAGCGTTTGATTATATTACAGATCAATTAATACAATGCTATGGATAATCCACACCTCTTGTATAAATGTGCACCCCACCCACATTTGTTTCTCTGGTGTATGGAGAAATCCATGATGTGGATATTAATTCTCTCTCCCCACCCCAACAAAGTGTTCATTTGGTGGTTTTGCTGTGCTTTTGTGTACTCCCTGCCTATTAGCATATTTCTGAACTTGACATAGTAGAGGTCTAAATTCACTGAATTTATGCCATCTGGAAATGAGCTTTAAATTTTGTTCCTTTGTTGAAATTAGGGATGTGATATAGCTATTACACAGGACTGTGAGCCTGAATTTGATTATATTATGTGGAGGTAGAATGTTTTGTTAGAAGGAAAGCATTTGCCTGGGGAGAGATTTGAGTGTGACTGAATTGTTAACTGCCAGCTTCCCCCCTTTTTGGCAGGAGACATATTTTGTTTTTAAATGAGATGACAACCAAGAGAATTATCAAGAACCAGTGAATTTTAAGAGAGTTCTTTCAATTTACTTGAATTCCACTTAACCTTGCTTTCGATGTCATTCTGTGCATTACTGTCAAAGGACTCGGCTTCCTTTGAAGTCATGAAGCGTTGCTGCTGGCGGGATCATGATGGTAAAATATAAGAGTGGTTCTTAGTAAAGCCCTTAACTGATACCCAGCAATGCCTTATTACCTAAGTAAAAGCATATGTGTGCGAGTGCCTAAAATTGTAGAGTGTAAGGGGAGGATATATGATAATGGACATTGAGATGGGAGAAGTATTTCTCATGAATTAGGGATGCCCTTTCATAATTCACAAATTGCAAGATGAGAAAAGGCTTGAAATCACCTGAAAAGCATCTAGCAGCAATCTGTAATTCTTAAGAGGAGGTAAAAGAGCCTGTATCTCTCCAGCACATGATGATAAAACTGTTCCTGTGGGATACGGAAGAAGGAGAATTCTGTTACTTGTAAAACCCCTTGCGATTAAATGGCCAGATATTTGGTTATGAGGTGATACTGGTAGTTCCCAGGTGGTTAATAAATGATTAATTGATTAGACTGAAGAAGGCTGATTTGAGGGTATTGAGGAAATCTGAATATGAAGAATTTGTTTTTTGCATGCAAAACGTTATCCTTTACTTTTCATACTCCACTCTTCTCATGCCTTGCCACTGCTACTCCTGTGCCTAGTTTTGAAGATTTAGGTCACACTGTGTCCCCCCACCCCCATTTTTTTCTTTTCACGAATATTTGTTATAAGAGAAGGTACATTCTAAGCCTTTGACACACATACACACATAGGTTAAACACACATACACAACACCTTTTGTAGAGACTTCTAGGGCCATCTTTTATTATATTGGACTATTGCAGAAAAATTATTATGTGAAAGTGGCTTACCCTTTGAGGCTTGAGAAATCATGGCTATATAGAGATTTCAAAAAGACATATTTGTTTTACAGGACTCTGACTTGAATTGCTCCCCTCAACCCATCTAAAGATAGGAACTATTTTACCTATTATTTGTAACTATATCAGAAGAAATTGCATCTTGTTTTTTTCTTTTGCATAAGTAGTTGTGATCATATGTAATTACAACATTGTACCCTGCTTTTTCTTTCCACTTTGTATTATAAACTACATATTCCCATTTTATTGTAACTCATAACATTTCTTTTTTATTTAAAAATTACTTTAAAAATTTGACATAAAATTGTATATATTATGTACAGCTTGATGTTTTGAAGTATATTTATATATACATATTATGGAATGAAAAGTTTTTAATGGCCAACAGAATTGTGATTAAGTAAATTATGTGGTTGTGGCAAATTTACAGTTTGTGACAAACTGACTTCCTCAGTTATTGGCATTTAAATCGTTTCCATGTTTATTTTTTATTTTTTTAGAACCCTAAGAGAGGCTTCTTGCACCTACGCAAGAAAAAATTGAGGGCAAATCCATAGAGTAAAGTGAAGGCAAGTTTATTAAGAAAGTAAAGGAATAAAAGAATGGCTACTCCATAGGCAGAGCAGCCTGTTTCCATGTTTTAAATTTAAGTATAGTATTTATTATTTCCTTAAAAAATGTACTCTCTTGGACATTTTCTCTGGCCTCCACTTATTGTGATATCAAATAGTGGCTTCTTGTGGTTTTGTTTAGTATCTATGTTGGCTTCTGGCTAACTGCTAAGGGTTAGTCTCTCTAGATGTTCTTACTGCTGTCTTGGACACCTCTACGTTTTGTTCTCTGTGTTTCTCCCAGGTAGGATAATTTCCTTGCCAGCTTCTCTTCAAGCTCATGTTTTTCTGGTTGTAAGGTAGGCATTAAGCCACACATTTGTGTTACGAAAATTATCTTGCCAGTTAGGCCTGATGATAGGAGATGTGTGTCTAAGACCAAAGTAGACTTTGCCCGTTGGATGGCGAAAACCTGAACTATGAATTGTCAGTATCTAGAGAGGTCAAAGTTACTCAGAAATATTTGGGAATGTGTACATTTTTTGAAATTGTTTATAAAAAGTTTTTTGTGCTCCTTTCTTTGCTATTTTATATTATGCTATCATTATTATCTTAATATGATACTGTTGACCCATGGATATGGATTTATTTTCACACTTTTTTTCACTCCCAAAAGAAGCATATAATTGTTTGACATCTCTTATAAGATGGAAGAATCCTTTTCTATTTTCTGTTACCCAGCAGGAGTTTCTCATTTTTGGCTAGCATTCAGATTTCTAAATAAAGATTTGCTTTTTGCTTATTTATTTATTTTTTTATGGTGAAGACAAATGCACACTGGGAGAACCCACTCAGTGTACAACATGTAGTGGTAAATGCGAGCGGAGAAAAAATAGAGATACTCAGATTGGATTTTGCAGTTTATTAATTATTATTTTTATTCCTCTTCATAGATTTTTAAAGTCTTCTTCTAGGGGTTTCCAGCAGAGCCAAATGTTAGAAAAATCTTTCCGCTCCTCTGAAGAGTGAAGTGAGCAAATACAACCCAGCAGTAGGTTATTGAAGACAGCAGCCCCAGGTAATGTCTTCTTTTCTCATTATTATTGACATGTGTTCAGTAATGCTCAATAATATGTTATACTTTTTTTTTTTTAAAGCAAGTCTACTTGAACTTACACATCCATGTGAACATTATCTTGTTTAAAATGTCTTAGGGAGAGGCTGTACTCTATCCTCTATGTGAAGCATTTAAAAAATCTTTTCTTAAGAACTGCATCTTGACCCTCTGGTAGCATTCTTCTAAGCATCCTGTTTTCTCTAGTGGCAAATATCAACCTTGTAAGGATATACTTAGGAAATAGTCTAAACTCATTTAGAACTTGGGTGATGATCATACCTGGGGTTCTCTAATTTTGATCAAAACCAAGAAGGAGCAATAACATAAGGAAACCAATTTTTCTTTTTGTAATTTGAAGACTCATACACTGTATTGAAAATAAATTCTACGAAGTGACTGAGTTTCAAGCAATGGTAGTATTGTTAAAATAATTGTTCAGGCTTCATAATTTACAGAGGCATGTACTATTTATTTGACTATAAATGTTGATATTCTTTCTTATTAAAATCAATAAGTCAATCTGTTAGTATTGTAGAAGAGTTCCTATGTTAATCAGAAACTTCCTTATTAGATATACCTCTAATGCTTTATAATTTGCCTCTATAAATGATCTTCTTGTGGGGGTGGGGGGGTGTTTTGCAATATTTCCCAAAGTGTTACTAGAGTGCTTGCTAAAAAAACACATTAAAAATTTCATATTAGTAGGCCTGAAACTAGTGTATCAAAATCAGAATCAGAATGGTAGGGGCAGGACTTGGGAATCTGCATATTGCAAGTGAATGTCAACAGAGATTGACACTCTGGTCCAGTAAAATCAGACCTCTACCTAGGATCTTTGTAGTTTAAAAAATTTAGTGCAACTTATTGTGTAGACACAAAACAGCTATTTATGATTGTGTGCTTTTCTGGGAAGAGTAGGGGGAAGGGAGGCTTAGGGAAAGATTTGTTAAAGGATCCAAAATTATAGCTAGATAGGAGAAATAAGTTCTTCTGTTCTATACCATGGTAGGATGACTATAGTTAACTATCTAGCTGTAATTTTGTATCCTTTAAGAAATCTCTCCCTAACCTTCCCTTCCCCCTAGTCTTCCAAGTCTATCATTTTAGAGACAGTTTAAGATACGGAACAGAAAAGCTGATAATCATAAATAGCAGTTTTATGTCCACGTAGGACTTCTTATGAAGTTCTGTTTCTAATTAAGGTATTTCAGGAACAAAGTGGTATTGCATAAATTTGGAGCTCATTTTAGACTAAGATTTAATAATTGTTAATAGGCATTGAGCCTGTGTTTAAGTTTTATGTTAGCATTTGTTGGGTAATGACTTCTTAAATTCGGGATTTGACTCTGATGAACTCTGAGTTTTGGTCTTAAGTTTGGAATGTGTGTGTGTATCCTCTGTTACAGGGCTTTTCCCAGTTAACTCCAACCAATGAGAGCTCCTCTGATGTTTTAGGGAGCTTTAATTTCAAGGTCCTTAGCAGAATGAACATTCTTATGATAAAGAATTAGCCACTCATGAATCCTGGGGATAACCTATAGTCGTTTACAACCATTCACCTGTCTGTAGAGCAGAAGTTGTTTGGAACATGTTCTTGCCTCTTAGCTCTAGAAAGCAGCATGAGTGATAGAATGATATTTATACTGGTTTGGAAAAGGTCAGAAACCAAATATTGTTGCCTTAGACGTGAGGTTATTTTGAGTTGTGCAGGAGACTTTGGGAGTGGGGTGTGAAGAGTACAAAAACAAATATATGTAAAAGGGAAGGCCTGGCAAGGATACTAAGAAGGTAGAGGGAGTAGCTTAGGTGGTTGTAGGACTGACTTGGATAATGAAAGGATGTAACACTTGGGTGTATTGGTTTCTTCCGAGGAAATGATGGTGGATACTAAAGGTAGCATAACAAGGACCACCCAAGTGGAAAATGGGTTTGAAGATGGACTCTGAAAGCTTGAAGACAGTATGATGCAAAATGTGTATGATAGTCCTCAGGAGAGGCTGTCAGTAGAATTCATCTGTTATGAAATTTGGTTGTGTTCTCAGAACAGTGAGACAAATAGCAGGTGGATAGAGGCAATTACAGATATTCTGAGCTGTTGAGATAATTGTATATTTGAATATGCTATTTCAGGGTTAAAAGTCGTCTACATGAGAAAAGAAGAGCAGTTATGGCAGCATTAGAAGGCTCTCCTTTCTAATGTAATGCCAGGAATGTCTGAGTCATGCAGAATTGGGGTGGTGAGTGAGGAATGTTTCTCTGTGGCTTCCCTGGCTTTGTGTGGGGAGCCAGTGGGAAGCCATTTTCAAAAGTGGTTTTGAATAAAAATCTAGCCCCAAAACTGTTTTAGTAAATAACACAAAAATATACCTAAAAAGTGACTTGTTAGGGTCAAATAATCAAACCACCTACATAATGCTGTAAATCTGAAATTTGTTCATTTTGCACATATCTTTTCATAATTTTATCAATTTTTAAATTATAATCTGTGCCTTCTTTTGTAAATTTAGTCTTTTTAATTAATTCATCCATTTTGGTCTCTTCACATATTCTATGACCCTTATAATTTCTTTCGAGCATAGTTTGGATCTTTTCCAGTTTTTTTTTTTTTTTTTTTTGTCTGTTCTAATTGACCAGAATGGCTTAAAATAAATATGTATAATTTATGTTTGGTCGTGTTTTCCATTTCATTTTTAACATCATTTCTGAAATACCCTTGTCTTGGTCTTTAAGTGTATAGTGCCACACTGAACTGATGTACTCAGAGAAAAGTCTCTAACAACTCTAGTCTAGACTAGAGGTTCTCAAAGTGCGGTCCCCAGATGAACAGTGCAAACTTCACCTGGGAACTTGTTGGAAATGTAAATTCTTGGACTGAATCAGAAGCCCAGAGGGTGGAGCTCAGAGTTTTTTTTTTTTTTTTTGAGACAAATCCTCACTCTGGTTGCCCAGACTAGAGTGCAGTGGCACATTCTTGGCTCACTGAAGCTTTGACCTCCCGGGCTCAAACAATCCTCCCACCTCAGCTTCCTGAGTAGCTGGTATGACAGGCACCTGCCACCATGCCTGGCTAATTTTTTTATTTTTTGTAGAGACGGGTTTCACCATGTTGCCCCACCTTCTTGAACTCCTGAGTTCAAGCAATCTGCCCGCCTTAGCCTCCCAAAGTGTGGGGATTACAGGCGTGGGCCACTGTGCCTGGCTGAGGTTTATATTTAACAAGCCCTCTAGGTCAGCAGTCTCCAACCTTTTGGCACCAAGGACTGGTTTTGTGGAAGACAATTTTTCCATGGATGACGGGGATGGCGTGGCTTGAGAATGAAACTGTTCCATCTGAGATCATCAGGCGTTAGTTAGATTCTCATAAGGAGTGTGCAACCTAGATCCCTCACATGTGCATTTCACGATAAGGTTTGCGCTTCTATGAGAATCTAATGCCACTGCTGATCTAACAGGAGGTGGAGCTCAGGAAGTAAAGCTCACCCACTGCTTACCTCCTGCTTGGTGGCTTGGTTCCTAACAGGCCAGAGACTGGTACCAGTCTGGGTCTCAGAGGTTGGGGACCCCCTGCTCTAGGTGATTCTGATATGTGCTATTGTGCAAGCCATTTATTTTTTCTTGTCCTTGGTCTCCTGAGCAGATACATTACGGGTTCTCAAACTGTGTGCACATGAATCATCTGGTAAGCTTATTTTAGACATTTCAAGAAGCAGAGAATTTTTCCTGACCACATACCAGGAGATTTTGATTCAATACGTCTTGGATAACTCAGTTTATGTGCATTTTAACGAGCTCTCCAAAGTAGTTCTCATATCTATGATCTGGATTAAATGGATGTCTCTCACTTTCTTCAAGCCCAAAATTGATGTGATTTTAAATGGCTCTTTGGGTTTAGTAACTGAAAACTTGGGGCCAGAAATTTATTTGTAAAATGCAGTTTGGATTATTTTTTGCTGAAGTCAGATTATGTTCTGATTTCTTTCCTTGAAAAATATTTTCTTGCCGGGCGTGGTGGCTCATGTCTGTAATCCCAGCACTTTGGGAGGTCGAGGCGGGCGGATCGCCTGAGGTCGGGAGTTCGAGACCAGCCTGACCAACATGATGAAACCCCATCTTTACTAAAAATACAAAAATTAGCCGGGTGTGGTGTCAGGCACCTGTAATCCCAAGCTACTCGGGAGGCTGAGGCAGGAGAATCACTTGAACCTGGGAGGTAGAGGTTGCAGTGAGCCGAGACTGCGCCACTGCACTCCAGCCTAGGCAACAAGAGCAAAACTCCATTTAAAAAAAAAAAAAAGAAAAATATTTTCTTGCTTACTATATAATATTTTTCTGAGGCTTCTCCTTCTTGTTAAGGAAAAGAGCCTTTGGCCCTTAACTTGGAGATTTCATTATGCAGTTCTTCTAGGTAATTCTTTCAAATAGTAAACCTTAAAACACTATTCTAGGGAATGTCACTTTTTATTGAGATGTATCTTTTTGTCCCTGCCCTGTATTTCTTATCTTTAAGCCTGTTCCCTATGGATGATGGTATATTTTCCTCATCTCAATGTCATTCATATTTTTGTTTTTTTCTTTAGTTTTATGGTACTTCTTTATTAGAAGAATCGTTTGTGAGTCTTCCTCTTCTTTTCAGTCTTTTTTTTCTCTGTTCATCCCTTGGATTTAGGAAATTTCCAAGCTTTTTCTTCTTTCCACATCTCACCCACATGTTCTTCCCTCAGGGCCTGCTTTTTCATGTTGGCTAGGAACTTGCTCAGACATCACCTTAGCGTCCACTTTATAAAGTAGCATCCAACTCCCACAACTCTCTCCTAAGCTTTAGACCTGGATGTCCCACAGTCAGGTCAGGTTATCGTGTCTGGCATTGAACTCATTGTTCTTCACACCTGAAATCCGTGCCTTCTTTCATATTCCCTGTATTGGTAAATGGCATCACCATCAACCATCAACCAAATGTAGCTAACATTTATCAGGTGTTTCCTGTGTGCCAGGCACTATTCTAAGATCTTCCATGTAATTCCTTACAAAATCCTTTGAGATACATTCTATTATTTTTCTCATCGTACAAATAAGGAAACCGAACCACATAGAGTTTAAGAAATTATCTCAAGGTCACAAAAGGATTAATTAATGGAGATGGAATTCAAGCCAGGCTGTCTGGTTCTAGAGCATGTAGTCCTAATTACTGTGCTTTGCTGCCTTTCTTTTTCAGTGGCTCAAGCCAGAAATCTAGGATTATCCTTTACTTCATTTTCTTCCCTCTGCATATCTGCTTGGGACTCTTGAGTTCACCTGCTAAATCTCTCTTAAAACTACACTTCTGCTTCTCTACATTCATTGTAAGGGTTCTGGTCCAGACCTTCATCATCTCTCTTCTCAACTACTATAATTGGTGTTTTCTTTCCATTCATTTATGTTATGACTGGTGTATTCTGATCATGACACTCCTCTGCATTCACCAGTGTAGCTCCTCCACAATCAGTCATCCATTGTGGGCAATGCTTTTCTTTTATCCATATGTGCAGGTTTGTTATATGGGTATATTGTGTGATGCTGAGGTTTGGGGTATAAATGGTCCTGTCACCTAGGTAGTGAGCATAGTACCCAATAGGTAATTTTTCAGCTCTTTCCCCCCTCACTCTCTCTCCACTCTAATGGTCTCCAGTGTCTATTGTTCCCACTTATAAGTGAGAACATGTGGCATTTGGTTTTCTGTTCCTGCATTAATTCTCTTAGGATAATGACCTCCAGCTGCATCCATATTGTTGCAAAGGATGTGATTTCATTCTTTTCTAATGGCTGCATAATATTCCATCATGTACATATACCACATTTTCTGTATCCAGTCCACTGTTGATGAGCACCTAGGGTGACTCTATGTCTTTACTATTGTGAATAGTGCTGTGATTAGCGTGTGAGTGCATGTGTCTTTTTGGCAGAACAACTTATTTTCCTTTGGGTATATACCCAGTAATGGGATTGCAAATGCTGCCATAGTATTCCATTCTTTTCCTTTCATCTGACTCATCAAACTGTTTTAGTTGTTTGTTCAGTTACCTCTTTTAGACCGTGAGCTGCATCTTATTTATTTCTGTGCGTCTATCACCCAACGTAAGTATTCAATATTGATCATATGAAAGGACAAATGAATATTTAAATGAGCCAACTGATTTCTACCAATTCTACATGCTTCCTACTTTTGTAAAATAACTCGAGCTGGTGGAGAGAGAGTGGGAAAATGGCAGATAGGAGACAGGATTAACAGGCAGCTCCCACTTAGACAGACAGAACAGCATATGGAGACTCACATTGTGAAGTTTTGCTCCAAGAACCACCACAGGAACATACCAGGAAAACTGAAAGAATTCACAGACCCTTTGAAAGAAGCAGCTTACCGCTGCAAACTCTACGTGAGTTCCCAAGGTGTGAGAGGAGGAGAAGTCTGCCTCTGCACCCACATCCCACTGGGAACCTGAAAATCCTGAAAATCCAGCTCACAGGAGAAGGATTTAACCTCACCTAGAGCTGAAACGGATTTAGGGAGCTGAGTGAAATATAAAAGTAGAAGAAGTAGTGGGAAGAGCACTGTAGGCACTCCAGGTCCCCAGCTAGAGTCCAGGGAAGCCATTCCTGGCCTTATATCACAGGGGTCTTTGGGGAAGGGAAGGCAGCCAGCAGAATTGGGGAGGGGCCACAGAGTGAAGGAAACTCCTAGCTGAACTTTGTAATAATTTTGACTGAGCACGAATTTTCCTGAGTAGAATGTAGGGTTGAGGAGTGAACAGGAAGCGCGGATAGGAGTGCAGAAGCTACAGCCAAAGGTGCAGGCAGGTGGGGAGGGGCAAGGCCTGAGAGCCCTGCTTGCTTTCTCAGCAGGGAGGCTTGTAGCCTGGGGCAAGATCTCAGCCCTGCTTGCCAGCTGCTGGATATAAACTCAGTGCTGTTATCGAGGCATGGTGGGAGTGAGACTGGCCTTGCTGGGAGCTGGGTGAGACCTGTCATTGCCGACTTTCCCCGCTTCCCTGATGACCTGTAGGGTGCAGCAGAGGCAGGCATAATCCACCTGGGAACATAGCTCTATTGGCCTGAGAACTACCCTCCATCCTCCTCAGTGGCCGCAGCAAATCCTACCCAAGGAGAGTCTGAGTTCAGACCCGCCTAACCCTGTCCCCACCTGATGTTTTTCCTCTCCCCGCCCTAGTAGCCAAAAACACATAAACTCTTGGTTGGAAGTTCTATGGCCCCACCCATCACCTGAGAAACCAGAGCACTTATCTTTGCCTATGTAGGGCAAGGTTATATCCCCCTTCTACTACTGCAGCAAGTGCTCTCTTGAAAGCACCACCTCCTGGCTGGAAACCAACCACTTGAAGTTATTATAGCAACTCATAACAGAACCCTGCTCCAAAGAAGGAGAAAACAACAGCTAATTCCACTACCTGCAACACCCTGGCTAACCAGAGGTCGTGAGTCTGTCTGTGTGACAGCTTCACAGCTAGCATAACCAGCATTTGAGAAAACCAGTGCACTAAACAAAACTAAAACCAAGGACTCCCGCAGAGTCCACTTTACTCCCCTCCCACTTCCACCAGAGCAGGTGCTGGTATCCATGGCTAGGATACTTGAAGATGGATCACATCACGGGACTCTTTGCAGACATTCCCCAGCACCAGCCCAGAGCCTGGTAGGCCTACTGGGTGGCTAGACCCAGAAAGGCAATAACAATCACTGCAGTCTGTTTCTCAGGAAGCCGCATGTCTAGGGGAAGGGGGAGAGCACCACATCAAGGGATCACCCTGTGGGACAAAAAAATCTGAACAGCAGCTCTTGAGTTCCAGATCTTTCCACTGAAACAGTCTCCCCAAATAAGAGGGAACCAGAAAAGGAATTCTGGTAATATGACAGAATGTGATCCCCAAAAGATCACAAGCTACCCAGCAATGAATCCAAACCAAGAAGAAATCTCTGAATTGCTAGATGAAGAATTCAGAAGGTTGATTATTAATCTACTCAAGGAGGCACCAGAGAAAGGTGAAAACCGACTTAAAGAAATTAAAAAAAAAAACAGGATATGGATGAAAAAGTCTCCAGAGAAATAGGTATCATAAAGAAAAGATAATCACAACTTCTGGAAATGAAAGACCCACTTTGAGAAATGCAAAATACACTGGAAAGTTTCAGCAGTAGAATCGAACAAGTAGAAAGAACTTCAGACCTTGAAGACAAGGCTTTTGAATTAACCATCTGACAAAGACTAAGAAAAAAAGAATTAAAAAAATGAACAAAGCCTCCAATAAATTTGAGATTATGTTAAATGACCAAACATAATAATTGGTATTCCTAAGGAAGAAGAAAAATCTAAAAGTTTGGAAAACTTATTTGAGGGAATAATCAAGGAAAACTTCCCTGGTCTTGCTAGAGATCTAGACATCCAAATATAAGAAGCTCAAAGAACATCTGGGAAATTCATTGCAAAAAGATCATGATCTAGGCACATAGTCATCAGGTTATCTAAAGTCAAGACAAAGAAAAGAATCTTAAGAGCTGTGAGGCAAAAACATCTGGTGACCTATAAAGGAAAACCTATCAGATTAACAGCAGATTTCTCAGCAGAAACCCTACAAGCCAGAAGGGATTGGGGTCCTATCTTTAGCTTCCTTAAACAGAATAATCATCATCCAAGAATTTTGTATCCAGTGAAACTAAGCTTCAAAAATGAAGGAGAGATAAACTCTTTTTCAGACAAATGCTGAGAGAACTTGCTACTACCAAGCAAGCACTATAAGAAATGCTAAGAGGAGTTCTAAATCTTGACGCAAAACCTCAACATACACCAAAATAGAACCTCCTTAAAGCATAAATCTCACAGGGCCTATAAAACAATAACACAATGAAAAAAAAACACAAGGTATTGAGGCAACAACTAGCATGATGAATAGAGCAGTACCTCATATCTCAATACTAACGTTGAGCGTAAATGACCTAAATGCTCCATTTAAAAAATACAGAATGGCAGAATGGATAAAAATCCACCAACCAAGTATCTGCTGTCTTCAAGAGACTCACCTAACACATAGAACTCACATAAACTTAAGGTAAAGGGATAGAAAAAGATATTCCATGCAAATGGAAACATAGAAACCAAAAGCAAGCAGGAGTAGCTATTCTCATATCAGACAAAACAGACTTTAAAGCAACAACAGTTAAAAAGGACAAAGGGGAACATTATATAATGATGAAAGAATTAGTCCAGCAGGAAAATAACACAATTCTAAATATATATGCACCTAACACTGGAGCTCCCAAATGTATAAAAAAATTACTACTACACCTAAGAAATCAGATAGATGGCAACACAATAATAGTGAGGGACTTCAGTACTCCACTGACAGCACTAGACAGGTCGTCAAGACAGAAAGTCAACAGAAAAACAGTGGTCTTAAACTATACCGTAGAACAAATGGACTTAACAGATATTTACAGAACATTCCACCCAACAACTGCAGAATATACATTCTTTTCATCAGCCCATGGAACATTCTCCAAGATAGACTATAAGATAGGCCACAAAACAAGTCTCGATAAATTTAAGAAAATTGAGCTGGGGGCGGTTGTGTAATCCCAGCCACTTTGGGATTACATTCCTGTAATCCCAGCACTTTGGGAGGCTGAGGTGGGTGGATCACCTGAGGTCAGGAGTTCGATAACAGCCTGATCAATATGGTGAAACCCCGTCTCTACTAAAAATACAAAAATTAGCTGGGTGTTGTGGTGTGCACCTGTAGTCCCAGCTACTTGGGATGTTGAGACAGGAGAATTGCTTGAATCTGGGCGGCATAGGTTGCAATGAGCTGAGATCGTGTCATTGCACTCCAGCCTGGGTGACGGAGTGAGGCTGTGTCTCAAAAAAAAAAAAAAAAGAAAATTGCAATTATATCAAGTACTCCTCTCTCAGACCACAGTGGAATAAAATTGGAAATTAATTCCAACAGGAACCCTTAACACTATACAAATACATGGAAATGAAATAATCTGCTGCTGAATGATCTTTGGGTCAACAATGAAATCAACATGGACATTAACAAATTCTTTGAACTGAATGATAATAGTGACAACTGATCAAAACCTTTGGGATACAGCAAAAGCGATGCTAAGAGGACAGTTCATAGCAAATAAATGTCTACATCAAAAAGTCTGAAAGAGCACAAATAGATAATCTAAGGTCACTTCAAGGACCTGGAGAAACAAGAACAAACCAAACCAAAACCCAGCAGAAGGAAAGAAATAACAAAAATTGGAGCAGAACTAAATAAAACTGAAACAAACACAAAGGCAAAAGATAAATGAAACAAAACTTGATTATTTAAAAAGATAAACAAAATTGATAGATCATTAGATTAACCAAGAAAAGAAGAGAGAAGATGCAAATAAGCTTAATCTGAAATGAAATGGGAGATATTAAAACCAATACCACAGAAATACAAGAGATTATTCAAGGCTACTATGAACACCTTTATGGCTACAGACTAGAAAACCTGGAGGAAATGGATAAATTCCTGGACATATGCAACCCTCCTATATTAAACCAGGAAGAAATAGAAACTCTGAACAGACCAATAACAAGTAGTGAGATTGAAACAGTAATAAAAAAATTGCCAACAAATAAAGTCCAGGAACAGATGGATTTACAGCCGAATTCTATTAGACATTCAAAGAAGAATTGCTACCAATCCTACTGAAATGATTCCAACAGAAAAAGAGGGAATCCTCCCTAAATCATTCTGTGAAGCCAGTATTCCCTAATACCAAAACCAGGAAAGGACGTACCAAAAAAAAAGAAAATTACAGACCAATATCCCTGATTAACATAGAAGCAAAAATCCTTAACAAAATACTAGCTAACTGAATCCAACAGCATATCAAAAAGATAACGTACCATGATCAAGTGGATTTCATACCAGGGATGCAGGATTGGTTTAACATACACAAGTCAATAAATGTGATATACCACATAAACAGAATTAAAAACAAAAATTATATGATCATCTCAATAGATGCAGAAAATGTATTTGACAAAATCCAACATTGCTTTATGATTAAAATCCTTAGCAAAATCAACATTGAAGGGACATACCTTAAGGTAATAAAAGCTGTCTATAACAAACCCACAGCCAACATTATACTGAATGGGGAAAAGTTGAAAGCATTCCTCCTGAGGACCGGAACAAGACAAGGAAGCCCACTTTCACCACTTCTATTCAACATAGTACTGAAAGTCTTAACCAGAGCAATCAGACAAGACAAAGAAATAAAGGGCATCCAAATTGGTAAAGAGGAAGTCAAATTGTCCCTGTTTACTGATGACAGAATCAAATACTTAGAAAACCCTAAAAACTCATCCAAAAAGCTCCTTATAGATTCTGGATATTTGATCTTTGTTGGATGCATAGTTTGCAAATATTTTCTTCCATTCTGTAGTTTGTCTGTTTACTCTGTTGATAGTTTTTTTGCTGTGCAGTTGCAATTGCTGTTGGTGCCTTTGTCATGAAATCTTTGCCAGGGCCTATATCCAGGATGATACTTACTGGGATATCTTCCAGGGTTTTTATAGTTTTAGGTTTTACACTTAAGTCTTTAATTCACCTTGAGTTGATTTTTGTATATGGTATAAGGAGGAAGTCCAGCTTCAATCTTCTGTATATGGCTAGCTAGTTATGCCAGTACCATTTATTGAATAGGGAGTCCTTTCCCCATTGCTTGTTTTTGTCAACTTTGTTGAAGATCAGATGGTTGTAGATGTATAGCTTTATTTCTAGGCTCTCTATTCTGTTCCATTGCTCTATGGTCTGTTTTTGTACTAGTACCTTGCTGTTTTGGTTATTGTAGCCTTGTAGTATGGTTTAAAGTCTGGTAACATGATGCTCCAACTTTGTTCTTTTTGCTTAGAATTTCCTTGGCCATTTGGGCTTTTTTGAGGTTTCATATGAATTTTGAAATACTTTTTTCTAATTTTATGAAGAATGTCATTGGTAGTTTGACAGGAATAGCATTGAATCTGTAAATTGCTTTGGACAGTATGGCCATTTTAACAATATTTATTCTTCCTCTCCATGAGCATGGAATGTTTTTCCATTTGTTTGTGTCATCTCTGATTTCTCTGAGAAATTTACAATGACGATTTTGGACTTCTCATTGTAGAGATGTTTCACCTTCCTGGTTAGCTGTATTCCTAGGTATTTTTCTTTTTGTGGCTATTGTGAATGGCATTGTATTCTTGCTTTGGCTTTCAACTTGGATGTTATTGGTGTGTGGAAATGCTACAGTTTTTTATACATTAATTTTGTATCCTAAAACTTTGCTGAAGTTGTTTATCAGATTTAGGGGCTTTTGGGCAGAGACTGTGGGATTCTTTGGGTATAGAATCATATTGTGTGCAAACAGAGATAGTTTGACTTCCTCTCTCCTTGGATTATGCTCCTGATTTTATAAAATTGATCAAATTATTAGAAAGTATAGAAAAAAGAATGGAAAGGGGCCGAGTGTGGTGGCTCACCCCTGTAATCCCAGAACTTTGGGAGGCCAAGGCGGGCAGTTCATCTGAGGTCAGGAGTTTGAGACCAGCCTGGCCAACATGGCGAAACTCCATCTGTACTAAAAATAAAAAATTAGCTGGATGTGGTAGCACGCGCCTGTAGTCCCAGCTACTCGGGAGGCTGAGGCACAAGAATCGCTTGAACCTGGGAGGCAGAGGTTGCAGTGAGCCGAGATTGTGCCACTGCACTCCAGCCTGGGCAACAGAGTGAGACTGTTTCAAAAAAAAAAGAAAGTAAAGAAAAGAAAAAAGACTGGAAAGAAAGATATTGAAGTTTTAAAAGTGGTTTGTCTCTCATGTTGGTGCTATGAGTGATTTTTATTATCTTTTTGTTTGCTATATATTCTTTTTTTTTTTTTTTGAGATGGAGTTTCTTTCTTGTTACCCAGGCTGGAGTGCAGTGGTGTGATCTCGGCTCACTGCAACCTCCACCTCCCAGTTTCCAGTGATTATCCTGCTTCAGCTTCCCAAGTACCAGGGATTACAGGCATGTGCCACCATGCCTGACTAATTTTTCTATTTTTAGTAGAGACAGGGTTTTGCCATTTGGCCAGGGTGGTGTTGAACTCTTGACCTCAGATGATCCTCCCGCATTGGCCACCCAAAGTGCTGAGATTACAGGCATGAGCCACTGTGCCTGGCCTATATATTCTTTTCTTACAATGATTATATATTGTTTTATGATTTAAAAATACTGTTAAAAATAAACAATATGTCTACCGTTTTGATGATCAGCTGCTGCTTTGCTATTTAGGGTCTCAGCATGAAAGCTGAAATTTTAATATTGATGTTTTAATCAAGGAAGAATAAGCCCATGGCATATATATCCTATAGGATTTGGGATTTACATATTGGACATGTTTTCCTGCATTTGTTTAGAGATATTTCCTCCTTTTTATTCTAGTAATTTAGATCTCACCTAATGGAATCTAGTACATTAAATAAACAAAAGATTATATATATATATTTTTATATATATATATTTTTTCTTTCTTTCTGTGGCATTTGTTGTAGCTGTTGAAAACAAAAGCACCACAAAGCTTAAAAGCTTAAATACTCATATTCGGTAGCTTTGTAGTCCTGTGGCTGCTTTTAGCATCACCATTTCCAGGGCAATCCTGATATGAATATATATTTGTTTTTGGAGGGAAAGCTGAGAAGATTGTGGCACATTTGTGCTCTCATGTAGTTGACCCTTAAGAAAGATAATGTGTCCCACTGCCCTATTTCATATTCACAGACCCTATAGTCAGGAATAGATTACATTTATTTATTTATTAATTATTTGAGATAGAGTCTCACTCTATCACTCAGGCTAGGGTGCAGTGGCACAATCTCAGCTCACTGCATTCTCCATTCCCCCGGCTCAAGTGATTGATTTTCCCATCTCAGTCACTCTAGTAGCTGGGACCACAGGAGCATACCACCACGTCCAGCTTTTTTTTTTTTTTTTTGTATTTTTGATGGAGATGAAGTCTCACCATGTTGCCCAGGCTGGTTTTGAACTCCTGAGCTCAAGCTGTCTGCCCACTTTGTCCTCCCAAAGTGCTGGGATTACAGGTGTGAGCCACTGCCCTTGGCCAGGAATAGATTAATTATAGAGCTGTATTCCAGAATGCTAGATAAAGAGAGCAAGTATGAAAAACATGTTAAATATAAACCAAAAGAAACATATAAATATAATATAAATATAAACCAAAAGAAACAATAAAAGCAAATCCTGAAAGCAACAATATATAGCTGGGAATTTTGGGACCTGGGGATGGGAATGCAAGGTTTAGATTATGTTTAGCGGGAAAAAGGCAGATTCATGTAAACATTTTAGAGTGGTTTTCCTTAGGCTGTTTGAGAATGAGCAAATCTTTCTAATGTAAAAACATACTTCAGAATGCTACAAGATTCTGCCTCTAATTCTGTTATCTCTTAACTGAGAAAATAATATTGATAGAAAGTTACTTAAACTCTAATTATGCTTTTAAATAAATCCATATTTTGCTAAATATGACATTATCTATATGCCATCTATATTTATTCGAAGAGTGGGAATTAGTCTAATGTAGATTTCCCCAAACTATCTATGGCCCATGAACCAAATTTGGCCAGTCACCTGTTTTTTTATGGCCCACTAGCTAAGAATAGTTTTTAGATTTTTAAATAGTTGGGAAAAAAAGACAAGGAATAGGCATATTGAATGTATGTATCTTGCAAAACTTAAAATATTTACTCTCTGGCCTCTTATAGGAAAAGTTTATCAGCTTGTAGTCTAAAGCAGTTGTCACAACCAGGGGTGATTTTTGCCTCCAGAGGATATTTAGCAATGTGTTATTTTTGATTGTCACAACTTGTGTGTGTGTGTGTGCACATGCACACACATGCTAGTGGCAATCAGTAGGTAGAAGCCAGAGATGCTGCTGACCATGCACAGAAAGGCCCCCAGCAACAAAGAATTATCTGAGCCAAAATGTTGACAAGCATTGTCCTTGACCATGCTTTGTTTAGGCTCCTCTGAGCCCTCTTCTCGACTCAGCCATGACTTGTGGCCCCATCCTGTCTTTAGTCTGTCTAGCTAAGTTTTAGCGAGAATTCTGCTAAATCGGTTTGGTGAGAATCCTCCAACTGTTGATACCTGATCAGATTTGATATCAGATCAAATTCTGCATCCCCCAAAGTTGATATCTGATCACTCTGGCCTGCTTTCAGCAAGAATCCTGTTTGTCAGATTATCAAGAATCCCCCTACCCTCAATGTCTCCTCTTAGTAATATTCCATCCACTGACCCCCTCTCTCTGCTCATTGGCTGTAATTCCCATCTGTGTTTTTTGTATTCAGAGTTGAGTCCCTGATCTCTCTGATCTATTGTGGTAATCTTGATACCTGTTGCAGTAGTCCTAAATAAAATCTTTCTTACTGTTTTAACAATTGTCAGACTAATTGTTTCTTTAAGAATGTCATTAGTGCAGAGATTGAGGAACCCTGGGCTAAAGTAATGTTTGGTACCCGTATGAATTCAGGGACTACCTCTACAAATGACTGCAACAACTTTCTTCCCTTCTGGGGTTCCAGTGTTAGGGAAGGGGAACTGACCAACACAAACATGTAATAGGGAACAGTTGTCTTAAGGCCTTGGAAGAGGCGAGTTGTAAAGATATTTTACCCCAACATCTCCAGGGTAGGGGAGGGCGGTTTGGATAGGGGTAGCTGTGCTGTGTTTGGCCCTCACTCTACTCCCTGGGTATCCTTAAAAATGAAATTTGGGCCAGGCACAGTGTCTCACGCCTGTAATCCTAGCACTTTGGGAGGCCGAGGTGGGCGGATCACGAGGTCAGGAGATCGAGACCATCCTGGCTAACACGGTGAAACCCCATCTCTACTAAAAATACAAAAAATTAGCCGCGCATGGTGGTGGGTGCCTGTAGTCCCAGCTACTCGGGAGGCTGAGGCAGGAGAATGGCATGAACCCAGGAGGCAGAGCTTGGCAGTGAGCCGAGATCACGCCACTGCCCTCCAGCCTGGGCGACAGAGTGAGACTCCGTCTCAAAAAAGAAAAAAAATATATGAAATATGGTTGATTCTCTGTCTAGGGGGATTTCATCATCAACCTCCCTTCCTCCTTATTGTTTTTCTGCCTGTTGGTATCTTCATTAAAAGATGAAGGCTTGCAGTCTTCAATTTAAGGTAAAACACAGAAAGGCAAATGTATGAGCTTGTTAAGACAGATTTAAACAGTTATTAAGCAATGAATAGAAGTGATTATATCTGCCCTGGTTCTCATTTAGAGGTGTGGTTGAAGAGAACAAGAGAGCACATGGAGTCTGAAAATGTGTATCTATATTTTGGGCTAGAAATTAGGGAGGTTAGAGATCTTCATTAGTGGGTGAGAGTCAAGAGAAAGCTAGAGACAATGGAAGAATTTCAAAGCTGTGACTTGACTCACCCTTCTTATATACCTGAGTCCCAGAACCTCTTTTTTTTGCCTACTTGTTTCCTAAAAATTGGAGCTCTGAAGTCTGTTCTGTCTATGTGACTTTGAAATTAACTAAAGCTTTCTTCTCTGGGCTAAAAACTAGATCCTGTGGCCTACCTATTGGTCTTAATTTCTCTTATTTTTACGTGAAGCCAGATCTGCCCAGTACAAGTTCAGCCTGGTGATCTGAACTACTCTATCTGATGATTCCAGTTGTTGTACATCTTGAACTTTCCTTGACCATGTTATTCCTGACCAGATTCTGAAATATGATTTCGTGAAATAAGCATAGTTACACACTGGCTACAAAGTCCTTGTGCATGCCAGTTGAACTTATGTCTGCATCCTTGTATTAGTCCACTCTCATGCTGCTAATAAAGACATACCTGAGACTGGGTAATTTTTAAAGGAAGAGGTTTAATTAACTTAGAGTTCAGCGTGGCTGGGGAGGCCTCAGGAAACTTACAATCGTCGTGGAAGGGGAAGCAAACACATCCTTCTTCACATGATGGCAGGAAGGAGAAGTGCAAAAGGGGCAAAAGCCTTTTATAAAACCATCAGATATCATGAGAACTCACTCACTATCATGAGAACAGCATGAGAGTAACCGCCTCCCGTGATGAAATTACCTTTCACCAGGTCCCTCCCATGAAATGTGGAGATTATGGGAACTACAATTCAAGATAAGATTTGGGTGGTGACACAGCCAAACCATATGAGTCCCCCTCCATTCTCCACATAGATTCTACTTTTTTCTCATTTTCTTTTGGAAGTCTTTCATTTTAATAATTGGAAGTCATTAGAGCAGACCCTGCTACTGTTTATAGGTCTTTGACTATTGTCAGGTAGAATATTTGCATATGGATATTATGGCCACTATCAGGCCTGTATTAGAGACTGTTTTGATGACATGTAATTGACAATATAGAAAATGTTCAGAGGACATGGGGAAATTTTAAAATTTGGGTGGTAAAGGAAGGAGGTTTGTACTTAGCAGAATAGGGGACTTTATGGCCACTCTTTAATTTTCTAGGCCTCAAAAAGACCATTTAGGTGTCCTGGCAACTCAATAAAAGAAGGCAACTATCTGTTAAATAACTAGGTAGAATCTACTAATTTACTATTTGTTATTAATTTCATAGATAAAGAGAATTCTCTTTTTTATTCTTCGATTGTATGGAGGTCAGCCATTCTCAAAAAAAAAAAAAAAAAAAAGACTTTGGACAGCCTGCCTGGGTTTGAATCCTGACCCCTGCCCCATGTCACTTGGGGCAACTTACTTATCTTCTGCCTGCCTCAGTTTCTTCAGTGATAAAGTTGGGAAAATAATAGTCTACATACCTCATAGGGTTGTTGTGAGGACTATATTTATTTATATGTCAAGTAATTTAAGCAGTGCAGGCCACATTGTAACTGCTATTGAAGCCTAAGGTACTATTAATGGTATTCATTGTGGTCTTAGAGTTAAGGCCCTAATCTAGCCAAAGATATTTTTAGATCATTCCAGGAAACATGTTCAGACATTTCCAGGAAAAAAGCCTAATCCTAATTCTTTGAAATACCTTAAATCAGAAAGATACATGAAATTGTTGGAGGTGTTAAATTATATATTTTTCAGATAGGTTACTCACCACGGACACACCAGCATATACTTTTATGTTTAAAGTATTTTTAGCTGACAAAAATTGCCGATGCACTGAAAAGTACTGCTGTGTTGGTTAAAATGGCACTCGTTTAAATTCAGGTTTCACTGTACGAATATTGATTTTCTGAAAAGCATTGGAGTGAAGCTCCCTTTCGGATATAGATTGGGCATAGATAACAAAATACTCTGTTTGAATTTTGGTGATATCAGCAGTAATAAAGGCAATATAAACACCCACATTTAGGTTATTTTATAAAATAAACTTGCCATATATGGAGGGGGCAATTTGGGACATTTGGATCAACAACTTTTTGGTTGTGAATCATGCTGCTATGAACATTCACAAACAAGTATTTGCTTGAGTACCTGTCTTCAGTTCTTTCAGATATTTAGCTAGTCCTGAAATTGCTGGGTTATGTGGTAATTCTATATTTAGCTTTTTGAGGAACCACCAGACTTTTTCACAATGCCTACACTATTTTAATATTTAATACATTATTTAATAGAAACACCGATGTACAAGTGTTTCTATTTCTCCACATCCTCACTAACACTTGTTATTTTCTGTTTTCTTTAATTTAAAATTTTAATTTTTAAATTATGGCCATTGTAGTGGATATAAAGTGTTATCTCATGGTTTTCATTTGTATTTCTTTGATAATCAAAGAAATTTTTTTGTTTTCTGTTTTCTTTAATTTAAAATTTTAATTTTTAAATTATGGCCATTGTAGTGGATATAAAGTGTTATCTCATGGTTTTCATTTGTATTTCTTTGATAATCAAAGATTTTGAACATTTTTTCATGTTTTTTATGTTGGTCATTTGTATATCTACTGTGGGGAAATGTCTATTCAAGGTCCTTTGCTTATTTTTTAATTGAATTGTTGGTCATTTTGTTGTTGAGTTGTAAGAGTTTTTTTTTTTTTTTAAATATATTCTGGATACTAAACCTTTATTAGAAAACCTGGTTCTCAACAAAAACTACAAATCCTACAAAGAAACACAAAAGTATGGCCATTCATAGGAAAAACAGAAATGGACAGAAACTATCTATGAGAAAGTCCAAATATTAGACTTACTAGACAAAGACTTTAAATTATGTATGCTGAGAGAGCTGAAAGAAACCATGGATAAAGAACTAAAGGGGCCAGGCACAATGGCTCATGCCTGTAATCCCAGCACTTTGGTAGGTCAATGTGGGAGAATCACTTGAGCCCAGGAATTTGAGACCAGTCTGGGCAACATAGGGAGAATCTGTCTCTACAAAAGAAAAAAAAAAAAAAAAGAAAAGAAAAAATTAGCCAGGTAGTCTCAACTGCTAGTGAGGCTGAGGTGGGAGGATTGCTTGAGCCTAGAAGATCAAGGCTGCAGTGAGCTGTGATCGTACCACTGTGCTCTAGCCTGAGTGATAGAACAAGACCCCATCTCAAAAAACAAACAAACAAACAAACAAACAAACAAACAAACTAAAGGAAATCAGGAGAACAATTCATGACCAAATAGGTAATATCAGTTTAAAAAAATAGAAATTATAAAGTGAAACCATGTAGAAATTCAGGAGCTGAAAGATACAAGAACTGAAGTGAAAAATTCAGTAGAGGGGTTCAAAAGAAGATTTGAGCAGGTGGAAGAAAGAATTAGGAAACTTTTAGATAGGGCAACAGGAATCACCCAATCTGAGGAGTAGAAAGCAAAAAGAAGGAAGAAAAATGAGCAGAGCCTAAGGGACCTGTGGGATACCATCAAACCTAAAACATGCATTATGGGAATCCTAAAAGGAGAAGAGAAAGGGGCAATGTGCTAGACATTGAGTACAGAAGGAGAGTTTCATTTGAGGCCATTCAGTTTATTATTAATATTCTTGAACAATATACAATTTTGTGTTCAATTCATAGCAGGCAAGGACAACTAAAAACACTCTACTGGCTGCAGACCAGAGAATGCTAGAGAGGTGTCATTTCTCTGTCTTCACGCAGTCCTTACATTGTTGGTGTTGGCCCATATTTTCAATACAGCTAAAGAAATTTAATGACCGTTATACTGAAACATCTGGTTTACTACATTAACTTCATATTCTTCTTCTGAAATTGGAATGGGCCCATTATGTTTCTCCACATTTGCGCCTTATTTGTCTTTGAGGAAACAAATAAAAGTTTCACCAAAATTCTGTAACCAAATTACAGGTTCAGTTGCTCACCACTTGCGGAGTCTAATTAACAAGAGAGAGGTCTAGTATAAAGAAAGTGACTTTTTATTCCAAAGGTAGGTTAGGGGAAGAAGTACTCCTACCTTATGGATACTGCTTTGCTTTGGGAGCACAAAGCAGGGGCTTTTAAAGGGAGAACTTGGCATGAATGGCATACAGGGGAGGGAGTGAACAGGTGAGGGTCCATGTGACTCACTTTGGTACCTTATCTACCAGATGGTTGAGCTGGCGCCATCATGGGCAGAACTAGTTTTTAAAGTGGTCTTTGTCTCAGGATATTCTCCATGTAGGAAAGAGTTTTGTAGTGGGCATACTTTAGGTTGTAAATTGACTGTCATCTCTTGAGGCAATCTCCTGGTGGGAGAGGTTTTTGGCTCTGGAGCTTCCAAGCACACAGTTAGATAAGCTTGATCTGTAGACAGTGTCTGGTGAAGGGAAGATAGAGGTTCTAATTGCATTTCTAAAGAGCCAAGTAGAAAGTAGGGAACAGGGGGAAAGGAGGAAAGAGAAAAGAAGAGAAAAAAATTAAAAAAAACCCAACTCATTCTCTTTCTCTTAGAAAAATGGGAATACTTGGTTACAATCCCACAAATGAAAAAAATGCTGAATTCTTCTGGCATGCTTATTCCTTTCAGGTTCCATTTAGTTCATTGCTTCTCCCCAAGTATATTAGGACATACTAGGTTCCAAAGGCCTACTTTATTGTAACAACACCAGACTTTCTCTATAGCATAGACTCCCTGTGGGCAGATCTTAACCTCAAATCCTTTGTTCTTAGATCCTCTTTCAATTCTGTTCCCATCCTTAGGAATCAGAATTCCACTCAGATTTACTTTGAATGCAAAACAATAGGAATGTCCCCTGGGTGCATGAATCCTAACTGCACAAAACCTAAAGGTAAATGTTCTCCAACTTGTTATATGGTCATATTTGTACAAACAATAGCCCAAAGAGAAAACTTCCTTACCAAATTAGCCTTACCAACAGTAACTCGAGATCAACTATTCTAAACCTATTCCCTTTAGTCTGGTGATTCTCCTCAATTACCTTTTAAAATATATATCTCCCTACATTTAACTGGAATAGCATCTCTCAGGGAAAATGTTTGCAACTCACTTATCCTCAAACATTTATCAGAAACAAGCTACAATGCCTGTACAGTTGGCTACTGATCATTTCCACACTGAGATTTTTTTTCCTCTGGCTGTGATTTAGTAATACCAGCTTTGGAAAAATTCTAGGTTAGACTTAACATGAGTATCTCCTTCAGCATGGAACACTGGGCCCTCAGTGGTTTATTAAGCCAGTTATTTAAGTGAATAGAAAAGAAAATCAGGACTGTATCCCCAGATACTTCCTCAGCCAGTATATTACTCAGGATGTTTGAAGTTATACATGATAGAAACCCAACTCAAACCTGTTTAAGCAGAACAAGAAATTTATTAGCTCATCTAGCTGGGAAAAAATTTTATGTTATGTTATGTTATGTTATGTTATGTTATGTTATGTTATGTCATGTTATGTTATGTCATGTTATGTTATTTTGAGACGGAGTCTTGTTCTGTCGCCCAGGCAGAAGTGCAGTGGTGCGATCTCGGCTCACTGCAACCTCTGCCTCCTGGGTTCCAGCAATTCACTTGCTTCAGCCTCCCAGATAGCTGGGATTACAGGCATGTGTCACCATGCCTAATTTTTGTATTTTTAGGAGAGAAGGGGTTTCACCACGTTGGCCAGGCTGGTCTCAAACTGCTGCCTGCAGGTGATCCACGCACCTCGGCCTCCCAACGTGCTAGGATTATAGGAGGGAGCCGCCGCGCCCAGCCTGGGAAGAAATTTTAACTCATAAAATAGAAGAAAACTGTCAGGACTCTACTATCAGAGAAATTCATTTGCTCTTGCCCATTACCCCCCGACCCAGTCTCTGTTTGTCTCTGTGTCTCCTTGCTTCCCTTTCTTCTACTGTATGTATGTCCTCCATGTGACACAGGAAGTAAGCTCCAGGCTATCAATTGTCCTGTACTTCTATCCTAAAAACGTAAATGTCTTACCCACTAGATTGTATCACAAAAGTTCTAGGGAGGGTTCTTACTTGTCTAATGAGATCATTTGCTTCTCCCTGAACACATCACTGTAGCCTGGAAAATGGGGGTCTCTGATTAGCTAGGCCTGGGTCACATTGCCTACTTTCGTGATGATGAATAGAAGATAGGAATTGGGGAGGCTATAGACAAACATGATTATTATCCTTACAAAACTACATGAAATAAGAAAGGAGTCCCCAAATGGAAGGGGCTGCTATTACCAAATGGCAATGAGGGAAAAACATTCAGGACACCCATAATCATTACCTATTACAGTCTATCATCGACCCCTTCCATGCAAAGGTGAAGTGGCCATTTATTCCAGTGTCATTGCTAGACTTCTTAACATTTTTCAGAAGGGGACAGCAATCTGCCACTCAGATGACCACTGTGAAGCATATGAATATATTCTTGATCGGTAATTTTGAATAATTGAACGCTGAATGTTCACAAAAAGAGAAAAATCTTTAATTCTCTGCTGTTGAGTCTTTATCAAAAGCTTAGTTTTAATAAATAACATTCAAGTGGGCATGGTGTGAGCCTGTAGTCCCACCTACTCAGGAGGCTGAGAAGAAAGGATCACTTGATACCAGGAGTTCAAGACCAGCCTTGGCAACATAGTGAAAATTTTTTAAAAATTGAAGGAAGATTACACAAAAGATTTTCTGTCCATCTATAACTACTGGTTACTTTCCAACAGCCAGTTTACCCTTCTTTTTTTGTTGAATGATATTGTGGGAAATTGGATAAAGGAATTTTTTTCTTGAGATAGGGTCTTGCTCTGTCACCCAAGCTGGAGTACAGTGACATGATCAGGGCTCACTGGAACTTCGAACTCCTGAGCTCAAGTGATCCTCCCACCTCAGCCTCCTGAGTAGCTGAGTCTACAGCACATGCCACCATGCATGGCTAATTTTTTCATTTTTGTAGAGGTGGGTGTCTCACTGCGTTGCCCAGGCTGGCCTCTAACATTCCCCCTGTCTTGGCCTCTCCAAGTGCTAGTATTACAGGTGTGAGCCACTGTGCCTGGCCTAAATGGGGGAATGAAATTGACCTCGGTGGTGAGTAGGAAGAGAAGGGCCATTTTTGGAACAGGATAGTTAATAAAATATTTACAATGACTGCAAGGCTACACTGAGTTTTCTATGAACTTTGTTAAGGAAGTATTTTCACTAAATGAAAAGAAGTATATTGCAGTATATTGTCTTAGTCTATTTATGTTGCTATAAAGAAATACCTGAGGCCGAGTTATTTATAAAGAAATGAGGTTGGTTTGGCTCATGGTTCTGTAGGCTGTAAAATAAGCATGGCACCAGCATCTGCTTCTGGTGAGGGCCTTGGGAAACCTCTACTCATTGCGGAAGGTGAAGAGAAGCTGCTGTATGTGGAGGTCACATGGTAAGAGAGCAGAAGCAAGAGAGAGAGGGGAGGGAGTACCGGGCTTTTTTTAACAGTCAGTTCTTGTGGGAACTAAGAGTGAGAAGTTATTCACTCCTAAGAAAATGGCACCAAGCCCTTCATCAAGGATCCACCCTCATGATCCAAGCATCCCCCACCAGGCCGCATCTCCAATATTGGGAATCAAATTTCAACATGAGACTTGGAGGGGACACATATCTAAACTATATCACATGCCTTCAAAGAGTGCTGAATTAACATAAAAATATGAAACCAGTTATGTAATATGGGAAGAGATTTAGAATTGTAATTATTTTTTAAATTTATTTACAAACAACTTTGCTTCCTGGGACAGAGGACAGGTCTTCCCATTTCAACAAAAAATAAATCAAATATGACATGCCATTAGCACATAAGGCAAAAATGAGACTTCCATAATCTTGAACACAAGGTACTTGTTTCTAGTTGAGATTTCCTACCCAGAATGGCACTGCTTCATTAAGTGATTCATTCCACTACCTCTATTTATGCTGTGAAAGCCTTTCCCCTGCCCCCCCACTTTTTTTTTGAGATATGGTCTCACTCTGTCACCCAGGACATAGTGCAGTGGCATGACCACAGCTCACTGCAGCCTTGATCTCCCAGGCTCAAGTGATCCTCCCAGCTCAGCCTCCCAAGTATCAGGGACCACAGGCTTGCACCACCACACCTGGCTAATTTTTAAATTTTTTGTAGTGATGGGGTCTCGCTATATTGCCCAGGCTAGTCTCCAACCCCTGGGCTCAAACAGTCCTCCTGCCTTGGCCTCCCAAAGTGCTAGGATTACAATAAGGAATGAGTGAGGAAAAAATGAGAAAATAAGAAAAAATGTGAAAAGTTAGAACATGTTATCTATTATTTTTAACCTAGATTATTTATTTTTTCCCTCTTTCCATTTAATATGTGTATTTATTAGTATTTGATAGTTAAGGATTATCTAGTGGATTTTAATTTTCATATCATTATACATTGCCAAGTGCTGTGGCAGATGATCTTAGATGCATATTGTATGTTATAGGATATGCTTTCTTGGCTATTAAGTGAACAAGGGCATCTATAATGTTTTCGATATTTATTTTCAAAATTGTAATGACCCATAGAAAAATCCCTACTGCTCTCCTCATCCCCCACCTCCTTATGGTTTAAACACGTTGAGAACCACAGTTCTGTCCTCTGAGAGAGAGATGGAGATATTTACAGGGATAGAAGGGATCAGGAGCTGAAAAGAATGGTAAAGGCTATTGCTTACCAGTGAGATTGTGTTATATATTATTTAAACAGGGGAGGTAAATGTTTCTGATCCTGGAAGCTTGAGTAGTACTGAACTTAGAGTCTCTTTCTTGACGCATTTTGAATCTGAAGGATTCTGAAGAAGATAGAATATAGAATGAAAACTGAAGAGGCTATTTTGAGGTAAAGACTGGAGGAAGTGGTACAGGAAGACCAAGAAATCAGGCAAGGCCTTATCCAGCAGGTTTATAAAAGGTTTGGAAGAGGCACAGAGATGGAACTAGGTAGATAAAGCAGGAGTTACAAAACAGGATTGCAGAATTTTATGTGGCTCTGTGCTTTTGAGTAACTCAATTTTTATTTAATCTTAGAATATCTCAGAGAGATGCAATATTTACAAATGGAAAACAACCCCTTTTGGAACTTAAGATCTGGGAAAGAACAAAGCAGGCACAATAATTTGGGGAGAAAGATTCGTGGGTCCTGCCTTCATGTGCAGCCTAGTAATGTTAGGTGTACTGAGGTCTGTCCACTGGCCAGGGTTGTCTCCTTTGGTTGCTGGTTCTGGAATTGTTAGTCTCTTGCCTTGAGCTGGGATCTGGCCCATCTAGAAATTTCCCATCAGGAATACGTGGCTGTAGGTGGTCCAGGGCTGAAGCTATAGGTAAATGATGAGTGGTGAGAAAGAACAGGCTGCCTTCTTCTCGCCCTGTAGGTGAACAGTAGCACACCCTCTATCCCTAACCATTGTTTAAACCAAAAAATTCAGCAGTATACTTGCATAGAAAGGCTCTCAGAATCAAAGTTTGACACTTTTACTCTTGGAAGGCTTAGAATCATGGGCTTACCAAAAATAGGTGACTTGGACTTGGAACCCACTGAGTCCTGGAACCAGGTAATGCTGGTTTCTTGGGATTGACTTGACCCTGTCAGAGACAGAGCGGAGCAAACAGCCTGCTCAAAGATTGGAAAAGTCCATTTCCCTACCAGTCAGCATTTACATACTCTCTTTCTCCCCAGCCAGCCCTCCCTAAAAACTACCCACAATGTTGAAAGAGCACTCCTCTTAAAACTTCTGTCCCCTCCCAAAAAATCTAGGAAACCCTTAAAACAACAGTTTTTCCTCCTTTTGGGTTTGGATGAAATTCCTCTCTTTGAGCAGGTGTCAGACATTCTTAAGCAGTGCTACAGTGCTAGGATGGGGCTTCCCATGTACAAATGAATACTAAATAAATATTACTCGAGGAGAGTAAAGGAGCTGGGAAGCAAACTGACTTTTTCAGTCACTGGCATGACTGGAAGCATTTATTAAGTATTTTTTTTGTTTGTTTGTTTTTTTTGAGACAGTCTCACTCTGTCGCCCAGGCTGGAGTGCAGTGGCGTGATCTCGGCTCATCACAACCTCCGCCTCCTGGGTTCACGCCATTCTCCTGCCTCAGCCTCCCAAGTAGCTGGGACTACAGGCACCCGCCACCACACCTGGTTAATTTTTTTTTGTATTTTTAGTAGAGACGGAGTTTCATCACATTAGCCAGGATGGTCTCGATCTCCTGACCTCGTGATCCGCCCGCCTCAGCCTCCCAAAGTGCTGGGATTACAGGCGTGAGCCACCTTGCCTGGCCAAGTTCTTTACCTTCCTGGGGTAGTGAGCCAGGGATGGTACAGACTACATTAGCAGATATGACTTCTGCCCTTGGAGACCGAGGGCACCATTTGTGAGCTCATTTTTGTGTGAAATGTACCTCGGTTGTCATTCTCAGCTGACACATAAGTAAATAGTGGTCGGGGCAGGGAATAATGGTGACCAATAGAAGGCTAGCTTTCAGGTAGACTGCACCTCAGACGCCTCCTTTGTTCATTCCACATTCCTTTCCCGTTGAGCTGCTCAAAGTACGTTAAAAATACTGTCTCTATGTTTGTGTGTGTGTGTGTGTGTGTGTGTGTGTAGGTATATATACATTTAAAGAAATTAATTTCCCCCCACGATATATCTCTCTGGAATATTATGATCTGGATTGGAAACATCAGCTTGGTCAAGGAATGATTTATCTTTCTTTGTTGGGCAGGAACCTTTTGGGAGGCCCAATAATTTTCCTGCAATCTAAAGTATCTTTAAAACATGGCAGGTCCTGGACAGGGTTGGAAACTGGAAGGAGAGATTGCTGTTCCTACTCTGGCCCTTTCCTTTTCCATGTGCCTGCAAACTTCCTGCTGCTTTTAGCTCCCTCACTTTACACATGGCCTGGGACCCTCCCTGCCAGCATTTTTTTTTTCTTTTTTTGGAGTCATGGTCTCACTGTCATCCAGGCTGGAGTGCAGTGGTGCAGTCATGGCTCACTACAGACTCAAGCTCCTGGGTTCAGGTGATCCTTCCACCTCAGCTTCCTGAGTAGCTGGTACCACAGATGCATGCCACTGTGCCCACTAATATTTTTTTCAATTTTTTGTAGAGATGGGGGTCTTACTGTGTTGCCCAGGCTGGTCTCAAACTCCTGGCCTCAAGCTGTCCTCCCACCTTGGCCTCTCAAAGTGCTGGGATTTATAAGCATGAGCTACCATGCCTGGCCCTATCAGCATTTTAAAAGAGATTTTTTTATTTTGAAATAATTTTAGATTTACAGAAAAGTTGCAAAAATAGTATGGAGAGTTCTTGTAGACCCTTCACCCAGCTTCCCTTAATGTTAACCTCTTACTTAACCTGTTTGCAGTTTGATGTGTGATTTCTACTGAGTGCATTTTTTGAACCTCATCTGTCCTAGGGATCTTACTATAGTCGGGATTCAGCGTTGACATGGTTCCTTTCTCTTGCCTTCAAGGAGCTAGCAATCTAGCAGTGGGTTTTAGTGACTTAATGTTTTATCTTCTCACTTTTACATTTAAAAATGTTTTTCTGGTAACAGCAGTAAGGAATCTAAAGGTAACAGTTTCTAGTGATCAAATTTCAGCTACAGTAGAATCTGGATGAAGGAGACATTTTTGAATTGAGAGTCTTTGCTGGGACTCTTGAAATGGCTGTTTATTTATTGATTTTTCTATTCATTTAGCATTTATTGACTGTCCCATATGTGACAGATACCATACTAATCTCTAGAGATAACTAAGTTGAATTTCAAGATGTAGCTCTTGCCTTTAAAGACTTTATGATCTTTTGGGGGAAGTATACAATTGCAAAACAATATGGAAATGCTGTGGTAGAGTTACTTACAGGCTACTCTGGAAAACATGGAAGGAGACCCTGAATTCCAGCCTGATATGACAAATCCCCATTAGGCTGCTCCAACTAGACAGAGAGCTCTTTGGAAACTGTGAAATAATATGTATTATTCAATCTAAAATTATAATTAAGATGGCCTAGGTAAATTCACGGGACTATCAGTCCTTTGGTATTTTACAAATGGATAATATATTATTCGTCCATGGGGTAGAGTTAAAATATTCATGAAATGCAATCCCGAGGTGGAGCCAAGATGGCCGAATAGGAACCGCTCCGGTCTACAGCTCCTAGTGTGAGCGACGCAGAAGACGGGCGATTTCTGCATTTCCATCTGAGGTACCGGGTTCATCTCACTAGGGAGTGCCAGACAGTGGGCGCAGGACAGTGGGTGCAGCGCACCGTGCGCGAGCCGAAGCAGGGCAAGGCACTGCCTCACTCAGGAAGCGCAAGGGGTCAGGGAGTTCCCTTTCCTAGTCAAAGAAAGGGGTGACAGACGGCACCTGGAAAATCGGGTCACTCCCACCCTAATACTGCGCTTTTCCCATGGGCTTAAAAAACGGCGCACCAGGAGATTATATCCCGCACATGGCTCGGAGAGTCCTACACCCACAGAGTCTCGCTGATTGCTAGCACAGCAGTCTGAGATCAAACTGCAAGGTGTCAGTGAGGCTGGGGGAGGGGCGCCCGCCATTGCCCAGGCTTGCTTAGGTAAATAAAGCAGGCAGGAAGCTTGAACTGGGTGGAGCCCACCACAGCTCAAGGAGGCCTGCCTGCCTCTGTAGGCTCCGCCTCTGGGGGCAGGGCACAGACAAACAAAAAGACAGCAGTAACCTCTGCAGGCTTAAATGTCCTTGTCTGACAGCTTTGAAGAGAGCAGTGGTTCTCCCAGCACGCAGCTGGAGATCTGAGAATGGGCAGACTGCCTCCTCAAGTGGGTCCCTGACCCCTGACCCCCGAGCAGCCTAACTGGGAGGCACCCCCTAGTAGGGGCAGACTGACACCTCACACGGCCGGGTACTCCTCTGAGACAAAACTTCCAGAGGAACGATCAGACAGCAGCATTCGTGGATCACGAAAATCCGCTCTTCTGCAGCCACCACTGCTGGTACCCAGGCAAACAGGGTCTGGAGTGGACCTCTAGCAAACTCCAACAGACCTGCAGCTGAGGGTCCTGTCTGTTAGAAGGAAAACTAACAAACAGAAAGGACATCCACACCAAAAACCCATCTGTACATCACCATCATCAAAGACCAAAAGTAGATAAAACCACAAAGATGGGGAAAAAACAGAGCGGAAAAAACAGAGCAGAAAAAGTGGAAACTCTAAAAAGCAGAGCGCCGCTCCTCCTCCAAAGGAACACAGCTCCTCACCAGCAACGGAACAAAGCTGGACGGAGAATGACTTTGACGAGTTGAGAGAAGAAGGCTTCAGATGATCAAACTACTCCGAGCTACAGGAGGAAATTCAAACCAAAGGCAAAGAAGTTGAAAACTTTGAAAAAAATTTAGACGACTGTATAACTGGAATAACCAATACAGAGAAGTGCTTAAAGGAGCTGATGGAGCTGAAAGCCAAGGCTCGAGAACTACGTGAAGAATGCAGAAGCCTCAGGAGCCGATGCGATCAACTGGAAGAAAGGGTATCAGTGATGGAAGATGAAATGAATGAAATGAAGTGAGAAGGGAAGTTTAGAGAAAAAAGAATAAAAAGAAATGAACAAAGCCTCCAAGAAATATGGGACTATGTGAAAAGACCAAGTCTACCGCTGATTGGTGTACCTGAAAGTGATGGGGAGAATGGAACCAAGTTGGAAAACACTGTGCAGGATATTATCCAGGAGAGCTTTCCCAATCTAGCAAGGCAGGCCAACATTCAAATTCAGGAAATACAGAGAACGCCACAAAGATACTCCTCGAGAAAAGCAACTCCAAGACACATAATTGTCAGATTCACCAAAGTTGAAATGAAGGAAAAAATGTTAAGGGCAGCCAGAGAGAAAGGTCAGGTTACCCTCAAAGGGAAGCCCATCAGACTAACAGCGGATCTCTCGGCAGAAACTCTACAAGCCAGAAGAGAGTGGGGGCCAATATTCAACATTCTTAAAGAAAAGAATTTTCAACCCAGAATTTCATATCCAGCCAAACTAAGCTTCATAAGTGAAGGAGAAATAAAGTCCTTTACAGACAAGCAAATGCTGAGAGATTTTGTCACCACCAGGCTTGCCCTAAAAGAGCTCCTGAAGGAAGCACTAAACATGTAAAGGAACAATCAGTACCAGCCACTGCAAAATCATGCCAAATTGTAAAGACCATCGAGGCTAGGAAGAAACTGCATCAACTAATGAGCAAAATAACCAACTAACATCATAATGACAGGATCAAATTCACATATAACTATATTAACTTTAAATGTAAATGGACTAAATGCTCCAATTAGAAGACACAGACTGGCAAATTGGATAAAGAGTCAAGACCCATCAGTGTGTTGTATTCAGGAAACCCATCTCATGTGCAGAGACACACATAGGCTCAAAATAAAAGGATGGAGGAAGATCTACCAAGCCAATGGAAAACAAAAAAAGGCAGGGGTTGCAATCCTAGTCTCTGATAAAACAGACTTTAAACCAACAAAGGGCAAAAGAGAGAAAGAAGGCCATGACATAATGGTAAAGGGATCAATTCAACAAGAAGAGCTAACTATCCTAAATATATATGCACCCAATACAGGAGCACCCAGATTCATAAAGCAAGTCCTGAGTGACCTACAAAGAGACTTAGACTCCCACACAATAATAATGGGAGACTTTAACACCCCACTGTCAACATTAGACAGATCAACGAGACAGAAAGTTAACAAGGATACCCAGGAATTGAACTCAGCTCTGCACCAAGCGGACCTAATAGACATCTACAGAACTCTCCACCCCAAATCAACAGAATATACATTTTTTTCAGCACCACACCACACATATTCCAAAATTGACCACATAGTTGGAAGTAAAGCTCTCCTCAGCAAATGTAAAAGATCAGACATTGTAACAAACTGTCTCTCAGACCACAGTGCAATCAAATTAGAACTCAGGATTAAGAAACTCACTCAAAACCAATCAACTACATGGAAACTGAACAACTTGCTCCTGAATGACTACTGGGTACATAACGAAATGAAGGCAGAAATAAAGATGTTCTTTGAAACCAATGAGAACAAAGACACAGCATACCAGAATCTCTGGGACACATTCAAAGCAGTGTGTAGAGGGAAATTTATAGCACTAAATGCCCACAAGAGAAAGCAGGAAAGATCCAAAATTGACACCCTAACATCACAATTAAAAGAACTAGAGAAGCAAGAGCAAACACATTCAAAAGCTAGCAGAAGGCAAGAAATAACTAAAATCAGAGCAGAACTGAAGGAAATAGAGACACAAAAAACCCTTCAAAAAATTAATGAATCCAGGAGCTGGTTTTTTGAAAGGATCAACAAAATTGATAGACCGCTAGCAAGACTAATAAAGAAGAAAAGAGAGAAGAATCAAATAGACACAATAAAAAATGGTAAAGGGCATATCACCACCGATCCCACTGAAATACAAACTACTATCAGAGAATACTACAAACACCTCTATGCAAATAAACTAGAAAATCTAGAAGAAATGGATAAATTCCTCGACACATACATCCTCCGAAGACTAAACCAGGAAGAAGTTGAATCTCTGAATAGACCAATAACAGGCTCTGAAATTATGGCAATAATCAATAGCTTACCAACCAAAAAGAGTCCAGGACCAGATGGATTCACAGCCGAATTCTACCAGAGGTACAAGGAGGAACTGGTATCATTCCTTCTGAAAATATTCCAATCAATAGAAAAAGAGGGAATCCTCCCTAACTCATTTTATGAGGCCAGCATCAACCTGATACCAAAGCCAGGCAGAGACACAACCAAAAAAGAGAATTTTAGACCAATATCCTTGATGAACATTGATGCAAAAATCCTCAATAAAATACTGGCAAACTGAATCCAGCAGCACATCAAAAAGCTTATCCACCATGATCAAGTGGGCTTCATCCCTGGGATGCAAGACTGGTTCAATATATGCAAATCAATAAATGTAATCCAACATATAAACAGAACCAAAGACAAAAACCACATGATTATCTCAATAGATGCAGAAAAGGCCTTTGACAAAATTCAACAACCTTCATGCTAAAAACTCTCAATAAATTAGGTATTGATGGGACATATCTCAAAATAATAAGAGCTATCTATGACAAACCCACAGCCAATATCATACTGAATGGGCAAAAACTGGAAGCATTCCCTTTGAAAAGTGGCACAAGACAGGGATGCCCTCTCTCACCACTCCTATTCAAAATAGTGTTGGAAGTTCTGGCCAGGGCAATTAGGCAGGAGAAGGAAATAAAGGGTATTCAATTAGGAAAAGAGGAAGTCAAATTATCCCTGTTTGCAGATGACATGATTGTATATCTAGAAAACCCCATTGTTTCAGCCCTAAATCTCCTTAAGCTGATAGCAACTTCAGCAAAGTCTCAGGATACAAAATCAATGTACAAAAATCACAAGCATTCTTATACACCAATAACAGACAGAGAGCCAAATCATGAGTGAACTCCCATTCACAATTGCTTCAAAGAGAATAAAATACCTAGGAATCCAACTTACAAGGGATGTGAAGGACCTCTTCAAGGAGAACTACAAACCACTGCTCAAGGAAATAAAAGAGGATACAAACAAATGGAAGAACATTCCATACTCATGGGTAGGAAGAATCAATATCGTGAAAATGGCCATACTGCCCAAGGTAATTTATAGATTCAGTGCCATCCCCATCAAGCTACCAATGACTTTCTTCACAGAATTGGAAAAAACTACTTTAAAGTTCATATGGCACCAAAAAAAGAGCCCACATCGCCAAGTCAATCCTAGGCCAAAAGAACAAAGCTGGAGGCATCACACTACCTGACTTCAAACTATACTACAAGGCTACAGTAACCAAAACAGCATGGTACTGGTACCAAAACAGAGATGTAGATCAATGGAAGAGAACAGAGCCCTCAGAAATAACGCCGCATGTCTACAACTGTTTGATCTTTGACAAACCTGACAAAAACAAGCAATGGGGAAAGGATTCCCTATTTAATAAATGGTGCTGGGAAAACTGGCTAGCCATATGTAGAAAGCTGAAACTGGATCCCTTCCTTACACCTTATACAAAAATTAATTCAAGATGGATTAAAGACTTAAACGTTAGACCTAAAACCATAAAAACCCTAGAAGAAAACCTAGGCATTACCATTCAGGACATAGGCATGGGCAAGGACTTCATGTCTAAAACACCAAAAGCAATGGCAGCAAAAGCCAAAATTGACAAATGGGATCTAATTAAACTCAAGAGCTTCTGCACAGCAAAAGAAACTACCATCAGAGTGAACAGGCAACCTACAAAATGGGATAAAATTTTTGCAACCTACTCATCTGACAAAGGGCTAATATCCAGAATCTACAATGAACTCAAACAAATTTACAAGAAAAAAACAAACAACCCCATCAAAAAGTGGGCAAAGGACAGGAACAGACACTTACCAAAAGAAGACATTTATGCAGCCAAAAGACACATGAAAAAATGCTCACCATTACTGGCTATCAGAGAAATGCAAATCAAAACCACAATGAGATACCATCTCACACCAGTTAGAATGGCAATCATTCAAAAGTCAGGAAACAACAGGTGCTGGAGAGGATATGGAGAAATAGGAACACTTTTCCACTGTTGGTGGGACTGTAAACTAGTTCAACCATTGTGGAAGTCAGTGTGGTGATTCCTCAGGGATCTAGAACTAGAAATACCATTTGACCCAGCCATCCCATTACTGGGTATATACCCAAAGGACTATAAATCATGCTGCCATAAAGACACATGCACACGTATGTTTATTGCGGCACTATTCTCAATAGCAAAGACTTGGAACCAACCCAAATGTCCAACAATGATAGACTGGATTAAGAAAATGTGGCACATATGCACCATGGAATACTATGCAGCCATAAAAAATGATGAGTTCGTGTCCTTTGTAGGGACATGGATGAAATTGGAAATCATCATTCTCAGTAAACTATCGCAAGAACAAAAAACCAAACACCGCATATTCTCACTCATAGGCGGGAATTGAACAATGAGAACACATGGACACAGGAAGGGGAACATCACATCTGGGGACTGTTGTGGGGTTGGGGGAGGGGGGAGGCATAGCTTTAGGAGATATACCTAATGCTAAATGATGAGTTAATGGGTGCAGCACACCAGCATGGCACATGTATACATATGTAACTAACCTGCACATTGTGCACATGTACCCTAAAACTTAAAGTATAATAATAATAATGATAAATTTAAAAAAATATATATTCATTAAATGCAGCAATATGGCGACTTTGGTTGTCTTCCCAGCCCTTTTTCTGTGCATATTTTTACCTTTATAAAACTTAAATGTGGTTATTTTGTAGATGCTGTTTTATATCCTGCCATATATATATTCATGCACTGCATAAAGATGCCTTGGTCAATGATAGATGGAATGTAGAACTGTGGTCCCCTAAGATTATAATGGACCTGAAAAATTGCTACCTTCTAGTGATGTTCTGATGATTCTGACCATGTGCAAGCCTAGGCTAACGTGTGTGTTTGTGTCTTAGCTTTTAACAAAAAAGTTTTAAAATTAAAATAAATAAAAAACATTAAAAATCCAAAAAAGCTTATAGAATAAGGATATAAATAAAGAAAATATTTTTGTACAGCTGTACAATCTGTGTTTTAGGCAAAGTGTTAATACAGAGAGTCAAAAAGTTCAAAAAATTAAAAAGTTTATACAGTAAAAAAGTTATAGTAAGCTAAGGTTAATTTATTATTGAAGAAAGAAAATATTTTAAGAATAAATTTAGTGTAGCCTAGATGTACAGTATTTATAAAGTCTATAGCAGTGTACAGTCATGTCCTAGGCCTTCACATTCACTCACCACTCACTGACACACCCAGAGCAACTTTCAGTCCTGCAAGCTCTATTCATGGTAAGTGCCCTAAGCAGGTGTATGATTTTTTATTTTTCATACTGTGTTTGTACCTTTTCTATGTTTAGATAGCTTTAGATACACAAATATTTACCATCATGTTACAGTTGCCTGCAATATTCATTACTACCATGCTGTACAGGTTTGTAGCCTAGGAGCAATAGGCTATACCAGATAGTCTAGGTGTGTAGTATACTGTACTATCTAGGTTTATGAAAGTATACTCTATGATATTTTCACAATGACAAAATCATGTAAGGATGCGTTTCTCAGAATGTAGCCCATTGTTAAACAACATATGACTATATGTTTTCATATACTCTACATTTCAGCAGATATTCTTCTCATACTATGGTTTTCAATATTTTATCATGAAAAATTTCAAACATAGAGCAAAGTTGAAGGAATTTTATAGTAAAGAAAGACCTAACCCATCATCCAAATTCTACCATTAACATTGTTCTATACTTGCTTTGTCACATAACTATCCATTTCCCTCCCTCCCTCCCTCCCTCCCTCCCTTCCTTCTTTCCCTTTCCTCCCCTCCCCTCCCCTTTCTTTCGTTTGAATGCGGTGGTGCAATCATGGCTCACTGCCACCTTGAACTCCTGAGCTCAAGTGATCCTCATACCTTAGCCTCCCGAATACCTGGGACTGCAGGCATGCGCCACCATGCCCAGCTAATTTTTTAAAACTGTTTTTATTGTGACAAAAAATTGTCAATCTGCAAAACATCGATATGTTGTCCAGGCTGGTCTCGAGGTCTCAAACTCCTGGCCTCCAGTTCTCCCACTTTATCCTCCCAAAGGCTCGAGCCACCGCACCTAGCTGCATCTTAATTTTTTGATACCTTTCAAAGTAAATTGCAAATATCCTCTAAGTTCTTCAGCATATCTATCATTAACATGAACTCAATATTTATTTAGTTTTTCTTTTGATACAAAATTTGTACTCAAATGAAATGCGTACATCTTAATTATATATTTGCTGAATTTTAATAAACACATACACCTGCATAATCCAAAGTCTGTCATAATATAGATTATATAACATCATCATCACCCTGGAAGGTTCCCTTCTGACCCTTCCCAGTCAATCCCTACCTCCCACCCTTCCAAAGACAACCGCTATTACAATTTTTTCCACCATAGGTTAGTTTTGCTTGTTCTATGATTTTATGTAATTGAAATCATACAATATGTACTTCTTTATGTGGTGGTTCTTTCACTCATCATAATGTTTTTGAGATTCATTCAGGTTGTTGTGTTTTAGTAGCTTTTTTTTTATTGCTGAGTACTATTTCATTGTATGAATCACAGTTTCCTTATTTTATTGATAGACATCTGGGGGTATTTTCATCTTTTAGCTATTAAGAAAAAAGCTGCTATGGAACATTCTTCTACAAGTCTTTTTGTGGATATGTGTGTGTGTGTGTATAGTAAGTGTATATGTGAATATGTATATATACACATCCACATTTATATATGTGTGTTTATATTTCTATATCTGTTTCTTTTGGGTAAATACCCAGGAATGGAATGGCTTGATCATAGAGGAGGTTTATGTTTACCTTTTGTAAGAAACTGACAGGCCTGTTTTCAAAGTGGTTTTTTTATTTTACATTCCCACTCATAATGTATAAGAATTCTGTTGCTCCATATCCTGGGGTTGTCAGTTTTTAAACTTTGGTCATTCTGGTTGGTGGGTAGTGGCATAATGATATTGAGCCTATTTCAAGCACTTAGTGGCCATTCGTATATCCTCTTTTTTGAAGTGTCTAGTTACATCTTTTTTCTATTTATAAACTGGGTTGAGCTGTTAAGAGTTCTAAATTCAGATACCAGTTCTTTGTCAGATGTATGTTTTGCGGATCTTTATTCCCATTTTGTGACTTGCCTATTCTCTTTACTAACCATATCTTTAATGAGAAGTTTTTAATTTTGATAAAGTAATCTTTACTATTTTTCTTATATTATTGCTTTCTGTGGCCTGTTGCCACATGTCAAGATGATATTCTCCTGTGTTTTCCTCTGAAAGCATTATGGTTTTAGCTTTTATGTTATCTATATTATATCTCAAGTCAGTTTTTTTGAGTGATGTTAGCCAGAAGTCAAGGTTAATATCACTCCATATGGATATCTAGTTATTCCAGCTCCATTTGTTGAGAAGATTTTTCTTCCCTTGTTGTATTGTGTTGGTGCCTTTATTGAAAATCCTGATTGTGTGTGTGGGAGTCTGTTTCTGTGACTCTTTCTGTTCTATTGATCTACTTTGATTATTTTGGTCTTGTGCCATTTTTAGTAGTGGTATATTCTATGAATGTTCCATAAATCATATGGAATCACTTTGCCATTGTTGGACATTTTTAAGTTTATAATTTTTTATTATTAAAAACTGTACTGTGATGTATATTACTTCTGTTGTTTAATCTTTACTTGAGTGCAAGTGGTAGAAATAATTTATAAACAAAATTCAAGACAAATATGTATAACATTACTTTTAGCTTTACATAATATATTCTAATTTTTAGTTCAGTGACAAATGACAGTAACTACTATTAACAAGAAGGTAGAGTGAGTACTGTGACCAGCAGCCATGAAGTCCTCGTCAGCTGGCAGAGGAAAATTCACTTTGCTTCTAAATGTCATTCATGGATTGTTACTATTATACTAGTAACTAAAATTATTAGAGTAGAGAAGTATAAAGAACAAAAACTTCAAAAAGGCTTTCTTAGAACTTAGTGTTCTCCATGGGTTCTGTAATATATTGTAAACATGTATTTGCATGCATGTTGCAAGATTGAAAATGGGAGTCAGATATTTGACCGATTGTTTAAAGGTATTCACTCAATTATGGAAACAGAACAGTGGTTATAACACATGTCCTATGTATTGTCAGATGTGAGAGGTTATCTGTCTTGAGCTTTTGTATATGGTAATCAGAAAGACATTTAGTTGTGTAAATGATCCCTGAGGTGCATGTTTTTATTTTATGTGTGTATAAATAAAATTATACCACTGCATGAAGTGTTTGTAAATGCTTAGCTTCTTTATGTAACAATTTATCCACTTAGAGAAGCAATTTGTGGTATGTAGGCTACCCTAGATTTTATTTTAAGTGTTTGTGATTCTTTTCTTGGGGAAGGTGGATTTTAAGGGAGGAACAGTCATTTTGGATGAATATTTAATAATTTTTTTCATATTCTTGTCCATATGAACAGTGAAATAAATGTATATCATAACCTTTTAAGAGGTTTTCTTGCATTTACCATAACAACAATTAATATCTGTGATGGAAGGACTACTATACTGGAAAACTACACTTTTCATAAATTATTTAGTCGTCTCTGCGGTCTAATCAGGGTCTGATAGCTGTAGCTTGTAGGAAGCTAGATCTTGGTAAAGCACAAAGACCAAGGACTATACCTAGAACAGTATCATAGGAACCTTGTATAAGAATGGGTTATTCGGACTGTTATATCTGCCTTCTAATTTGTCAGTAAATTGGAGGCTTCCTTTCCGGGTATGTCAGTTTGTATGTATGTATGTATGTATGTATGTATGTATGTATGTATGTATGTATTTTTTTATTTATTTATTCAAGACAGGGTCTTGCTCTGTCCCACAGACTGGAGTGCAGTGGCATGATCACAGCTCACTGCAGCCTTGGCCTCCCAGGTTCAAGTGATCCTCCCACCTCACCCTCCCAAGTAGCTGGGACCACACACATGTGCCACCATGCCTGGCTAATTTTTAAAATTTTTTGTGGAGATGGGGTCTCCCCATGTTGCCCAGTCTGGTCTCAAACTCCTAGGCTCAAGTGACCCTCCCACTTCGACCTCCCAAAGTGCTGGGATTACAGGTGTGAGCTACCATGCCTGGCTGATGTTGGTTATTTTTAGCAAAATAAAAACTCTTAGATGTCTGAAACTTTCACTATCACTCTATGATCTATTATAAATCAATAAGAATCTTTAGGCAGGCTGTCCCCTTTTTCTCTCTTTCCTCCATGAAAGAACACAATGAAGTGAGTAAAAAAGCCATTTATTTGCCCTTCCTTCTAGCCCCAGTGCTGATTCCAGCCTTCAGTGCTGATCCAGTTTCTGGATCACTGTGGATACAGGGTATGGGGGCCACTCTAACCGACTTTAATCCCTTCCTGGATTCAGCTCGTGAAATAGAATTGTTTGTTTTAGTTGTATTGGCTTTGAAGTTTTGTGTAGTGAATTGTCAGAGTCCTGGACTGAACTCAATCTCTGGTTAATTCTTGATGAAATGATTTCTCCTTTCTCACAGAACCAAATGGACATCCTCAGTTGTTCTCTGTTCAGGAATCTCCCTGTGGAAAGTCAGTGGAGGTTTAACCAGGTTGGGAGAGAGGACAGTCACTGCTGGCTGCTGCCTACTGTGAATTCCCTTCAGTATCCAATTTTTCACTTCCCTGCCTATTCTTCTAATGAGAAATAACCCAGAAGTGGAACAGAAGAAAAACAAAACCCAAAACCATCAAACAAGCTTAAGACAAATTTTGTCCTTTGGCTTTCCAATCTTCTCATCTAATCATATTATTTTCAGCAACTTTTGATAACGTGTTGCTTGTATAAAATCAATTTGTGTGTCTTTTTTCTTTCATTCTTTCTTCCTTTTTTCACAATAAGATCTTGGGAGAGTGAATGCTAATGCAGTTCTAAAGTGGAAGCTTAAAACTAAGAACAGTTTGTTCTCCTTCCATCCCTTTACACTGTGATCTTTAACATCACCGTCAAGGAGAGTGTGTTTGGTTTTGTGATCAATTTAGCTGTCAGGGGTTTGTGATTTTCTGAGAGCTGACTCTTGCTGCTAATGAACATGATCATTTATACACTGTCACTGTAGTATAGGCATGTTAAATAATTGATCAGGCCCTGGCAGTTAGAGAATGGCAAATGCAGTCCCTTTGTTGCTATGGTAATACATTTGGTTAGGGGGGCTGTCATTTGGACCACATGGATCTGGCACATGTGACATAATTGCCTGTGGTTGAGGCGGTTGCAGGAGAAAATCAACTTAAGAAGAGGTGGCATTTTGAAGTAAATTAATGTATATTTCAGGGTTTTTTTTGGGCTTAACATTGTGGAGTGACTTATTCTTTTCTATTAAAAGGCTCATTCTCAGCTAATGGTAAGCATAGAGAATGAGTCAAGTGACAGATTTGTTTACTTGCTGACACAGTGGAATTTGTTCATTTATTGTATAAAATGGTTATTGTGTGAAGTTTACATTCCTCCCTCTATTATCCCCTGGAGGGCTCCCCATAAGTGAAATTGATGCCGGGCTTATTAGGGATCCCGAAGGGAATGGACAACATACTCTCTTTTGTTCTCTGTTTTTTTTTCTTTAAACAATCATAAGTTTTTAAAGGTAGGGGCTATGTTTTTGTATTCTTTCAACAAATATTTATTTGTTGCAAGGTGCTCTTAGGGGTTGGGAGCACAGTGTGAGCAAAGCAGATATGGTCCTTGCCCTCAGAGGTTAGACTGTGGTGGATTATGTCCATTTGTCTTTGAGTTTCTCCTTTAGCCCTATCCTTAGCCTTATCAAGAACCTTCTCAATATGTGTTTGGTAAGTGTTTAGAATAGTTTCTTCCTTTCCAGTCCAGTCTCTTAATATATGTTTCTTCCAATGATCTATTAATACTATTTGTGAACAACCAACACAAAAGTAAATGAAAGCTTAATTGACATAAGTGCAGCCCTTCCATTGATCCATGTCCTTCTTTTCCTTCATAGTTTAGCCAAGTTCTACCTCTGCTGTGATGCCATCCAAGCCAACAGCAATGTCTTTCTGGCTATTTTTTTACTCAGTTGATGTGACATATTTTGTTCTGTTTTTTAAAAATGTTATTATTGGCCAGGCGTGGTGGCTCACACCTGTAATCCCAGCACTTTGGGAGACCGAGGCGGGCAGATCATGAGGTCAGGAGATCGAGACCATCCTGGCTAACACAGTGAAACCCTGTCTCTACAAAAAATTAGCTGGGCGTGGTGGCACGCGCCTGTAATCCCAGCTACTTGGGAGGCTGAGGCAGGAGAATCACTTGAACCCGGGAGGCGGAGGTTGCAGTGAGCCAAGATTGTGCCACTGCTCTCCAGCCTGGGTGACAGAGTGAGAATCTGTCTCAAAAAAAAAAAAAAAAGTTGTTACTTAATCTTTCATGTGTCCTTGCCATCCCTCTTAGATGATTTGGGGCAGGAAAAAAGCTGAAATCCAGTGGTCAAACCTCAGCATCTTCATTTTATAGAGAAGTCAGGCCTGTAGAAATTAAATGATGACAGGTTAATAAAAGAATCAGGACTGGTATCGAAGTGTCTAGACTCCAAGATTCCTCTTCTTTACTCTTCATGTGCCATTTCTGAGAGGAGGCACCAGCAGCTGCTGTGCTCTCAACTTAAAGTGGGAGTCTTGTAGCCATGGGTGGTGAACAGAGGGCTGATGCTAGGACTGAACTAGGCATAATGGGTAACAACAGTGGTTAGATAATGCAGAACTAAAGGTTGAAGCACTTTATCAGTTTTAATTTGACATATGAAGCAGTTGGAAACCATTGTAGGCTTCTGAGAAGAAGCTAAACATGAGCAAATTAACACTTGAGGGAAGATGCAAGAGACACCTGCTGAGTATCAGTATGGTTGGGGGCAGGGAGGACAGCAGGAAATGCCTTTGGAAAGGAAGTGTTGCCTGTTCGACATGTAGAAACTTGAGGCTCTTTGGTTTTGAACTAAGATACTATAATAAATACATGACAGAAATAGGAATCAAATTCTCAAATGGTGCGTCAGCTCCATCTCTTTTGATCAAAGGGCTTTCTGGCTCTGAATTTTGATGATTATCTTATTTTATTTTCACTTGCAGAAAGATCATTCTAGCATTGCTTACCTCTCATCCCATACTTATGTGACTCCAGCCCTGATTAAAATAGACTGAAATTAAGAGAAATCTTCTAAATTAAACAAAAAGGAAAATTTACTGAAAGAATTCTAATAGGTTATGGAACTCAGGCTCAGCTGGGCCTAAGGAAGATTTTACATCAGGAATTAGAATGCTAGCTCAGCACCCTATTCTGTTTTCTTTCTTTCTCTCACTAAACTGGCTTTCACTCCACATGGCTAAACCAGGCTGCACTATAGCTTCTGAGTTTATGTCTCAGTTATTGAAGCAACTTGAGAAACACATTGAGCATTTTCCAATTGTATTTTCAATTCCTGAGAGGAAAAATCGGATTGACTCAGCCCATTTTTTGCCCAGCAAAGGTGGGAGGTAGAGCAGCCAGGCTCATCTGATGCCAAAATGGCAGTGCCAGATCTCATCCTTGAATTGGAAGTATTGGGGGACAGAGAAGGGGGTCTTGGCAGATGCCCCCAACAAATTGAAAATCCCCACTTCAAATTACCCAGATTTCTAAAGAGGTGTTTGCCATTTGTTGAATAACTGTTTTGAAATTTCATTGTGGCATAATGAGGAATTACATTTATTCTTTCCATTTAATCAATTTAATCATTTTAAAAACAATTTAGATCTGTAGTGTTTTCCTGAAGCTAATGTTTTGCTGCTCACCTTTGTACTTCTTTTTTTTTTTTTTTCATTTTTAATTTTTTATTGATCATTCTTGGGTGTTTCTCGCAGAGGGGGATTTGGCAGGGTCACAGGACAATATTGGAGGGAAGGTCAGCAGTTAAACAAGTGAACAAAGGTCTCTGGTTTTCCTAGGCAGAGGACCCTGCGGCCTTCCGCAGTGTTTGTGTCCCTGGGTACTTGAGATTAGGGAGTGGTGATGACTCTTAAGGAGCATGCTGCCTTCAAGCATCTGTTTAACAAAGCACATCTTGCACCGCCCTTAATCCATTCAACCCTGAGTGGATACAGCACATGTTTCAGATAGCACAGGGTTGGGGGTAAGGTCACAGTTCAACAGGATCCCAAGGCAGAAGAATTTTTCATAGTACAGAACAAAATGAAAAGTCTCCCATGTCTACCTCTTTCCACACAGACACGGCAACCATCCGATTTCTCAATCTCTTCCCCACCCTTCCCCCCTTTCTATTCCACAAAACCGCCATTGTCATCATGGCCCATTCTCAATGAGCTGTTGGGTACACCTCCCAGACGGGGTGGTGGCCGGGCAGAGGAGCTCCTCACTTCCCAGTAGGGGCGGCCGGGCAGAGGCGCCCCTCACCTCCCAGACGAGGCGGCTGGCCGGGCGGGGGGCTGACCCCCCCACCTCCCTCCCGGACCGGGGTGGCTGGCCGGGCGGGGGGCTGACCCCCCCACCTCCCTCCCGGATGAGGCGGCTGGCCGGGCGGGGGGCTGACCCCCCCACCTCCCTCCCGGACGGGGCGGCCGGCCAGGCAGAGGGGCTACTCACTTCCCAGTAGGGGCGGCCGGGCAGAGGCGCCCCTCACCTCCCGGACGGGGCGGCTGGCCGGGCGAGGGGCTGATCCCCCCACCTCCCTCCCGGACGGGGCGGCTGGCCGGGCGGGGGGCTGACCCCCCCTCCTCCCTCCCGGACGAGGTGGCTGCCGGGCGGAGACGCTCCTCACTTCCCAGACGGGGCGGCTGCTGGGCGGAGGGGCTCCTCACTTCTCAGATGGGGCGGCTGCCGGGCGGAGGGGCTCTTCACTTCTCAGACGGGGCGGTTGCCGGGCAGAGGGTCTCCTCACCTCTCAGATGGGGCGGCCGGGCAGAGACGCTCCTCACATCCCGGACGGGGCGGCAGGGCAGAGGCGCTCCCCACATCTCAGACAATGGGCGGCCGGGCAGAGACGCTCCTCACTTCCCAGATGGGATGGCGGCTGGGAAGAGGTGCTCCTCACTTCCTAGATGGGATGGCGGCCGGGCAGAGACACTCCTCACTTTCCAGACTGGGCAGCCAGGCAGAGGGGCTCCTCACATCCCAGACGATGGGCGGCCGGGCAGAGACGCTCCTCACTTCCCAGACGGGGTGGCGGCCGGGCAGAGGCTGCAATCTCGGCACCCTGGGAGGCCAAGGCAGGCTGCTGGGAGGTGGAGGTTGTAGCGAGCCGAGATCACGCCACTGCACTCCAGCCTGGGCACCATTGAGCACTGAGTGAACGAGACTCCGTCTGCAATCCCGGCACCTCGGGAGGCCGAGGCTGGCAGATCACTCGCGGTTAGGAGCTGGAGACCAGCCCGGCCAACACAGCGAAACCCCGTCTCCACCAAAAAAATATGAAAACCAGTCAGGCGTGGCGGCGCACACCTGCAGTCGCAGGCACTCGGCAGGCTGAGGCAGGAGAATCAGGCAGGGAGGTTGCAGTGAGCCGAGATGGCAGCAGTACCGTCCAGCTTCGGCTCGGCATCAGAGGGAGACCGTTTAAAGAGAGGGAGAGGGAGACCGTGGGGAGAGCGAGAGCGAGAGAGAGAGGGAGAGGGAGAGGGAGAGGGCACCTTTGTACTTCTTAACTGCTGGAAAATTGACTTTATTATTGTTATTATTTTTATTGGTAACACAGGGGCTGAGAAGTTAAAGGTCTGCAATGCTTCAGTATAATGCTCTGATAATTAAAAGGTGAATTTCTGTGCATGAAGAAATTCTGTGAATCATAAACCATAGTTCTTTTGATTGTGTTTATACTCTTTCCAGAGAGGTTCAGAAATGAATAACCTTGAGATACTCAGACCTCACAAGGTTTACTAGCTTCAAAGATTCTGATTTTATTTATAGGCTGCAAAAAACCACTCAATGAAGTTGGTTGTGATTCACTGCTTATCACCTTGGGCTATTGCCACTCAATGCCAGGAAGGTATTGAATTTTGTACAGTGAGAGAGTAGAATAAAAACCGTGTAGCTCCAAACAGAAGCCCAAGCGTTATCTCAGGTATTTCTCATAGCTTATTGAATGGACCCAGGCCAGTGGCTTCAGATCTGAGTTTTTCTGCTTCTCCCCACCTCTGTGAGAAGTGAATACTTTGTCAATACAGCAGCTGCTTGGTTCTTTTGGTGACTGAAGGAAGAGCTAATAGGAACAGTAATTTTCATGGCCAGTTGAGTAGTGGTCTGACGAAAAATAAATCTGGATAAATTATGCCTTGGCCTGTTAGAGTACCCCTGTTTCACTCCCAGCTTTGATTTATGCAGTAGTGCTCCTCTACTGCCTCTTTAAAATCTATGGTAAACAAATTTTCTGTTATATGCAAATTTGAGAAAGGCGCTGAAGTAGATAGCTATGAAATGTACATCATGGGTATCTGCTGAAACCCATTGTCCGTTCTGTCGAAATATAGAACTCATTTATTTAAACCAGAAAACACGAAGTGGAACAAATTTTGGTTGGAAGCTAGGTAATAAAATAAATGATACATGGAAAGGGACCCCAAAGGTGCTCCAGAAAAGCTGGCATAGGATTGGAGGCCAGGCTAGGAGGAGGTGAGCATTGGGTAAGGCTTCATGTAATGGCTCCTGCAGGATTGATACTGCTTGTTATTTTGACTGTCATTTTTTAAATTATGTATTTGGATGGGGGAGCAGAGGGAAACTTTGCTTTTAGGTTTTTTCACTGTTGTCGTTTGGTTTTTGTTTGGAGGGTGTTGAATAGTCTTTCTTTTTTCATTCCTTAATGGAACCTTATCTCAAGGAGAAAACCAGCAACATTTGGCTTTGTTTCAGTCTTAAGAAGTGTTAGAATAATATTTTCCCCCCCTTCAGCTGAGGCTACAAATTGTGGCAAAAGTATGAGAGCTTCTGGACTTTATTTGGTGTTTCACTTCATGGAACTTCTTAAAGTTATCCTATACTTATTGTAACTGGGGTGTTCTACCCTCCACCTGCCCTCTGGTTGCTTCCTCTGGTAGCCTGTCTCTGTGAGAGGCATCTTGAGCCCTTCTCAGTTAGATGGGTCATGTCATTTCTCCCTCCCGGTCTTTTCAGTGAAGTCCAACAAAGCAGCTTGGTAAATGGCTTTCTGCCTCCTCATGGCCTCTTTCACAGGTGGGTGTAGGCTCCCCACCTACTTTATCTCTGGTTGCAAAGAATAGAGATACCCTCCTGTGACCTCAGGTAGTGGGAAGCTTACTGTTAGATCCTAGGAAAAAGGAATAGCTAGGCTTCAGGAAGGGCAAGGGCTGAGGAGAGCTAGTCACCTAAGAGGCTGGAATCAAAAGGCTGAGGGATTGTGGACTGTCATTCTGGGAGTCCGCCGTTATTGTAGCCTGCTACTCTCTGAGTTGCCCTTGTGTCTCAGATTTACCTGCTTTGCTGCCTGCTGCCATCTAGCTTTACCTCCTAGTTCAAATCCCCAGGATAATTTGAAAGGCTGAGCTAATTCATGATTATCTCTGACATTAGAGCACATCATAGGTTAAAGGCCAGCCTAGGGATTGTTTGCTTCTAAATCAGGTTCCCATCACTCATTCTGTCAGGTTCCATTCCCTGTGACTAGCAGGTTGATGGTGTGTGTATGTTTTGGTACAGGAAATCATGTCTAAGGCTGCCCCCGAGCAGTGGTTGGCAACATAACCTGTGCCCTTTGTGGGGGCTGTGGGCAGGGAATGCATCACAGCTGGGGTGAAGAGTACACTCGTGTCCATAAGATTCTAGAAGGATGGAGGTTATCCCCATTTTGAAACTGAGGAAATTGGAGCCAAAAGAGGTTAAGTACTTTGCTTAAAGTTACAGACTTAGTAAGTAGCAAAACTGTGATTTGAAGCCAGATTTATTTGACTCCAGTAGGCCATGGCATGTTTTTCAATTTTGAGTTTTTCAAAGATGAGGTGGGGCCATATTGAAACTTCACGAACAGTACTGGCCCTTTCTTATTCTTGGAGAGGCTGTAAAATTTCAGAACTGTTTTCCCTAGTGTCACACAACCAGAGTAGTGTCCTATGTTTTCATCTTTAGGAAAATGCCTTCTAAGAAAGATTCTGAGTTTGCGTTTATTGAAAATAAGTCGTTCGAACTCAATGCTCTGGAGTCAATACTGTCCTCACTATAGTACAACTAAATTCAGGATTGGAGTGGGGGTGGTTCTTCAATTGAGAAGTCTCCTCCTGAGTTGGAGAACACTAGAACTGAGCATTCCTGAAGTAGATCCTGTCAGTCCTGCTCATTTGCCCTTCACAGGTTCTGTACACAGGTTGTTTTCCTCCTTTAGGGTTTTATGGTTGCCCTCAAGCACATGGAGGCCCGAGACCAGGGCAGTAGGTAGGCACCTGGCACATGGTAGGCATACGATTCATATTGGTTGGGTAACTAGATGAAAGTGGGTACCCATGTGGCTCCACTGCCTCTCCTCAGTTAGGTACCTTCCTGATGAATCACTCTTTCCTCATGCTACAGATTTGCCATTTCTTTTTGTTCAAATTTTACCAGTCTTGGAAGAGAAGGCAAGTTTTCTGTAACCTGTTTAGGGAATCTTTGGAATTCTGTTTGGGCTTCTCTAGTGGTTCAACATTCAACTTCTGTGGTTTTGACCATTTTTAATCTTGTAAATGAACTCTGGGAAAACGTTTGCAATTGTCAACTCCTTCTCTTTCCTGCCTCCTCCCCTCTTTTGACATGGCCTCTTTGGTGGCGTTGTAGTGACTAACAAACAGTATAGATTTTGGAGCAGCCAGACAGACCTGAATTTAATTCTCTGCTCTGAAACATTCTGGCTGGGTGACCTTTGGCAAGTTACTCAGTCTCTCTGAGCTTGGGGCAGGTACAAAAACACTTAGCATAGTGCATGGCATATGGTAATGTCTCAAGAAAAGTTACGTGGTGCTAATATTATTATAATAATAATCAGGATAATTGCCACATTTCTTTCTAGGGCTGTCAATGCTTCTTATTCCCAAAGTGGGGAGCTGTTAACTTTGTCTGCAGCAACACAGTAATGGACAGGAGCCTTAATGCATGGTCTTTTTGTTTATATTCTGTTGTCACCCTAGAGTTTGAAGTATTTCAAGTGTTTTAAAGCACATTTTGTATGAAGATAATTATCATGCTTCTAATGTATTTGGGAGCTGAGGTATTTTAATTAATGATGTGCCAGCAACCCTTTCAAATAGGGTGAAGTGTGATTTTTAAGGCCTTCATCTGCTTGGTCATAATTAGGGACATTTGGAACGTTCAGGCATAATATCTGCTGATTTGCACACTTTCATTAAGCAATCAGGACTGAATGACCAAGTGACCACACTTTCATTGGATCAGGTTCCAATTGTTGAGGTGGAGGGGCCTTCTGTGCTTTCTCCTCCTCTCCCCTGCCCAGTTTTTCCTATAACATTTACACACATTCTGTGTTCATCTAAAACAACACTACTGTGCGTATTTTTTCAAGGCCTTGATTTTTGTAGAATCCCTGTACCGCATTTTCTTTTTTCTTCTTTTTTTTTTTTGCCTTATGAACCAGTCTGGCCGAATCTCTGTTAGAAAGTAAAATTTTCATATGAGACAGACTGTTATGGGAGTGTTAAAGGTGATTAATAATGTAAATGAAAAAGATGAAGTTCATTCCATGAGGGAGGGAGAAGAAGAGTTCTCTGAGAACTGAAAGAGACTGTTGATTTCATATCTAAGCTCCATAAAGAGAGGAACCATGTTTGACTTGTTCACTGTTGTCTTCCTTGTACCTAGCACTGGTCCTGGTACAGAGTAGAATTTACTGAATAAATTTATGTGCAATGCATGCCACTTACGTAAATTACATTGGTATCTACAAGGACAGAGCCTAAGTCAGAATCTGGATCTCCAGGGCCCAAAAAGAAGTATATGAAGAAGAGAATGAGGTAAAGAAGGCAAGAATTTAAAAAATCAACACAGAAATATATAAGGAATGTAAAAGAAAGTTACAAAATAAAAAAGGTAAGTTTTGCTCAGTAGCATTTTATATGGAAGAAATGTAGAGTATGTGGATACGTGGCATCGCATATTTCAATGCTGCTATTTGATTATTTTTTTAAAAGCAGAAGTTGAGTAGCTACATGACAGCTCTGCTGTTGTTTGGTCTATATCGTTTTTTTGGTTTTGTCATTGCGAAACTGGGATGATTTTCAAGCTCAGAGTCTTCATTATTTTTCCCCTTTCCACCTTAGGTTTATAGTTGCTGTGTTGAATTTCATAAATCTTTTTCTTGCTATTTACACAGATTGTGTAATTTCTAATCTACTTTCATTTGCCAGATCCTTTGTACATTAAGTGGGTCAAAAGCTAGTACCTCAAGTATCTTCATTCAACAGGATTTTGAGTTTTAAGCCAGTCCTCCAAACACACACTCTGTTGTGCAGTTTTCATGGACAAGGTACTCTTTCTTTTTCTACCCTCATGGCCACTCTCATTACAGACATCCAGAGGTGCCACAAGAGCCTCCTGGAGGAAGGTTAGCGTATGCTCCTTTAGTACTGGGGCACTTTCAGGCAACACAGTGAGTGCCATCCTTATGTCCTAAAGCTAGGTAAGGATTCTAACTCCTGAATCAGATCAAAGAGGAACTTGGTGGGGGGTGCTTTCTGGGATGGCGGTGGAGTCAGGGAGAGGACAGACATTTCCTGAGGAATAGGAGAAACAGATAATAGGAGAACAGATAGTAGGAGAAGACATACTGAGACTGGGAAGAAAAATAGGTTTAATTGGACTTAGAGTTCCACATGGCTGGGGAGGCCTTAGAGTCATGGCGGGAGGTGAAAGGGACTTCTTACATGGCAGCAGCAAGAGAAAATGAAGAAGCAAAAGCGGAAACCCCTGATAAACCCACCAGATCTTGTGAGACTTATTCACTGTCACGAGAATAGCATGGGAAAGCCTTGCCCCCATGATTCAATTACCTCTCCCTGGGTCCCTCCCACAACACGTGGGAATTCTGGGAGATTCAATTCAAGTTGAAGTTTGGGGGCACAGCCAAACCATATCAACCTTATTGATGTTTTTGCAGGTGAGTGCAACACTCGACTGTCAGATAATAATTGTAGCCCTTTAGCTGTGGAGAGAGATCTGTACTAGCTACCCACTCTAGGGCTGGAGCATGTATATAAGGGAGTCAGTTTAAGGAGTGTTTTTGGTGGTATGTAGGATTTATTTCCCCAGCCTGGTTGACGTGGCAAGACCCTGTCTTTACAAAAATTTTAAAAAATTAGCTGAGCATGGTGGTGCATGCCTGTGGTCCCAGCTACTGGGCTGGTGGTCGGGGTTGGGGGGCACCTAGGCGGGAGGATTGCTTGAGTCCAGGAGGTTGAGGCTGCAGTGAGTTGTGATTGTGCCACTACACTCCAGCCTAGGAAACAGATCGAGGCCCTGTCTCAAAACAAACAAACAAACAAACAAACAAAAAAAGGATATATTTCCTTTGGCTCATTGTAACACATAATTGTGACTTCCAATTTTGTAGGCATCTAGAAAAATTAGTTTTGAAAATTTGTAGAGTATGCCTATAGAACTGTTTACCAATCCATCTGTAATTATTTATTGATCACATAACATGTGACCAGGCCTAGCCAGCCCCTGTTCAGATAGAATAGTAAAATTTGGTGTAGGGTTTTTTAACTATCATTCTGTTTGTGATTTAGGTTATTAGGGAAAGCCCATTTACCCTGAATTCAAGACAGGTAGCCTCCGGGAGTTCTGAGTGGAAATTCATCTGTTTCCTCTGTCATTTTAGAGAAGGTGCTGCACTTGTACTTTCAGCAGTGGATTATGCACAATCAACCGTGATGAATATATGAGCATTTTTAATTAGTCTTCATGCCTGTGTCTAATGCAATCAGAAACCCTGTATCAGAGTAGAGATTTGTAATCAATCATTCATCATCTTCTGAGGCAGATATAAACCCATTTGCTTTTAGCCTGCAACTTAAAATATCTGCTTTAGAGAATTATTATTAACCAGGCAGATATCTGTAAATGAAGTATATTTTGAGCATGTAGACTTAAATCTCAAATTGTAGATTGCTCTGATTAGTGTAATTGTGAGAATTAAGGTGTCTCTAGCTTTCAGTCTGTCCATAGAAAACCTACCAAAAGACAAAATAGTGTTAGATAAAGAGTATCAGACTGGCGTTAAGGAAACCTGAATTTGAGGCCCACCTTTGCAAACTCCAGTTTTCTCATCTGTAAAATGAAAAGAGGATTGAAATAGCAGCTATTTAAGTTCTCACTATGTTATGTTAAAGGTATGTTACTTATAATAGAAACACTAATAGTAAACAACATCTGGGAACCATTTAATATGTCCGTGGAGGCACATGGAGCTTCTATTGTGTCACCTTTCCCCATATTGCTCCTATGAGGTAGTTACTATAAAAAGGCCACCTCTGTCCTTAGCTTGGGAGTTCTTGTTGGGGAGGCTGATCTCTGTAAGCTGAAGATTTAGAGATGTCAGATATGAATCCACAATGGTTATCTAAATAAAGATCATTGAATTAAATATAGAGTTCTGCAGAGATGATTTTTTGTTTATCTTAGTGGGTCTGTCAAAATTCTGCAATTAAAGTAAAATTGACAAATTATATTTTCAAATTTAACTGACAACCAAGTAATTATAGTGTATTTATCTGCTGTTAAAATAATTTTTTCCCCCAAAAGTGAAATTCTAGAGAATCCAAGAACAAGTTAATCCTCAGTGTTGATTAGCAGCATTAGTGAGCATGGAGAAAATGGATCACTAGTTATTGGAGTTTAAAGCAGTACAACTTTTGAGGAGTCCGTTTACATCAAAAGCCTTCAGATATTCCTACTCTTTGAGCTGATGTTTCCACTTCTGGGATTCTAATTGAAGGACAAAATCATGGGTATGTTCAAATGCTTAGTTAAAAGAATGTTCCTTGGCTGGGCATCATGGCTCACACCTGTAATTCCAGCACTTGGGAAGCTGAGGCAGGAGGATCTCTTGAGCCTAGGAGTTCAAGACCAGCCTGGACAGCGTAAGGAGACTGTCTCTACAAAAAGTAAAAAAATCAGCCGGGTGTGGTGGTGCACACCTGTAGTACCAGCTATATGGAAGGCTGAGGTGGAGAGGATTGCTTGAGCCCCGGAAATCAAAGCTGCAGTGAGCTGTGATTGTGCCACTGCACTCCAGCCTGGGCAACAGAGCAAGACCCTGTCTCAAAGGGAAAAATAAAGGAAATTCCTTGCACAGTGTTTATGACACTGAAAACCTAAAAGCAAACTAAATACCCAGCCACGAGCAGATTGGTTAAATAAACCCATTTAATGCCAAATATGTCATAAAATGGCACTCTCTGGGGACCAGTCTTTTTTCCTCCAATAATTAAAAAATCAATCTAGTTATACTTAGTAATTATAGGAATTTAGAATATACAGATAAACAAAACTAAACATACACAATCCCACTTTCCAGAAGGAACCATTATTGACATTTCCAGTTATGTCCTTCTGGAATTTACACTATATATACATATCTATGTGTATATCTATGTGCATATGTGTATGTATGTCCATACTTATATGTGTATTTGTAACTACACACACAGAAATGTGTGTTTAGTTCTTTCTCACCTATTTACTTACTAACAATCATTCAGACTGTACAGTTTAATGAAACATTGGGATCATACCTTATTTGGCATTTGTTAAAACTCCCAGTGCAAGAATAGTGCCTGGCCTGTAGAAGGAATTGAATAAATATTTGTGGAACAACTGAATGTATCTTGACTATCATTCCAGGTTCACTGTTTAATTCCAAAAGATTATTTTGATGACTAGGTAGAACTTCATAGTGTGTATGTACCACATTTAGTTGTTTCTAGTCTTTAAGTATAAAAGCCATTGCTGAATAAATGCTTTTGTCCCTTAATTTTCAACACATTACAATTTGTTCGTTACAGTTAATACTCTAAAAATGGAATTGTTGGATAAAAGGTTATGTGAGTTTCTCACTTTTGGTAGCATTGCCAAATGCCTTCTGGAAAGAGTGGGCCATTTTATATTCCCGGTGAAAGAATGCACTGTCTGAGTTCACACTTGAGAACATGAACTTTTTTTTCCCCCCAATAAAAATGTTTATTGGGATAATTGTAGATTCACATGCTGTTGTAATAATTATACAGAGAGATCCTTCCTACACTTTGCCCAGTTTCCCCCAGTGGTAACAGTTTACAAAACTATGGCATAATGCCATAACCAGGCTATTGACATTGATACAGTTCACACATCTTCCTTAGTTTTACTTGTGCTCTTTGTGTGTGCCCGCATTACATTCTACAAAGTTTGCCATCTGTGTAAGTTTGTATATCTACCACCAAAGTCAACATATTGAATAGTTCCAACACTATGTGGGTCCCTTCTATTGCCCTCTTATAATCACACCACTTCCCTCCTGCCCTCCCTGCCCCCATTTTCCCATACATCATCCCTAGCAACCACAAATCTATCCTCCATTTCTAAAATTTTATCGTTAAAAAATGTTATATAGGTGGAATCATACAGGATGAAACTATTTGAGATTGGCTTTTTTCGCTCAGCATAATTCCCTGCAGAGTCATTCAAGCTGTTGTTGGTATCAATAGTTCATTACTTTTTATTGCTGAGTGGTATTTCATGGTATAGATGTACCACAGTTTGTTTAATCATTTACCTATTGAAGGATATCTCAGCTGATTCTGGTTTTTGGCTCTTAGAAATAAAACTACTATGAACATTTGTATACGGGTTTTTGTGTTAACATAAGTTTTCCTTTCTCTGGGATTAATGCCCAGCAGGTCAGTTGCTGGATTGAACAGTAGTTACATGTTTGCTTTTTTATTCTTTATTTTTTTGTTTTTTTGACAGTGTCTTACTCCGTTGCCCAGGCTGGAGTACAGTGGCATGAACACGACTCACTGCAGCTTTGACTTCCCAGTCTCAAGCGATCCTCCCACTTCAGCTTCCTGAGTAGCTGGGACTACAGGTGGTCACCACTAACCCAGCTAATTATTTTTATTTTTTCTGGTAGAGACAGAGTTTCACCATTTTGCCCAGGCTGGCCTTGAACTCCTGGGCTTATGTGATCCTCCCTCCTCAGCCTCCCAAAGTGCTGGGATCACAGGTGTGAGCCATTGTCCCAGCCCATGTTTAGTTAAGAAACTGCCAAATGTTTTCCAGAGTGACTATACCACTTTAAACTCTTACCAGCAAGTGATCTAGTATCTCTGCATCTTTTCTGACATTTACTATTTTCACTGTTTTTAATTTAAGCCATGCTGATAGATATGCAGTAATATATCTTTGTGGTTTTAATTTGCATTTCCCTAATAGCTAGTAATGTTGAACTTTTTTCATGTGCTTGTTTGCCTTCTGTATTTCCTCAGAATTATCTCTGTTCATGTCTTTTGCCCCTTTTCTAATTTTTTACTGTTGAGTTTTGAGAGTTTAATATTTTAGACACTAGTCCTTTTTCAAGTATGTGGTTTGCAGATATTTTTGCCAGTCTGTAGTTTACCTTTTCATCTTCTTCACATGGGCTTTCATAGAGCAAAAGTTTTAAGTTTTGATGATGTTCAATTCATCAGTTTTTTCTTTTACAGATTGTGCTTGTGGTGTCAAGTCTAAGAACTCTTTTCCTAGCTGGTATGGACTTTTGACTCATCCCTTAGAGACCCTCTAACATTGGTCATAATTTTGCAGCTTGAGGTAACTGTGTTAGAAATTGGGTTGGAATATCCTTTGTTTTGTTAACAACTAGACTATTGTTTTTTCCTTTTTCATATCTTTAGCTGGAGAATGGTACAGCTCTCTTTTATTTCAGGCTGTCAGAGCTTTTCTGAAATGTTGCAATCCTGCTTCAGAATAGGGGCATCTGAGTCTTGGCATTCATCCCAGTCATAGCCTCTTTTGCCAATTCTTCCACAATTTCTGTAATTGTAACATGTAAAAGAACTCTTCATCCTGACCAGGAAGGATGGTGGTGAATGTGACAGTGGGGATTCATGGGTAAGGGATAAATGACTTTAACTGAGTCAGAAGCAGCAAACTTTGAGGGGTTTGTATTTCATGTTGAGAACGTTCCCTTAGACCATAGTAGTAGTGGAGTATAAGGAGATGGTTGAGGGTGAACTCTTTAACCTCATGGCCTGGTTTTTCATCCTGGCTCTTCCCCTTACTAGTTGTATAAGCACAGGCATGTTTCTTAATCTCTCCTTTCATCAATTTCTTCAGTTGTAGAATGAGGATAATAATAATAGTACCCATTTTATAGCGTTGTTCCAGGATTAAGTTGTTACATGTAAAGTGCTTGGTATAGGGCCTGGTAACTGCTCATAGTTGTTAACATTTTTATTATTTCACCTCTTGCATCTGTCCTGTCACCTGAAGTACTTTTTAAAATGCAGATTCCTGGATTTCCATTCCCAGACCTTCCAAATCAGAATCTGAAGGGATAGGGCCCTAGGAATTGCATTTCAGAAAGATTCCCACATGGTTCTTAGGAATGCTAAAGTTTTTGAATAGTTACCTTGAGCCATTACTATTTCTCCATGGTAAGTGAGCTCTCTAGTCTTTCTTTAGAGATGTGGTTGGGTACTTCTGCAAAAGCGCATACCTCCTCTCTAAGAACACTTCTGGTGTTGCCAGAAACTAACCAAACTTTCTATACAGAGTCAAGTTATGGCGGAACTGTGTATCTAGCTGGCTCAGTGGCATGCACACTGGGGTCAGGCGGATGTGAGACCATAGAATGTGATGAGTTCTATGACAAACTAGAGCATGAATGTTATATTCAAAGGTCTCCAGATGAAAATAAAACATAAATCTGTGGGCTGGATTCAGTATTCTGGCTGCCAATTTGTAATAGTTTTACATAGGTATGGAGCAGTGTCTTTAGGTGAGGTTGGGAGGGAGAATATAAATTTGCAAATCTCTTTGTCAATTTTCTTGTAAGTGTGCTGCTCAAGGCCAGTATTTTTTCTACCAGCCGTTCTATTAGGGATTATTGTCCAGTGTAAATATTGCAAATTAAACTCTGGGGATAACCTTAGGCTATATAGATAGCAGTATATGCTTCCTTTTTCAAAAACGATGACTCTGTAGCACTTCTCCCCCAAAGGATGTGGCAGAAAGCCACAGATATTCCCTCTCTGAGAGACTTAACTGATACTTTTTTAAGCAAGAATAACCATGATTAAAGTTACTGTTTTAAGTTAGAGACTAGCTTTTGAGAATACAACTGACTTCTTTTTATAGTACAGTAGACGTGGCCAGGCACAGTGGCTCACACCTGTAATCCCAGCGCTTTGGGAGGCTGAGGCAGGTGGATCATCTGAGGTCAGGAGTTCAAGACTAGCCTGGCCAACGTGGTGAAAATAAAAAATTAGCCGGGCATGATGGTGGGTGCCTCTAATCCCAGCTATTAGGAAGGCTGGGGCGGGAGAATAGCTTGAAACTGGGAGGCGGAGGTTGCAGTGAGCTGAGATCTCACCATTGCACTCCAGCCTGGGTGGCAGAGGGAGACTCTGTCTAAAAAAAAAAAAAAAAAAAAAAAATACAGTGGACGTTCTCTTAACCAATCTATGTGGTTCCCTGGTTTACCAGTGCTTTCCATTCTCTCTGGAAAGTACATTGACTCTCATGCCCACTCCCTGCTGAGTGCCCTGTCTGGTAGGCTATTTCCCATGTGTGCTCAAGGTTCCAAACATTTCCTCCCACTGCTGAGTTGTGTGCATTGTTACAGTAATTACATAGTTTCATTAAATAACAAGTATACTGATGAAATATGTGTGTGAAAAGGAAATTGTTTATTTTGATGAAGTTGAATTAATTGGAAAGACTAAAGGCAACTTGCCATAAGATATTGGTGTCAAATTGGATGTGGAAGAGAGAACTCTAAATGATTGGCAAAGATGTTTAAAATATGGAAGGATTCTGCACTGAATTGATTCATACTGAGGTTCTTCTCAACTTCAAGTAACCTAAATGGGAAGTTAGGTTTATGCAAGAAAGACAACTTTGACCTTCAATCAGCAGACCTGTACTTAAAGAAATAGCCTTGGCCTATGTGAAAATGCTGGCAAATAAATTTGCTTTTTTAAGTTTCATGATTAAATATTTAAGATAGGAACATATGTGTCATTTTTTAAAATGATTATGTACCTTAAATGGTATTTTCTCTTAATCTACAAACCATCATCCCAGTTGCAATAGAGTTTCTGTAGTTCCATCCCACAGAGCTATATTGCTAATAAAATAGAGTAGTTGACCAAGACTAGCCTGCAGCCAACTTGGGAAGAGGATCTCTTTTTACAGAAAACAGTGCTTTCAAAAGCGGACTATCCAGAAATACCTCATATATTTTTTTAAGTTTGATCCTTTCACTTTATACCTTAGTTCTACCTAGTTTTAGCTTTTCAAATACTTAAATATAAGTAAGTATACATTTCATAAAATGGTAAAATCGACATTTTATCTTCCTGTGAAAAATTTCTCATTAAGTGGTGCTTATTCAATATAAAGTGATTCATTTTTAAGCTCAAAGGTGTTCAGAATACTCTACAGCAGTAAAATTGGGTATAATAAACTATCCTTACTTCAGACATGAACTGATAAAGAGTTTCTTATATAAAATCCTAGTGGTAAAAATAAGTTTAGAAAATAAAAAATATTAACAGTCAGCTTATATGGCCAAATCTTTGTTCTGCTCCCATTGTATTTTCTGGGTGTGTTTTGCTCTCCTGAGTCAGGCAGCTGCTTTGCTGCTTAGGTTATTCCCAGACTTCTCAGGGCTCCAGGAGCATGAGCTTCTATGGCTTCCTGGTCCAATGTTCCCCCGAGGCAGTGATGTTGAAGGTAGAACAGACAAGACAACTTGGATAAACAACTACATAAAAATTTTCCTTATCTTGACTTTGGCTCCAGTCCATGAGTGAGACACAGTAGAATAATATCCTCGTGCTTTTTGAGTATGTACGTACCTCCTAAAGCTAACCAGTGAGTCATCAGCAGACTACTTGATGAAGCTAGTGTTGTTACTTTTCTCTAGGGTGTTCATCTCTTCCCATTAAGGACTTTTTTTAAGATATGCTACACTAGTTTTTAGACCCTCTCTTGCATTAGTAACAAAAAGACTAGAGATCATTGTTTATTACCTGTGATGGTAAGTACCCAGGAATATTTGTTGAATGAATGAACTGGTTTGCCAGTCTCAACAGACTTGTATTTGCTAATAACCCTGAGTGAAGAGGGACATTATCAGTTAGGTTAATAAAGCATTAAGTTGAGAGTGGGAATGTTAATGCAGGCATAATGGAGTAAAATTGCCTGGCCTGAGCTGGTAATTGGAGTTTAGCCACTGCATATACATTTTTACAGTCCTTTATGTTTCTTTCTCTTTTCCATCACGAGAGCTCATTCTTTTGAGACTCATGTCTGTGTCATCAACATCCAATAATATTCATTAAGCTCCTGCATGCCAAGTACTGCTGGGTTTCGTCCCTTTTAATGAGTGTGACGTTTAAGTTGAAGGATAGGCTTTTATGCAACACTGCTTTGTCCTGGAAGGAGTAATCTGTGAGTACACATGATTTTGGCACACTGTTTTCCTCAGTTCAGTGAGCTAATTAGATCAATCACATATTTTTGTTGGCAAGCTCTGGCTGCTTCTTTAAAACAAGGGGTAAATCAGTGTGCCTTTATGCTGGGAGATGTTATCAGACCTGGGCTCTGTCGGTAGTAGCCATTAGTGGGTTCTTTTATCTTGATTTTGTAAATAGTTGCTCCTTTACACAATAGATGTTCATGCTCCATGATTCCTTGCTAATTACACTTTTGTCACTTACTACAGTACGCCTTTTCGGTCATCAAGCATTGCTTATGCAGAGTACAATTGAGACAGCCAAGTAAAAAGGGGTCCCTGGAGAATCTCTGACTGGCCTGTGCACTGGGAGGATGGGTTGGAGCCTTGGGAAGTTCACACCATTTGCAGTGGGGAGGAGCCTGGCCTCTCCTTTCCTGTTAAGAGGAACCTCTCTCACTTTGTTGAGAGGTTTTCTTTTTTTTCTTTTTTGCCCAGTAAATTCTGTTCCCCTTCACCCTTCAAAGTGTGTGTGTGGCTAACTTTTCCTGGTTGTGTGACGAGAACCCAGTTTTTTCTACAACACAGTGTTGTGTGTGTGGTGCTCTGTTTTGTGCTGCTCTTGGTTAGGTTTTTAAACAATGCTTTAAAAATAAGTAATTGCACAAAACAACATTTAAGGAAATCAAAATACATGGAAACTTTTTTTGTCCAGCCCTTGGTGGAATGTGACTTGTCCCCTCCACATCCCCTGCTTTTTTTTATTCCCAGTATTAAGTATTTGTAAGCTCTCTTAATTTTCCCTTCAAAGTTGTTTTGATTTGTCCCACTCTATATTCTCTTTGCTATCACCTGGCTTAGTCCCTCATCACTGTACTACCTGCTTTACCTGCAGTATTCTCTCTCTCTCTCAACAGCCTCGTTTGCCTCATGCCAACTTATCCCATGTTTATCTGCCAGACTCATTTCCTTACATCCCTCTTTTGTCCTACAATAACTATGCTCAGAATTCTTTATGAGCTCCCAGTTGCCTCATGAACTGGCCCCTGACTCCCTTGCCTGGCTGTCATTACTCGGTTCCATGAACTCTGTCAGTGGCAGTTCCTGCTCCTCAAAAGTCAGTTGTCTTCCCTGGGGGAAATAAGCTTGTTTTCCGCTCCCTACAGCATGGCACCATGGTTAAGAGCATGGGGGAGCAGATTTGCTTGAGATCAAATGCTGGTTCAGCCACTTACCTCAGGAAGGCAACCTCTCTGTGCCTTAGATTTCTCATCTATAAATTGGGCATAATGCTAGCCCATCCTTCATATACTTCTGAGGTGTGAGTTGTGTTATGTATCTGACACAGTAAGAATTTAGCAAAAGGGTGAACTACTATTGTTATTATGTTGCCTAAAATGCCCTTCTAATAATTATGTTAGCACTTATGTATTGCTACTATGTGTCAGATAGACACTGTTCTGAAACTCTTTCCTATGTGAATTTGTTTAGCTCTTACAATAACTCCATGAAGAAAGAACTGGTACCCCATTTTATAGATGAGAAAACTGAGGCACAGAGGTGGAGTGACTTGCTTAACCTCATCCAGCAGATGTGGCAGGGCTAAGATTTGAACCTAGGAAATCCAGCTCTAGAGTCTGTGCTCTTAAGCACTGTACTGTAAACCTAAATTCTCCTTGTATGATAAACATGCTGTAAAGTGAACCCCCTCCAAAACTGTATGCTTAGCCCCTCACCACCAGCCCATAGGGATGGCTTTCTGAACTCCTAATGCATGTAATAGGCATAGAAAAGCTAAAGCCTTCATTGTTTTGTATCCTGCAGTCCTGTATATATATGAAAAAATTCTTTGATTATAATTATTGAATGCTATAATAGAGAATTTGGAATATGGAGACACCAAAGAATAGCATACAATACACCTGGAGATAACTACTATTCACAGGTTATCTGTGTTCCTGAACTTATTTGTAAATATTATACATATATCTTTCACAATATAGGGCATTATACGTACACACATTATACATAATTATTATCATACCATGTATATAATTTTGCATCTTGCTTTTTTTGCTTAATATTATAGTGTGAGCATTTGCCTGTCATTAAATAATCTAAGTCACCATTATAATGAATGCAAACAATTTAATTTGTTATTTAGACTGTAGTGGACATATTGTTTCCTTCTAATTTTTTATAACTAGAAACATTTCTACAATTAAATGGATCAAAGATTATGGCTTAAAAAAGACTTCTGGTATGTTTGCAAAATTGCCTTTCAGTAGGTTGTATCTATTTATTACTTCTGTAGTGGAAAACTCTAGGGTGTTTCAAGGCACTGATTGATTGTGAAAATTTTGATGCATCTTTGCTAACGTGATAGATGATCTAGGGCAAGTGTCATGGCTCAAATTGCGTTGAACCAAAGTGCTTAGGGCAATAAGCACATGGTACTCCCTGAGTACTTATTTGGCTAATTTTCAATAGTGATGTGGTGGGATTTGTAGAATTCTAAGATTCAGAAACTGGAGGACACGGGACAAAATCATTTACTAAAGCTCCATATTTTGAAGATAAAGTGAGACACAGAGTAGTGAAGTAACTGTCCAAGTTCGTATAGCTGGTTGGGAGCAGAATAAGTATTATGTTTCTTGTTTTCAAGCTCTGATTGTTTTCACTATGTCACATTGTTTTTCACTTACCTTAACCCATTGACCCCGATCTGGCTTCACTTACAGTGAGACATAGCTGCCCAAACTTGGAGGTGCAGCTTATGACCATATACCAAAATAATCAATGTTTTCAACACTTTGGGTCTAAGATACAGGGATACTGATTAACCTCACCAAACAGTCCAACTTTGTCATTATTTAATTTCTCCTTTTCCTGCTTAGAGCTTCCCAGGTGCCACTGTTTAAGATCAACTGGAGGGAGTGTGAAGATGGGGACCTGAAATATGGCCTGTCCCTCACAGACCGAGACCTCAGACTCTGTGATGCTGTTTAGTGCTTTGTGCTTGGAAATAGGATTCTTAGGGGTTATGGGTTTAGGTGGTAGTTGCAGTGTCTGGCTGTGTGGCCTTTCCCCTCTTCTGCCATGGTATTGAGAAAAGGAAATCCATGGAAGCTGGCTCAGCTTGACTTAATCTTGCCTCTGGAACCAGTTCTCTGAGCTGTCATCTTAATACAGCCTTGCTCTGCAGGTTCAGAGGTGTGGAAGTTGGGAGGCTGAGGCAGGAGTTTGTCTTGAGCCCAGGTATTTGAGACCAGCCTGGGTAACATAGGGAGACCCCCTATCTACAAAAAAATACAAAAATTAGCCAGGTGTGGTAGTGTGCACCTGCAAAGCTACTTGGAGAGGCTGAGGTGGGAGGACCACTTGAGCCCTGGAGGGCAAAGCTTTAGTGAGCTGTGATCATGCCACTGCACTCCAGCCTGGGCAACACAGTGGGACTCTGTCTAAAAACAAAAAGTGTGGAAGTCCTCACTGCCCTCACTATTTTTGCATTTTCCAAAAGAGCAGTTGGTTTCCCAGAAAGGTCTGGGTAGCATGGATTAATATTTCTACATATTGATAATGTGGAATGAAAAGTAAATGCAATGACTTTTTGCAGTTTAATCTTTCTTTGATATTGTGTTAATTAAGCCATAAAAAACTAGTAGTTTCAAGGCAGAACATACATGTTAAATTCATATCCACCCATATTGCTAATAAGATTGACTAAAATTTCCAAGGCAAAATATTTCCTTATCCTTCTTTTTTTTTTTTTTTTTTTTTTTTTTGAGACAGAGTCTCGCTCTATCTCCCAGGCTGGAATGCAATGGCATGATCTCGGCTCACTGCAACCTCTGCCTCCCGGGTTCAAGCAATTCTCCTGCCTCAGCCTCCCGAGTAGCTGGGACTACAGGTGCCCACTGCCACGCCCGGCTAATTTTTTGTATTTTTAGTAGAGATGGGGTTTCACCATGTTAGCCAGGATGGTCTCGATCTCCTGACCTCGTGATCCACCGGCCTCAGCCTCCCAAAGTGCTGGGATTACAGGTGTGAGCCACCTCCCCCAGCCTCCTTATCCTTCTTAGTTTTCAGAATAACCTATCTATATCCCTCCTCTTGTCCTTAACAAAGAACAAAGGATGTAACTAGTTGATTATAAGAATTATTTTGAATTAAAATTTCCCTATTAAAAAAATTGAAAAAGAAACCTGCTTTGAAAAATGTCTCACCTTCAGGGAAAGGTGAATGCCTGAATGCTGTTATGCTGTTTATTATGCTTTTGGATGAGAAACTTTATTCATTCAAATATTTCTTAAGGGCCCATGTGATGGTTAATTGTAAGTGTCAACTTGACTGGATTAAGAGATACCTAGATAGTAAAGTGTCACTTCTGGGTGTGTCTGTGCGGTGTTCCCAGAGGAGATCAGTATGTGGGTGGGTGGGCAGACTAGTGGGGTACATCTGCCCTGAGTGTGGGCATGGAACATCCAATCTGCTGGCGGCCCAGGTAGACAGAAAAGGCAGAGAAAAGGTGATTTCCTCTCTCTGTCTCTCTCTCTCTCCTGAAGCTGAGACACTCTTCTTTTCCTGCCCTTTGACATCAGACTCCAGGCTCTTCAGCCTTTGGACTCCCGGATTTATACCAGCAGCCCCCACTACCTCACTCTCAGGTTCTCAGGCCTTTGGCCTTAGACTAAGAATTATAACATTGGCTTTCCTGGTTCTGAGGCTTTCGGACTTGGACTGAGCCACACTACCGGCATCCAAGGTCTCCAGCTTGCAGATGGACTCCTGTGGGACTTCTTGGCCTCCATAATTGCGTGAGCTAAGTCCCCTGGTAAATACTCTCTCGTCTATCTATCTGTCTGTCTGGAGAACTCTCACTGATACAGACTGCTATGTGATATTCATTGTGTAAGGTATTGGGGATATAGCAGTGAACAAAATGTAGACCTTGCTTTCACAGAGTTTGTAGTCTTGAGGAGCAAAAAGACAAGTTCTTCTGGGAATTCTTCCTAGTAGTGGAGACATCTAGGCTGAGACCTGAGGAGTGAGAAATCTCAGTTACCCAGGACTGAAGAATATGCCTACTGTGATTGGATCTGGAAATGGGAAAGTGGGGATTCAATATTTGGCTTAACTGTTAATGTGGACATACACACGCAACATGTTAAAGAAGGAGAACCATGAGAATATTTAGGTTTAATAACAGAGTCTTTATCTCAAAAAATGTTTTCTGCTACTTTAGAGCCTAAATCTTGTTTCTTCAGGTGGGCTGGCCTCAAGAGGTAGGGGGAGATTGAAGGTCTCAGGTTCCAATCACAAAGACATTCTCCTTGGTCCCCACTTCATCAGTTCCAGCAGCACCCGCCACCCCCTGCCTTGCTACTTGTTCCTTAGTTTGAAAACTGCATGGCAGTTTTTTCTCTAGGTTGGCAATTCTGATTAGAGTGGATTACTGCTACTCGGAAACCAGGAGAGAATAGTGTGACATGCTTTTGTGCAGTGGTACCCTTGATTTGCTGTATCTTGTCCCCTGAAGAGTTGTCATAAAGGACTGTAGGCCATCAATTGCATCCTGTATGTGTGAGCAGTGGCAGAAGTACCTGCAGATACAGTGCTGGTGATATGTTAGAAAGAAGGTATGTCTGAAACAGTCAAGACACACTTCTCTATTTTAGTGTGTAAATGGTAGCTCCAAGAGAAGAGCCACCCCGCAGAGAGGCCATAGGCTCACAGAAAGGTAAGGCTTAAGCTATAAGATCATCTAGTCTAATGTTCTTAGAACTTTCTTAAACACTCTTTTTTTCCCCCAAAAAAACGTTCTGTGGAAATCCAGAATATAAATTTGATAAAAAGCAGTGAATTGACACCTTAGAGAGTTTTAATATTTACCATTTTTTAAAATATGTGAAGCACCACTCCTCCCCAAAGCTCTTGGATTCTGGTAGGCACAGATGGAAAGATAGCTCATAGTAATGGCTCACTTTTGTTAGTATTTGCAGTGAGAAGGACTCTGTGCTGGGCCAGGCACAGTGGCTCATGCCTGTAATCCCAGCACTTTTGGAGGCCAAGGCGGGCGGATCACCTGAGTTCAGGAGTTTGAGACCAGCCTGGCCAACATGGCGAAACGCTGTCTCTACCAAAAACATAAAAATTAGCTGGGCATGGTGGCGGGTGCTTGTAATCCCAGCTACTCGGGAAGCTGAGGCAGGAGAATCATTTGAACCTGGGAGGTAGAGGTTGCAGTGAGCCGAAATTGCACCACTGCACTCCAGCCTGGGCCACAGAGTGAGACTCCCTCTCAAAAGAAAAAGAAAAAAAAAAAAAGATTGTGGTGAGCACTTATCTGCAGTGTCACTTTGAATCTCCCCTGTAGTCCCATGAGGTAGGCACCATCATGATCACCTCTATTTTACAGATGAGGCTTTAAGCTTGGAGTGGTTTAATGTCCTGCTGAAGGTTACATGGCTACTAAGTGATATAACTTGTGCTTGAATCTGGGTCTCCATGACTAACCACTCAATGCCTTTAATTAATAATCTAGTGGACTCTTATCACTAGATGCCTCAGGTTCATGCCAGCACCAGCACTGGGACCCAGGAATTCAAACCCCTGGTCTAGTGTTGTTGGTGCTACACCAAAATAGGTAACTGCTTTGGAAATATCAGAGTAATATTTAATAAGCGGGCTAATTCCATGGAAACAGTTTTATCAGAGGCCTTTGAACCAGAGTGACTCCATTTTGAATAGGGGCTGGGTAAAATAAGGCTGAGACCTGCTGGGCTGCATTTCTAGTAAGTTAGACATTCTAAGTCACAGGATAAGATAGGAGGTCAGCACAAGTTATAGGTCATAAAGACCTTGCTGATAAAACAGGTTGCAGTGAAAAAGCCAGCTAAAACCCACCAAAACCAAGACCAAAACCAAGATGGCAATGAAAGTGACCTCTGGTGGTCCTCACTGCTACACTCCCATCAGCACCATGACAGTTTGCAAATGAAATGGCAATGTCAGAAACTTACCCTATATGGCCAGGCACAGTGGCTCACGCCTGTAATCCTAGCACTTTGGGAGGCTGAGGTGGATAGATCACCTGAGGTCAGGAGTTTGAGACCAGCCTGGCCAACATGGCACCATCCCATCTCTACTAAAAACGCAAAAATTAGCCAGGCGTGGTGGCACACGCCTGTAATCCCAGCTACTTGGTGTTGGAAATGCAAAATACTTGTTCCCCGGTGCTGTAAAGAAATAGCACTCGAACATAAATTTAATTTTCTCAGCAAGGCAACTTTTACTTTCTGCAGAAAGGGTGCCCCTCGCAGATGGAACAATGGTGAGAGCACACCTGGACAGGGGAGGGGCAGGAGTTCTTATTCCTGATGCAGGTACCCTCTACTGTTGTGTCATTCCCCTATTGGCTGGGGTTGGACTGCACAGTCTAAACTAATTACGATTGGCTATTTTAAAGAGGGCAGGTGTATGAGCCAGAGTGGCGGGGTGAGTAGTTTGGCAGGAAGGACAGTTAGGAACAGGTAACTAAAGGTGACTTAGGTCACAGCAGGTGACTGGGATGAGTCAGGACAGAGCAGGTAATCAGGGGAACAGACGTAAACTACTGATTCGGACTGGTGGGAAAGTTGTTTAGTGAAACTAGAATCAAGTGGGCAAAGAGAACCAGGAAGTTTAAAATGGAGAATCAAAGAATAAGAGAGCTGAACATACTGACATACTGATTCTTTGAAGAGAAACTTGGGGTTCACTATATTTAACATTGGGAGGCTGAGGCTGGAGAATTGCTTGAACCTGGGAGGTGGAGGTTGCAGTGAGCCAAGATCACACCACTGCGCTCCAGCCTGGGCGAGAGAGTGAGACTCTGTCTAAAAAAAAAAAAAAAAAAAAAATAGTTACCCTATATGGTGAGAAAAGGGGAGGAACCCTCAGCTCTGGGAATTACCCATGCCTTTCCCAGGAAACTCATGAATAATCCACCTTTTGTTTAGTATGTAATCAAAAAATAAGCATAAAAATGGTCAATCAGCCACCCTCAGGGCTGCTCTGCCTATGGAGTAGCCATTCTTTATTCCTTTACTTTCTTAATAAACTTGCTTACACTTTACTCTATGGACTCACCTTGAATTCTTGCATGAGATCCAAGAGCCCTCTCTTGGGATCTGGATCGGGACCCCTTTCTGGTAAGTTTCCTTAAAAATACATGTAGTATGGGACACATGTTCTTTTTAAATGTAGCTTTAAAAAGACTAGCCTGTAGTCTTTGAAAGAGAGATGAGTATGTGTTAAAGTAAAGGGGAAAATTTCTCCTTCCTTCTCTTTTCTCCCTTACTTTCTACCTTTTGTAATCAGAAGACTTGAAAAATCTTTAAAAAGGGTTTATTTTTGAAAGAACAAGTGAGTGACAGGATGATTTTTCTTGTTCTCCAGGTTGTTGGTATTTATTTGTTTGCCTGTTTATATTTTTAAGTTTTTTATTTTTAATTTTTGTGGGTACATAGTAGGTGTATGTATTTACGGGGTACATGAGCTGTTTTGTTACAGGCATGCAATGTAAAATAATCACATAATAGATAATGGGGTATCCATCCCTCAAACATTCATCCTTCATGTTACAAACTATCCAATTGTACTCTGATTTTAAAATGCACAATTAAGTTATTATTGACTGTAATCACCCCTACTATGCGATCAAAGAGTAGGTCTTATTCATTCTTTCTATTTTTTGTACCCATTAGCCATCCGCACCTCCCCCCGAACCCCTATGTGTGTATTTTTAAATTAGCCAAATTACCTAGTAGCCTCGCATGAAGGGTAAATAGTTTTAAAATGGTAATTCAGTATGTAGAGTAAAAGCCAGTTTTTGTGTTAATTCTTAAGATTGGTTTGGGGTCATTTAGAACTATTAAAGATGGAATATTAGAAAATATTGATTGAACTTACTGAAACAGCTGTGGTGTGTTTTTGTTAGTTTGCCTAGCAAAGGTAATATTCTTTCTTGGTTTGAAGGCTTGTACCATTTAAAAGATTTCTGAATTTAAAAAACTAATATTTTCCCTCTCTCTAAGTGTCTTTAATAACCTTAGATATGTAGTTTCTTAGTTGATGGATACTGTGGTTCTAGTTGCTTGACATCCTGGGATGCAGACTCTGAGGTGGAGATTTGCATGCAGGAGTTTGTTAGGGTATGTTCTCTGAATCAGCACCTGTCAGGGAGAGAAGCAGGACTGTGCAGAGGATGATGTTGGACAACCATCAAGTCCTTTCTAAGGCCTAGGCTGACCCTACAGGAAGCTCTGAAACTGGGTTGACTCCCTCAGAGTTGTCCTGAATTGGGGATGGGGGCAACATCCTCCTTTAGTCATGGATATGAACTGCCCTTAAGGGGGAGGGCTTAATCACGGGCAAAGCAGCTGTCTTTGGCAGAGGGAAAATTCTGGAGAGGGCTGACAGCCCACAGCACTCCTGGCAGCTGGAAGAATAAACTTTTTGGTCCTGGAGGGATTTAGGGGAACCTGAGGGCATCCATTACAGTGCTATTAAAGCTTGAAATTTAGTAAAAGGGTAGGGGAAGTGGACAAAAGGTCATCAGATAATCTCTGTGTGATGAACATAGTGTTAAGGTAGATAGGTAATTGTACAAGTATAACTAAGATTCACTGCCATCCCTATCAAGATACCAATGACTTTCTTCACAGAATAGGAAAAAACTACTTTAAAGTTCATATGGAACCAAAAAAGAGCCTGCATTGCCAAGACAATCCTAAGCCAAAAGAACAAAGCTGGAGACATCACACTACCTGACTTCAAACTATACTATAAGGCTACAGTAACCAAAACAGCATGGTACTGGTACCAAAACAGAGATATAGACCAATGGAATAGAACAGAACCCTCAGAAATAACACCACACATCTACAACCATCTGATCTTTGACAAACCTGACAAAAGCAAGAAATGGGGAAAGGATTCCCTATTTAATAAATGGTGCTGGGAAAACTGGCTAGCCATATGTAGACAGCTGAAACTGGATCCCTTCCTTACACCTTATACAAAAATTAATTCAAGATGGATTAAAGACTTAAATGTTAGATCTAAAACCATAAAAGCCCTAGAAGAAAACCTAGGCAATACCATTCAGGACATAGGCATGGGCAAAGACTTCATGTCTAAAACACCAAAAGCAATGGCAACAAAAGACAAAATTGACAAATGGGATCTAATTAAACTAAAGAGTGCACAGCAAAAGAAACTACCATCAGAGTGAACAGGCAACCTACAGAATGGGAGAAAATTTTTGCAATCTACCCATCTGACAAAGGGCTAATATCCAGAATCTACAAAGAACTCAAACAAATTTACAAGAAAAAAACAACCCCATCAAAAGGTGGGAGAAGGATATGAACAGACACTTTTCAAAAGAAGACATTTATGCAGCCAAAAAACAAATGAAAAAGTGCTCATCATCACTGGTCATCTGAGAAATGCAAATCAAAACCACGTAAGATACCATCTCACACCAGTTAGAATGGCAATCATTAAAAAGTCAGGAAATAACAGGTGCTGGAGAGGATGTGGAAAAATAGGAATGCTTTTCCACTGTTGGTGGGACTGTAAACTAGTTCAACCATTGTGGAAGACAGTGTGGTGATTCCTCAGGGATCTAGAACTAGAAATACCATTTGACCCAGCAATCCCTTTACTGGGAATATACCCAAAGTATTATAAATCATGCTACTATAAAGTCACATGCACATATATGTTTATTGTGGCACTATTCACAATAGCAAAGACTTGGAACCAACCCAAATGTCCATCAATGATAGACTGGATTAAGAAAATGTGGCACATATACACCATGGAATACTATGCAGCCATAAAAAATGATGAATTCTTGTTCTTTGCAGGGACATGGATGAAGCTGGAAACCATCATTCTGAGCAAACTATCACAAGGATAGAAAACCAAATACCGCATTTCTCACTCATAGGTGGGAATTGAACAATGAGAACACTTGGACACAGGGTGGGGAACATCACACCCCGGGGCCTGTTGTCGGGTGGGAGGATGGGGGAGGGATAGCATTAGGAGAAATACCTAATGTAAATGACGAATTAATGGGTGCAGCAAACCAACACGGCACATGTATACATATGTAACAAACCTGCACATTGTGCACATGTACCCTAGAACTTAAAGTATAATTAAAAAAAAAAAAAGAAAAAACAAAAGCAAAAACAAAAAGATGTAATCTGTTAACAGATCCATTTCTCCCGGGTGTGTGTGTATGTGTGTGTTTATGTTAAGGAGGTTTGGTACATAACCCTGTAAAAATAGAACCACCTTTCTTACACAATTTATTTGATTCATGATGTGATTTGTTCTAGTGTTTAATTCCAAACCTGGCTAAGCCACAGATCTTTAAATTGCACATACAGGAATGTGCTTTGTATTATAATTATTTGAGGAAAAATCTGGGAGTATGCTGCATGGAGAAGATGAACATGATCTACAGAAATTTTCTAAAGCCAGGAGTCAAATTGCAGAATCTGATCCACAGTGGGAGATTTAATATGAAGATCAATGATTAATGACCTGCATTTTTATTTATAATATCACATGGTTTTATATTTCATAAACAATTACAAGAAAAGTACATATAATTAAATCTTAATTTGCTAATTTAAATTGTATAAAAACAGGGAATATATACAACTAAATTTGTGGGTATTCCTTGTATTATTGATCAGTATCTGCCATATGAAAGGGAAGAAACAAAAATGTTTTGAGTCTGCATTTTGGGTGATTTATCTCTCAATACAGTTAATGTATCCTTTCCTTTAGAATGAAGTAATTAATTGAGATACTTTAAGTGATTAATATTTAGTGTTTTTTTCTTTTAACTCGTAGGATAATCAGTTTTGTTTATATTTCTATCGTGTATTAGAATTACTAACCAGTTGGAATTGATTTGTATAGCTAGACTTGACTTAACCAGGGAAATGGAATATCTGTAGTGGCTGAAATGCGAAGTTTCTAGACTGTTTGAGTGATACATTGTGGTGGTAGCAATGACTAGTAAACCAGTTGTTACAGCTTCTTCAAGTCATTGTTTTGCCTATTTCCAATCTTTTAATCTCTCTGAAAGTTGGATATGTGATAGGTGAAAATTCCAAGACACTGTTCTGTTGACCTTATGTCCAAGCAAACAAACAAACAAACAAAAAACAAATGTAGAGGTTTCATTAGAGACTGAACTGCAGGAAATCACATCATGTTTTTATCAGCACTCTTTTTATTTGCTTAGGTGAATTGCTTCTTTGTATCACCCTCGGATCTATTCCTATGCAAGCAAGGTATTTATGCAGGAGCTCCTTCCTGGTAAAGCCATTCCTATACCCCTCTTATGATCACAGCTGCCCATTGACTCTTGGCTCCCATCCAGTCCTCCCAGTCCTCTGACTTTTCTTCTTACTACCCATGTGACCAGTCACTTTTCTCTAGGCTTCAGTTTCTTCATCTGTAAATGGGGATGACGCCCTACCTCAGTGGGTGGTTGTAAGAATTGAATAGACAATTTAGTGTGGTGCCTGGCACAGAGTAAGTGCCCAATAAACAGTGGCTTTTCTCACTGGTGGCTGTTACTGTTATCTGCTGATGCAAACACCTCTCCATAGTAAGCTGCTTATTCCCTGATTCCTGGGACTAGATTTTATTCACATTCCCACACTGCACATCTTGGGCTCTTGGATTAAATGCTTACTAAATCAATACATGAATAACATAAAAATGTGATCCCTACCTTCAAGGAGACCAGACTCTGGTTCTGAAATAATCACAGCAGAAGGCAGAAACTACATCACCATAGGGAGATGTAGTTAAACTAAAAGGTTTAGAGGAGAAAGATATTAATAGGCAGGTTTAAGGCAGGTACTTAGTAGGCACTTTGTTCAGCGTAGTGTTTTTGATGTTGGTAGCCAAAGGTTTTGGGATGCTGAAAATTTTTGGACATGTTCTATTTCTACTGTGAATTTTACACCCTTCAATTTTAATGACAACTTGTTCTTTTAACTGCACATGTGACAGGGATGGACAGAGTGCTCCCTTTTAGCCCACGCAGGTGGAATTAAATCTGAGGGCTTCTGTTAAAAGCATGCAGTTTCTTTTTATACTTTTGCAACCATTTACTAAATATGTTTTCATTTCTTCTGGTTTGCTATTAGACTGAATATATATGATAATTTCATATGCCTTGTAGTTAGTGTGCGTAGATAATTCAAACATTTTTGCTTTTTTAAGACTTCCATTATATAGTTATTCTACTTAATGACTTTGAAAAGATTCTTTCTCCAGAGAGAGAGAGCCAAACTGGAATTAATTATTTTTTAATCACTTTTTTGGGATAGCATGTTCTGCTTTGTGGTTCTCCCCCCAATCACAGAAGCTAGATTTATGAGAGAAATCACAGGGGGCTCTGTTCAGGCAGTTACTTGTTTGATTCCCCCAGAGGCGTTGGCTCTTTGATCTTCTACTGGTGTAGCTCCTCTGATCTTTTATTCTGTAAGGTATTTGTGTCTCTGCATGATGGATGTTACACTGACCCAAGTAAATGGAAGAAAATTTTCTCTAGCCTTTAAATGTATTGCTTTCCTTGTTCTTTCAAAAAACATACTTTTCTTGGGTAAGAACATTTTAGAGGCATCTGGCATCAAATCAACAGAATTGTGGCCTTTAATGGAATTTGAGGCACTGTGAAGTGGTTTGATTGGTAAGAATCCATTTTTGTTTCTTTCTCCTTGACTATGCCCCCACTTACACAATAACAAAAACAACTCTCCTCCTCCTCTTATTTTTTGAAACAAGAGTATCTGATTTCATTGAATTCTGTACTTTTTTATTTTACTTTTTTGAAATAAGAAAGTTCTTAAAAGGTTTTTATTGTCACTTTTATTTTCTTCCTTGAAGGGGAGGAAAAACTCTCAACTGTGTACAGAGCAAATTAAATTATGAGAAAAATAACCTATGGAGTTAAACAAGATGAACTGAGGTTTTGGAACAAATCTAAGAATTGCCTTGATGTTGTAGGTAGTTTAACCCATGATTCAGAGATATATTAGTCACTTTGATAGACTGTTGATTTGACTAATTACCCTGAAGGCTGGCTGGCTGACTGAATTGCTCAAGTCAGCTAGTAATTTTGATCAAATCAACGAGTAATTATGGTTTTGTGCAAGCAACAAATATAGAATACTGATTATGTTAGACTAAAGAAGATGTCATTGTGATATAATCATATAAAATATTTAATTCAAGCACCATAGCATCCCTTTTATTTTTTTCTTACTCTAAGGTTTACATTCTCAGAACAAATAATAGAAAAGGTTGTGGCAGCTTTTTGGAGAGAATAATTTTATTCTCTCAGTAAACAATGTATAAATGTGAACGATTCTCTAGTGCTAAGGTATATACTCTCATATTTTAAGTGTACTTTAATTATAATATGCGTATTTTTGGGAGCCTTCAGAACTAAACATGGTCAGATTTTTAAAGCTGAAAGTTCTCTAGAAAGGAGCAACTTACATGGGAGAGCTGGAAGTTACTGCTGCTAATTTCCTTACCAGTTCATTATATAGTTATTGATATTAGTATGATCAGGTCTACCTAAAATCCAAATGCTTGTATTTGTTTGGTTTCTATTCTATCATCATCCTTTCCCTCACTTTTGAAAATTCTTTCTGCAGAGGATGATGTTTATTATTGAATTCTAATTAGCAGTGTTTGTGTGCTATATTTGTGGGTTTTCAAAACATTTTAGAAACACAGACATGTTTACTTAATGGAAAAATCTGTCTTTAATTTTACTTGAGTTGTCTCTTGGATGGCTTACCTGTATTACATTCCTTTTCTATGAAAGCAGGAAATATAATTTACTTGGAACTCCGTGCAGATTTCAGTGTATAATTAGTAACGTTTGTGAAGCCCCTCCAGGGTAGTTATTCTGAAGAGAGCTCCAGTTTTGTATAGTCATTTCATTCATTGTATATGTTCTTGGCATTATCTGCCCCCTTAAAACCAGAGATTGAAAGGGAGAGATGGAGAGAGGGAAGACAATCATTTACAAGGTTAAGATAATTTTGAGTTTATTCTTCAGGAATTATAGATGTATACCTACTGTTTCCACCAGCCGCTCTCATAGTGTGGGTATCTCACTGTGCTGAAAGTAGTTCTTGCATTTGAAGACATATATTATTTTTTGTACATCCTGACCCCAAGTGCCTACTGCTTTGTTGGATATTCAGCTGTTTTGTCCAACTTAATGAGAAAAAAAAAATGTGTTGGTTTCCAACAAATGCCTCGCTAAGGGATGTTAGCTGGTAATTTTTGGTATTTTCATGTTTTGCCTTATTCAGTAACATCAGAATCTAGTCCCCATATATTGCAATTTCACTCTAATAGTATTGGGTCAGATAATCAATTTTTGGTAATTACCTAATGCATAGAATGGAAGTGAATTATTGTGAATATATGTGTTAATAACATATAAAATAATTTTTACATAAAAGGAACTATCTAGGTTCCTGTTTTGCTTCCATACTCTCTTCACAACTCCTTTGATTTTAGAAGTCAATTAACTCCAAAGTGCAGGATGCTTTCAAGGGGGAAGTAGGAACCTTGTCTATTCTTGCTCATTGTTTTCTACCTGAAGCACCAACTCTAGGGAGAAATAGCGCCAAATGCAAAATCTATCTGAAGCAAAACTTAATTTAGAATAGTCTTTGATTTTTCTTTTCTTGCTTTTGCTTTCTCTTTTTTCCCCCTGTGCAAAAGACATTGATACACACATGCTAATTTAGTGGAGAAGACTTTTAATTAAAGAAGCATAGATAGCCTGAAACCATTCAAGTCTATGCCAGTCACTCTAGAGGAAAGTGTAGATGAATTGAAGCAGAATATGGGAGAGTTGTGATCTACCCACTTGCTTCTGGAGGCTTTTGGATAAATTAATGCATTCCTCCCCATAGAGACAGCTTCTCTGCTTGGAGGGGTGGCGGCCATCCAGTCAATAAGCCATCTTTGCTGTGGCAGAGAAGTTGCTCAGTATAAGTTGTTTCAGCTTTTACTTTTATTTCTTGGAAGTACAGCATGGTAAGCCTAAATTCTGGACCTCCAAGCAGAAATTAGATCCTCCTTTACCCTTTGCTAATTGAAGGTGACACGAGGCTTTTTCTATTGTAGGGTCTCTGAAAAGGCAACAACTATTGATTATTATTTACATCTGTATGCTGAGCTAGACTTACACGTGTATGTGCGTGTGCTACAGTGTATGTTGTTCTATATATAAGGGAGAGACATTGAGAATGTATTCTTTGTTGAGTGAGATACAGTACTGCTTTATTCAGGGGTAAACAATCTTGTCAGAATTTCACAAAATGATGCTTGGGACAAAATGAAAGCTTCAAAGCAGTTAGATCTGCCATTAATGAGTGCAATATTTTAAAGAGGAAGTCTAAGAAACTTATTTACAGGTGCATAATAATATTTAGTTTTCAGAATAAATCTTAGTTGGAGAGAATAGGTTTTGTACGAGTAGAAAAACAATCTCATAAGAAAAGCCAATTTTAGAGTTGTGGTGTAGCCAGGTGCAGTGGCACATACCTGTAATCCAAGCACCTTGGGAGGCTGAGGCGGGCAGATCACTAGAGCTTAGGAGTTCGAGACCAGCTTGGCCAACATAGTGAAACCGTGTCTCTACTAAAAATACAAAAATTAGCCAGGCGTGGTGGTGCACGCCTGTATTCCCAGCTACTCGGAGGCTGAGGCATGAGAATCGCTTGAACCCAGGAGGCAGGGGTTGCAGTGAACCGAGATGCGTCACTGTACTCCAGCCTGATAACAGAGCAACATCCTGTCTCAAACAAAACAAAACAAAACAAAACAAACAAACAGAAAAAGTGTTGCAGTGAATAGTGCTCAAACTGCTTAAGTGAAGTTATGGTAAGCTGAGTGCAGGAAGCTTTTCTGGATATGAGAAATCTTCGTAGTGAGCTACATTTACTTTGACCGATTTCGTTGTTCCTTAAAAAGAGGTCCTAGAAAAAATTGTTGAGAACCATTGAGGCTCCCTGAAAGGGTTTTGGGGAACCCTAGGGTCCCTCAGACCACATTTGGGGAACCACTGATCTAGACTGACAAAAACTTTGGCAAAAGATTAATTTTACAAATTCCTAGAGCTAGTCACTTAGACTGAAGGTAAATTGCATAAATTTAATTCACTGAGTATTGTGCAACAATAATATTAAGACAACCACTTAAAAAGTGCTTCTGAAAATAAGACTACCACTCTTCTGTGAATTATTTACATTTTCCTGATATGTTATTTTTGTATATATTTATTCCATTGGAAGTTAACAACTCTTCTAGGTACAGATGCAGTTGGTTTTCCTTTATATGTTTTCTGTTAAATATCTTTCAGACATTTGGTAGTCATTATGATGGAGTCAAATAGCATATTGTATTAAGCTACTCTTTTATCCCTACTCATACCCATCAGGCTATACTCATCGTGCAGGTACTTTCCTTTCATATTGAGACTCAGAAGAGACTTCAAATATGTTGTCATTGCTATACTTATGGTAGACATAGCAAGTCCTTTTCCTTTTATTTAAGTTGTTCTTTTGCTTTTATTTTGTTAAATAAAAAATGTTTTTGCTAAGTAGTACATAAATATGGTACAAAGTTCAAAAAGTCAAAGAAGGTACAGTTTGAAAAGTGAGTCTTCTTTCTTCAGCTGTCCCCCAGCCCCCACTGCCCTGTGCTGACTCAGCCACCTTAAGAGTTCTTGTGTATCTTCTTAGAAATCTTCTATGCATCTACAATCATATGGGCTAATACATTGCTTTTCTTCTTACACAAATCGTGGCATACTATACTTGCTGTTCTGTATATATTTTGGCAGCCTTATCCTATCAGTACATTAAGAGCTGTATCTTTTTTATAATTGTAACATAGTATTCCATTACATAGAAGTGCTGTCGTTTATATAACCAAACCAGTATTGATGGATATGTAGGGTCTTTTCAATCATTTACCATTTAAACAATGCTGCAAGGTACTAGTGTAATTAGTAGCTATAGATAGAGAGTTATTGGTGGCTAAGAGAATGTGTCTGACTCTGACTTGATAGTCTGAGTCAGACTCCATGATATCTGTGTGACTTTCATGAGATGAGTTCTTTTTACTTCTGCTCTGTTCATAGCAGAACTTTTTGTTATCACAGAAGTCACAAAATTCCACAACTACATCTTCAGTAATACCATGAGAATGTGAACTGGCTATTAGCCTGTTTTGGGACTCGATTCTCAATGGTTTTACCATGAATGCATCTTTAAAGTGGGTTTTAAACTTTATTGAAGCGGGGCACCTCATGGACCCTTTATAGAATTGGCTGAAAACTACAGCCACCTCTCTTCAGAAAAATATGCCCACAGTTTATGAGATTCATGGATGTATATGGAATTTTATTGTTATTTCACTAATTACACTTAGTACTTTTATATCATGTAGATAAAGAACCTTTTTGAAAGATTGGTTTTTACGTTTCAAAAGGTAAGCATCACATCATCTGGATAACACTACAGGTTGCAAAGCTGCACATGTTCACATGAAGGGATTTAAAGCACTGGGTGGGGAACTAATTCTGATTGACAAAACTGTAGATACAGGTATTAGACTAAACAACATCACTTGCCAAAGGTACCTACTCTTCCAGAGAACATGACCAAGACAAAAACTTACATTTCTGTTTTTTTTCCAGGAACATTTTTTGAATATAACTTTATGAAGTGAGAGGGTTCTTCTTAGAAAGATTCAGAGCATCTACTTCAAGTCTCGCCTTTCAAGTTCTACCCTATAGAACTTGTCAGATCATTTTTTTCTGCGTTTACCTTAGTCAACTTTTAGGGTTTTGTGGCAAGAATCTTAAACAAGTTGTTTCTTAATAGCTTTCAACAAAATAGTGATGTGAAAGGATGGTGTATACTATCAAGAGTACAGTGATCAGTTGGGTTGGTGGGGAGACTTTCCCCAAGAATGGTCCAATTTTTAGGTTTCAACAAATCACCCTATGTGTATAAGAAACTTTTCTGTTCAATCGCCAAGGAGCTGATATCTCAATACTTGCTATAAATTTCAAAATACATAATTTTTACATTCTAAATCCTTGCCTATAGGGATTTAGTTTCTTCTTTAAATTTTTTTTAATTTTAAGCTTTATCGAGGTATAATTGATCTACTTAGTTTCCTAAATAGCTTTAAAATTAAGTCCAAAAACAAATTTCAGATAGGAATTTGAATATTTTAATTTTTCTTTTCACATTTATTCTGCTCATCAGTCAGTTGCATGGCACTTGGGTATGACATAGTTGGTAGCCTGTTCTTGTGAAATTAAGGTGTAAAACGAGGTAGGATTGTTTCGTGGGATTATTAAGTTTTAGGTATCTTGTTACTGTTTTGAAGCATGTATTTTCCAAAGCTGGAAACCATTTGGAATGTGTGTATTGACCGAATTTTCTTTGTGCACATTTTGTGTGTTAACTGGTGACCTAGAAGTTGGTGGAATGAAATAAGATTCTGATTTACTGAAATGATGGACGTTTTACAGTGAATGAGCTGGAGTTAAACTATGGCAAATTGAGGGAGGCTTAAGCACAAGGTCCAGAAGAATAGGGGGCTATTAGATGCTTGCTTTATTTTTCGCAGTCCAGCATTGCCCTGTGATATTGTGGTGAGAGAGAAAAGAGAACTGGGCCAGAAGATTAGAGCACAGGGAGGATTTAGGTTTAATAGGATTTTATGAGGCTCTAAGAAGAGGTTGTCTGAGGTAATTTGACCCAAAATGAAACACCCTCCTCAATACTGCTATTAGTTATAATTGAGGGCACAAGGTTCACCTCTCTTAAGGTGTTCCCAATATTTGATGAGTCTTCATCCTTAGATGGAATTTTACATGATAAGCACATTTACAGTAATAGACTTTTTATATATTTTTTATGTATTTAGTAGCAGCCAATTCAGGGCATTCCAAAGTACATTCTCAAACAATGAATTTTTCTATTGGCAGTTGCTCAGGAAATAAACAAAAAAAACCTCAATCATGGAATTATATTTACTGTGGCTGATTCCTGTGCTGTACGTTCCTTAAGTCAAATATGCCTTAGTAGTAAAAAGAATCCCATCTGCAACTAGATTTCTTATAAAGATTTTTGTACAAAGGCCATCATCCTTCTTTAATGATTATCTGATTACCCCTCTCCAATTGGTATAACAGTTGTGATAAAGTACATAAAATAATGACTCAAGCTGTAAGAGACCTAAGAAATCCTACTTTAGTTGTAACTGCTTACTTAAGTGACATTCCAAAAGAAGAGTCCCATTTTTCACTCAAGGTTTCACAGCTGGTTAGAGCTAGAACTAGAGTTTTGGGTCCCTGCCTCCTAGCTCAAAGCTCAGGTTCCCAGGTTGGGACTTTAAATTTTTAGACTTTCAGGCTTGGACTGAGCCAACAACTCTTAGCCATTACCCTTTGTTCCCTACTTTAAATCTACCTATATTCTCTAGCCATTTCCACAAACCAACCAGAGTAATATCAGGAGGGATGAAGAAGGAGGGGTAGGAAGGGAGCCAGCTGTGCTTCCCATCAAGTATAAGGTAGTGGTTTTGGTTTGGAAACTCACTGTGAAAGACTTGGCTTTGCCTCCCTTTTATCTCTAGCACTCTCCTGCCTGTGTTCTTGATCTCACCTTTCTTCTGCTCCTTTTGCTCCATCAAAAATCTTTTTCTTGTATCTTCAAATTATCCATGTTCATTGGTTCATTCCCATTAGGCCTGCCAATATAATCACTTTTCCTTCAATAAAAATGTTCCTCTGGCTCCGTCTCCCCTTAAGGTGGCCATTCCATTTCTTTCCCTTAAGAATTTTTAAAAATAGTTCATCATTAGAGAGTATTTATTTAAACAGATAAAAGAATTGAAGGATTGTATGAGATAATATTTAAATGCCAAGATGTTTATAATTTAAGTTTAGTCTGATAGTGAGAAAGGGATATATCAAAATATAGTTATTGAAAGTTCAGGAGGAAATGCGATTTTGACATATTTTTAGCTTTTCTAATTATTGTAGCTGTCCAAATAGTCTGAAGTTGGGTAAGATGTCTATCTGGGAATGAAGTTTTTACACTGGAAAAAGTGAAGAAATTTTTACATTGGAAAAGAGGTGTGATTTAGATGGCTAGAATCTGAGCTTTTATGATTATATGATATATTTTATAATTCTGTAAGGTGGAAGCATATGTTTTGCTTTTTGCATCGTCAAATAAATATATTTTTGAAAAACAGCAAATAAAAATAGATATAATTATTTGGCCAGTTATCCCTGTCTCTAACAATATTTAATATAATTTTTCTTTCCTTATTGATGGAAAGTATTTTTATATATAATATTAATGAGATATAAATATGGCCACTCAATAATGTCTATAGTCAGTTCTGTCTTTGCAGTGTAGAATTTATGCTGAAATATCAAGCTATTGTATATATATTTTGACAGCTCATCTCTTTCTTGCCCATTACCACAACCAAAAAACTCAACCACACCACACACCTACATGCACCCACTGTTGCAGAGTTCTTTGAGTGTTTTTTTTGTGTTGGTGGTTTTTTTGAAGAAAGATAAAAAAAAAATCACTCCTTGGCATCTAAATGGTTTGTAGAGCTCTCTCTCAGGCATGAAATTTGAGTCAATGTGCATGTGTGTCTTTACGGGAAGAACAGACTGGATGTGTGCCAAAAGTGGCAAGGTTTACTTGAAACATTTTTGACATCACGTACCTTAGACTGAAGAGTGCAGAGGGAAAGAAAGGAGAAACGTCTGATGATGCCATATTCATGACAGACTCATATTTTAGTGACTGCAGCTGCTTTACCTACTTACAGCTTTTGCCTCCATTCTGTCCTCTGTTCTTCTCTTGGGAGTTTTAGCATTGGACTGGGAATATAGAGATTTATATTCTATTTCTATCAAAACTAACTTGTGCTGGGCATGGTGGCTCATGCCTGTAATCCTAGCCCTTTAGGAAGCCAAAACGGGAGGATTGCTTGAGCTCAGGAGTTCGAGACCAGCCTGGGCAACATAGGGAGACCCTGTCTGTACAAAAAATAAAAAAAAAATTGGACAGGTGTGGTGGCACATGCCTGTAGTCCCAGCTAGTCGGGAGGCTGAGGCGGGAGGATTGCTTGTGCCCAGGAGTTCAAGGCTGCAGTGAGCTATGATGGCTTCTGCACTCCAGCCTGGTGACGGATTGAGACCCTGTCTCTAATAAAACAACAACAACAACCAACAAACAACAACAACAGCAAACTAGTAAGCTCATGACATTGGCTATTTATCCTGTCTATACTGCATTCTCACCGTTTCTGAGAAGATTGCATGTAAATTCCTTCTGAAAACTAACTTGAAGGATCTTAGCATATCTTTCTGTTTTTGATTTAGAAGCAATTGGCATGATGTATGTTCCTTTCATACCTTTGAAGAAGAATCTTTGAATTCTGGAGCTGGAAAGACCTGAGTCTTGTAGCTTTTCGATCTCTGGGATAACACAAAACTTTGATTTTCTTCGTTATGATCATTATGTAACCTAAATGAAAGGCCTTGACATTTTCACAGAAATGTAGTGTGTAGAATAACAAGGAAGTTGATTCAGAATCTTGTTTTATCTCTTATCATTTAAAACAAGGCTGTAAATGTAAATGTTTATAAGGGCTAGTGAGGTAACCTGAATGAGGTGAAGGTTCTGGCAGTAAGATCACAGGGAGTGGCAGGGACTGTGGGGACGGGAGAATGCGTACCCTGCAAATGTGGGATAGCCACTCTTGATGTTTGAAACACCAGATGGACCCAATAGTAGCAAAGGACTATGGTTGCCACTGGACAGTGTCCACTGAAAACAAGTTTGTAGTATTTGGAATTTTAGTTTGGGGAATTCAATTTTCATAATAAAATACAGCTGTAGAAGAAACACACAGGCAGTTTTCCTGGAGTATGTGATTTGTGTACTTCTTCTAACAGGTCGTCCTTTCTATATACCTTAACCCTCCTCCATTCTTTTTCAAAAATGTTTCTTTCCTCAGTACTATGCTTGCAAGTGTTCTGTTCTTATGTCCCAAAAATTCTTTCTAAGACCTTTTCATGTCGAATGGTTGCCCTCCTACTAACAGAAGTGCTTGTTTTAAATACTCCTAAACTATTTTCCAGTGTCTAATTCTACTCCCCACAAGGAACTTAACCCCTGAGTCTCCTCTGAAGCCCACTTTCTCCCATCTTACTGTTTGTAGGGAGGAATAGCCGATCGGTGTTCTCCTTGTAATACCCTTCCTATTACTGTGTTGATAATGGCTACCCCCTGTTTTCTTTTGACATTACAAGTCTACAAACTTTTATTATGGCTTTTGTTTTCCAGGGTTCTGGTAGTTGTAATTACTTTTTTTCTGAACTCTTCCCAATCTGTACACGAAAAAAAATAATATTTTGAATTATACCCAGTCCTTTTATGGGCTGATCAAACTAGTGAGACAATACCACTGCCTTACTGCTTTCGTCAGTGCCACACAAATGGATCATATTCACCGTACACTCTATGACCTCAATTTCTTTTTTCCCCTACTTGCTGTCTGGTAGTCAGGATTTCTTTGTATTTTTTCCATGTTTCATTTTTCATTTGTAAGTGTGCTACCTTGCACTCACACCTAATAAACACTATCTTGTTTTTGATGGATCATTTCTATCTCTGATTTGTCAAGGTTACTTGGAATTCCATTATTTTTCAGAAAAGCTAGAAACTTTAACCTAGTTTATAGCCACAAAATGATTGAGAATCCTTTCAATTCTGACAGCCATTGATTTAAAAAAATATTCAATCAAATTAGACCCAGGAATCTGGGTGCTGTTTTATAACACCTCCCCCAAGTTGCATCAAGCCGTTTATTTCTCTTGCTGTTAACTCATGGTTTTCCTGTTACTGAGTGTTTTTAAACTCTGCAAACACTGGTATCATAATAGTTTGGTGCAAAAATAATTGCGGTTTTTGCCCTTGAAAGTAATGGCAAAAACCGCAATTACTTTTGCACCAACCTAATAGTTTCTTACTTGATTCTAGGAACTAGACTTGAGCTTGAGTGCTTTAGAATAGTAATTTTGGGGGGTTGTGGCTGGTTGTAGTGGAGAGAAGAAACCCAATAATTGTTTCATTTACTCATGTATCTTAGCTAGCATTATTATTTTGTATTTTTAGTAGCAAAGTAGGAGAAAACAGGAGAGCCTTTAGATTGAGTATAATATCTGTTTTGTAGATTTTTTTCTGTGTTGGACTTTGAGAATGTCTAAGCTTTGATTTAAATTTAATAGTCAGTTTCCTATTTAATTTATGAACATAATAAAATTCATTTTTTTATTATTGCCATTACAGGTTTTGGAAGGTGACAATGAAATGTGAAGAAGTTACATTTCTCAAACTTGAAAGTTAGTGACGGCTTACCAAATTTTAATGAAAATTAAATATGACTTAGAAGCATTGATTTATGAAGGCTTATGATGTCATCGGTTTCGACAGAAAGCAAACTCCAGCAGGCTGTGAGCCTACAGGGAGTTGACCCAGAAACATGCATGATTGTATTTAAAAACCACTGGGCACAGGTAATGTATGAATTCCACTTTTTTTGCTGGTCTCAGTAACCCCAGGGGCCTCCATCACACTGAATCAGGGTTTTCTACCTCTGTGATAGGTAACTAGATTGCTAGAAACACAGGGAGGGAAACTCTTTCAGATAGGAAGAAAAGTAACTTTTTCTTCTTGCTTTCCTAGAATAGGTATCTGGTCAAAAACCATGGTTTTCACAAAAGCAATTAGGGTACATGCATGTTACTTGGATATTTTTAGAAGAACAGCAGTTGTTCTTTAAAGTGACTTTTATATCGCTTTGCAATATACTTGACCATAATTATATCCTCTCTCTCTCTCTTCCCTGCTGATTTCCTTCCAGTTCTTAAGCTCTAATAATACTAAAATACACATTTATTAAACATTTACCAAGTACTCTGTTGAGTACTTCAAATGCCTTATGTCATTTAATCTTGTCCACAAACCTGTAAGGTAGCTGATGTTAGTTTCCTCATTTTACAGAAGAGGGAATAGAAAATTACCGAGGTTAAATAACTTGCTTAAGGTTATACAACTAGTAAGTTACTAAGCCCATTACTTAGGCTTTGGTGCCTTGACTCCAAAGCTCGTGTGTTTGATCTCTGTGCTCTACCATTTTGGGGCTGGTGGTCCCTGTGTAATTTAATGAAAAACGCCTGAGTATACCTGAATATATGTCTTCATTACAAAGTGATTATAAAATTTTTTTTGATTATTTACTTTGACTTCTCTGATCTGCTGTGTGGATAATTAAGGGTTGAATGTTCAGAAAATTTACTATTCCGCCCCTTTCCTTAGGGAGTTTACACATAGTAAAATAAATAAAATTGTCATTCTTTACTACTTGCCCAACATTGCACTCCCCAGGTGAGCTGGTAAGTGGCTATTTATGTGACAGTTTTTTAATGACTACCCAGTTCCTTCTTGTGGCCGGAAACAGCACACTGGTTAAAGCACTGAGCCTGTAAATCACAGCAATTATAGGGGACACAGTTTAGATCAAAACCAAGCAAAATCAATTCTGCTTCTGAGCCGTTTATACTTTGTAGCTTCTTGTTACTATCTAGTATAAACCTTCTCCGATTTTTTGTGCATTCTCTGACCTTTTACCATTAGAATTTTAATGGATTTGCTATGGACATTAGGGCACATATGCTTTAGTTAAGGGAAGAAAGTAATTTAGGAGTTTTCCAGATAATTAGAGTAATAACCTTTGGCTTTGCACTTTTATAAATATTTTAAAGCAGTATCTCCAAGGCGAGGTGGTGAATCCTAAGGAATGAGCCCAGTAGTTCATTGGGTGTAGGAAGAATATTTTAGAAGGTCTGTTTCTATCTTTACCTTTTACAAATTTCTGTTTTGTGTTTAAAACGTACATTATACATTTGTATATTAGTGTCTGTATGATTACTAATTTATTTATTTGTGCTTATTTAAAAAATCTATTAGTGCATAATCATATGTTTTTAACTGAGAACATTTTCAGCTCCAGTCATTTCATTAGGCTTAGGAAGTCTATCTTACTACGTAATCTTCGCTCCCAGCCCATTTTGTTTATTCGTTTGCGCATAATACCTTTGATTATAATCATTTCTGCTGGGGTAACTGTGATATGATCCATTTAGTATTCTGTGCCACTTCCCAAAGACATGATATATCATCAACTTCTTGATTATATGTAGGTGGGTCATCTGCCCTGTCAGATTCTGTCCCAGGCAGGCTTTCTCCAAATGTGAGGAATGTGCCAGTACATTGTGTCACATTGTTGAAAGACTATTGGTCCCAGAATCATATTATTCATTTCCATAACAATACAAATGACTTCAGTATTATTGCACATTTTGGGTTCTCTGAAGCACAGTACAGATACATAGTACTCTCAGTGCAGACAAGTCTTGAGTTGAAGGTAAGGATAACTTTGTCATAGGGGATACTGTTTAGTTGTTAAATATTTTCTTTTATAAAGTTGAGACACTCATGGTCTTACTGTTGGCTCAGCCATTTCTTTACCTTTGGACAGGTGTTTTTAACCTTTTTTTAGGCTTGATGTTTCCTTTTAAATAAATCTGGAAAATGCTCTCAGTCTCTGCCTACAGAGGCTCTTGAGGGCCTTTCTGTTATCTTTATGAATGAAAATGCTGGTTGAAGAAATCTATGTGAATGTAAAAGTGTTATTGTTCAATGGAGATTTACTGAGCACACACTCCAGGCATGTCGCTGTAGGCATCACACGTGGGACTTGAGAATGTATAAGCCTTGGTCTGGGCTTTAAAAAATGTATAAGCTAATTCAGATGACAATGCAAGATACATTATTACAAAATGAATAACCATGATTACAGGAATTAAGTCAAGAGAAGGGGCTATTATGGCTGGAAATGGCCTGGGAATGGAGAAAGTGAGATTTTGCTACGTTGGCTATGGAAAAGGAAGGTTTTGATGACAGACAGGAAAATAATATTTCAGAGAATGGATACTAGGAATAAATGCTCAATTTCAGCTTTTTTGGATGGTACATATAAAAGAGGGGAAGGCAAAAAAATCAGAGCCAGGCAGAGATGTGGGACCAAAAGTAAGATAAGGAATGAGATCTTCAGCTGGGGGAAATGAATGCTACTTATTTGTTGTTTTGGAGTTTCATACGTTAGCTCTTGGCTGTGAGTTGTTGGGCTGGGGTGGGTGAAGAGCAGTTGCAGAGGATTGGGAAAAGAGCTCCAGTTTGACATAAGCTCCTAGGCCTACTGTGACTGCAGCCCCTGGGTTCACCTGAGGCAACCCAAGAAAAACCTGTAAGGCTGGTAGGGAATGAGGCATAGACAAAGCTGGGAAGCATTTTATTTGCCCAGGTGTCTGTTACCTGCCCAGTGTAATGCTTTTTTAAATGTTAAATTAGCAAAAAGTGTTGGCCGGGCGCTGTGGCTCACGCCTGTAATCCCAGCACTTTGGAAGGATGAGGCGGGCACATGATGAGGTCAGGAGTTTGAGACCAACCTGGCCAACATAGAGAAACCCCATCTCTACTAAAAATACAAAAATTAGCCAGGCATGGTGGCGGGTGCCTGTAATCCCAGCTACTCAGGAGGCTGAGGCAGGAGAATCACTTGAACCCAGGAGGTGGAGGTTGCAGTGAGCCGAAATTGCGCCACTGCACTCCAGCCTGGGTGACAGAGCAAGACAATGTCTTTAAAAAAAAAAAGGAAAAAATGAAGGCAACAAAAGCCTGTGGTATCCCAAGTTCTGTATGTTAGGAGACTTAAGTATAAATTCAACATAATTAACTTGTATTTGACAGGTTCTGTTCTGCTATTTGTTAATAGCCTCTTTTCCAGAGCTTGAGTTAAAAAGCAAACATTGATGGAGGAGATCTGCTTGCCCACTTATACCTTAGAGCCTGTCAGAGGCAGCTAGTTATACAACCAGCCATCATCCAAGCAGTCTGTGATTCTGGAGAGTTGCCAGGGGAGAGACCTTAAATGGCCCAGTGGTGCACTTGAGGTTCCCAACTGCTTCTGGGTCCAGTGATCTCATGGCATCCCCAGAATCATTCTAGAGTAGACTTTCAGGAATGGTTGCATTCCAAATAGTGACACTGAAGAGTCTGGGCTGTAGAAAGTAGCCCCTGACTTCCTGTCACCTTCTGAGATGCCATTTTATGCTATAAGTTGCCAGAGCAATGAATCTCAAACCCAGATCTGTCTGGTTCATTCCTCTGGTTGAACCTTTCAGTGGCATCTGGCCACCTACAGCCCAGGATGACACACAGAATTTGTTACGTCCTGGCTTCTGTTACTCTCTGCCTCTCATTTAATCTCCAAAAATGCAAAGTTGCTTGGGGTTCCTAGCCACCCCCTCTCCTGGCAGCGTCCATCATGCTGTTTCATCCCTCTGTGCCTTAGGCACTCCTTCTTCTTTCTGCCTGAAATATTCCTCCCACTGGTTAAATGCCTGTCCTTCTACAGGCCTCATTTGAGGGATCATTTGCTCTAAGAAACCTTCCCTGCCCTCTTTCATGCTCCCACCCCATGTTCAAGCATTAACCTGAGTATTCTATCACTCTTACACCAACCACCTTTTAATTTAATTACTTATATTTTTAGAGAGAGAGTCTCTCTATGTTGCACTGGAGCGCAGTGGCTATTCACAGGTGTGATCATGGCACACTACAGCCTTGAACTCCTGGCTCAAGAGATCCTGCTCCCTCAGTCTCCCAAATAGCTGGGACTGCAGAGATGTGCCACTGCGTGTAGCCCAACCACTTTTTATTAAAATTACATATACAGTATCTTCTTCACACTCATTACGGGCTCCTCAAGATCAGAGGCCATTTGTAACTTACATCCCCATTGCCCGGAACAGAGTGTGACATATAGTAGATGTTCAATAAATGATTGAACTGAAAGGCAGTCAGTATGAAATACAAGTTTAAAAGAGCTAGGCAACTTAGGAAACAGCTTTCAACATACACTAATTTTAAAACATTGTATAATTTGTCACCGGCAAGATCTTTGGACTTGGCATTAAATGATCTGGAAGAGTGTGTGTATATACTTAATTTTTATAGTAGTCTATTAGAACAGTTTATTCTCTAGTAGACTGTTGTTTTTATCTCTTGCCTTTGTTTCTTTGTTTTTATCTGAATGGAAAAGAGGACAGAAATAGTAAGAAGCATTAGCCCACCAGGCAATAAACTATTCAACTAGACTGCCATGTGAATTAAATTCCCTACACTAGTTATTTTTGATGGCACAATTGTACTTTCTGAAGCTTCATGGACCTTGCTCTATTCATTTTCTATCTGCTCCTTTCAAGCATTGAATTCCAAAAGGTCTCTGCTCTTAGAGCCAGGAGAACAGAGGAGGTGGGTTAAAACAAATCAATTGGAAATGCACATTTCTGTCTTTGCTTCTAGTTAGTTAATAGCCCAGAATGACTTCTTTCTACCTTCAGCCTTTAAAAATAAGCTGTTTAAAAATTTTTTAGGCTAAGAAAATATCAGAGCTCAAATAAAGTAATAGTGATGGATGAGGAAAAGTCAGTGGGTTTAGTAACCTTTTTCATCTTGGAGGGGGTAGGGATGGGAAAAAACAGAACCATCTAGATTGGTTAATTAAGTCAAATGTCTTCCCACAAAAATGAAAAACAGATAATATACTTGAGTTATGGTATTTTGTGTGGAGCTCCAAGTAGCCCGAATCTAAAGTCTAGAGCATCCATGCATGGATTTGACATGTGTACTGTATTTGAGTCTCATTCCCTTGCTCTGCTCATCTCCACTCTTTTGCTCTGTGCCTTGTACTAGACTAAATGACAGAGAAAAATTAAGTAAAGCCTTTGAGAGATGAACAGTTGGGACGTATTAGAGAACTCTGATTCATTTTCTAAATATCTTAGTAAATTGATGTTTGTTAACATTTCAAAAAGTTCTCTCTCTCTTCCAAGACTTACAGGTAGCTCTAGCCTTGACAGTAGAAGGTAAAGTGAACCAAAGTTATACTTCTTAAGTTAGATGGCCGAGGCATTAACTTGCACTTCTATCAGACTCTAAAGTGGTTGAGCATGGCCGGGTGCAGTGGCTCTTGCCTGTAATCCCAGCACTTTGGGAAGCCGAGGTGGGCGGATCACCAAAGGTGAGGAGTTTGAGACCAGCCTGGCCAACATGGTGAAACACCATCTCTACTAAAATACAAAAGTTAGCCAGGTGTGGTGGCACATGCCTGTAATCCCAGCTACTTGGGAGGCTGAGGCAGGAGACTTGCTTGAACCCAGGAGGCAGAGGTTGCAGTGAGCTGAGATTGCACCATTGCACTCCAGCCTGGGTGACAGAGCGAGACTCCATCTCAAAAAATAAAAATTAAAATAGAAATACAATGCTTGAGCATGTTGAAATGTCAGCAGCTCTCTTACTGTGTGCTTGGTGGTAAGTTTGATTTTTGCTGTGGTTGAAATTAGTGTTCTTTGAAATATTATTATTTGGATCATTACTCATAAGGCCTTTCCATAACTGTTTTATCCAAGATTTAGGCAAGCCTCTGGAGCTCAGGGCTGGAGCTGACATTAAAAAACTGGTGTTAAGTGAATACGTATTATAAAGCTGTTATCTTAATATAAAAAGAAGTGACTTGGTAGAGGTCTCCCTGTGGAAACAGATGCACAAGGAACACTTCATACTGAAAGACACAGCTGTTAAGTAATGAACAAGGACTGTATGGAAACTTTTGTGTAGTTATTTGGTACATTAAGTGGAATTTGGCTTTAGATGGCTAAATCTTGCCCTTCAGTGTGTTGGAAAATATTGCATAGTAACTTGTTTTTTTCCACAATGCCACCTTATTTTAGCATTCCAAAGGATTTGGAAGTATGGGTTTTACACATATGACTTTCTTAAAATAACTAGGCTCTAACTTTGGTAGCATAAATAATTACCTACTGATACATGCATGTATGTAAGACATAGAATAATATTAAGTGGAATCAAAGCTAGTCTCCTGAGAGAGAAACACTTGTGTTTATCCTGAAGGGTAATCATTTGTAGCTGACATACAATTAAGTGATTTATGTAGAGCCTTCATTTTGAAAGCATTTGCACTTCCTGTTTAGAATTTGTGGCCATTTGAAATTCAGGCCAATTATCATTGGGTCACAGGGGCCATCATAAGGGATAAGGATAGGAGTATCTGATACTACTTAGTGAAAGAAATACGCTATTTATTAATCTTATTTAGCCCCAGTAATTCTCACATTTTTAAGTCAAATGGCTTTGAAATTAGGTTAAATTTAGCTCTATAAATTCGATATTTTTAAGAGCATTGTTCACACTGTTGATTTTTATGTGTTTCTTTCTTTTTGGAATTGTGATACTTTACATTTAGGATCAATATGTGATCAAGGCTAATGATGCATCCAAACACACACACACACACACACACATACACACACACACATGTCTGCGTTTCTTAAAGTTTGTAGATCAACAAATGTCTAGCTATGATCCGCAAAACGTTTAAGTTGCTATTTCTGATTTCAGCTGGTTTACTTAATTAATGAGCGTGGGCTTTATAAGGTGTTGAGGTGTTGATTAGTTTTTTAAATGGTATTTTCAGCCTAACAAAGTAAATTTGTTTTATAATTTGGAAATATTTGCAAAGTATATTTTGGTTGCTTTCATTCTTTTACCTGCTGAGATCCCTCTGGCCCCATTAATTTTGTTTTTTTTCTCCTGAGCTGAATCCCTGAGACTGTCTAGATAGCTGAGAAGAAGCCAGGTATGGGAAATGAGTCAAGGTTGAGAGTATAAGACAGCTGGTAATCAGGAGTAGACCAGGCCGGGGGAGCCACTGTGAGCAGCATGAAATCGTGGCATCCATAGCACTGGAAGGTAAAAGTTGGTATGTGGGTGGAACTCTCAGCAAGCAGAAATCAGGGACACAGAAATATTGGAGTTTGATGGGAGTGATATGAAAAGAGGGCACAAAAGGAAAAAATAAGGAAAAGTCCAGGTCACATCAGAGATCAGTTTATAGAAACTGAAAGAACTATGACACTATTGGAGTGACAAACTTGGGACATTGGGACAGAAGTTCTTTGGCATTTCAGTGCAAATTGTGCTCTAGTCAAGAAGCTTCTTAGGCATTCCCTGCCAACATAGGAACCAGTCCCAAGGTTGGGCCACCAGAGCCCGCTTGTAAAAGCAGGTCATGGGTGTGTCTGCCTGGAAAGGAAAAGGAGGTAGCCTGGGAAGGTCCTAAGGAGAGAGGTTAAGGACATGTGGCAACACAAGCATAATCAGCACTTTGCTGAGCCTTGTGTGTTCCATGACTCACATACATTGGTTATAACACACCCATCTTCCAGGCAGTAAAACCAGTGGGTTAGAGCTGGGTCTTCAATGTGTCTGCTCCATCTGAAGGCAGTATAAGGGAACTACTATAAAGAGGGTAAAGATGCTTCAGTTTAAAAGCTGCTAAACAGTTTGCATTCTGTATAAAAATCTTAGTTCTCTTTTTAAAGTTTTTCATAGCAAAAAGAGGTCTGTTTGTAAAGGATTGAATTGGAATAAATAATATAAATGAAAGTTAATGAGAAAAATACAATTTATGGTTATGTAAATAGACTTTTGCTGTATCTTTCATATTTGCATGCACATATATTGTATATATAAAATATAAATACATATGCATATTTATAAATTTATATTGCTTAGAAATTGCTGAGTCTTAAGAGATCTCTAATTGTTAATTGTTTTAAACTCAATGGTTTGGTCTTTTTTGGGCATTAGTACATGATTACTTTGTCTACCTTTGTTTTTATTTAAATTATGAAATTAGGTAAACTTACAGGAAGGAATAACTAATTAACCTTAAAATCTCATTTATATCTCTTTAGACTCAATCATATATCTACTTGGCAATGTATTTGCTTTTTAACTTACATTTTAATGATATAAAACGAATTTACTTAGTATTTATTTTTGATGGGTCTATTGTATGGTGATATAACATATTTTGATTCTAATTCTCTTATTCTTGACCATTTGAGTCAATAGTATTTTTTTTTTCATTATTGGAAAATTGAACATTTTTTAGCAAATTATTTTTGGGTTGTTTCCTTGGGGCATTTTCCCCAAAGTCAGATTAACAAGTCAAAGGGCAGGAACAATTTTATAGCTCCTATTACATATTGCCATATTGTTTTCCAGAAAGATTGAGCTAATTTGCCACTCCACCATCAATGTATAAAGCACAGCCCCAGTTTTAGATAGTTTAGACAGTCTGGGCACACATGAAAAGTATAATTACATTTTTACCCTGAGGCCTAGCTGTAAAGATAGCTCTCCTAAGTAAACTCAATATATGGACTTTGAAATTATAGAACTGATAAGGCATGAATTTTGTTCTTCAGAATGTGGAGGCTTGAAGTTAGGGACTTTTGGGGCTGGACCATGTGTGGTGTGGAGGTAGAGGGTCCCTTTGGACCAGTGTGGTACTGTGATTGCATTCTATTGAGATGTTGGTAAGGCCCAGAACAAAGGGATGGGAGAGAACCAGGTCCCAGTGTTGCTGCTGCTAGGAAGGTCACCAGGTGCAAGGAATCCTGGAGGGCTTGGTGGAGGTTGTAGGATAGTGGGTGCACTTTGGAGTCAGGCATGCAGCAAAGAAGAGGATGTCTAGTGGCTGTCTTGTGGCCACTAGTCAGTGGGCCAGGTACTCCCTGGGTAGGGGCTAGCCAAAGGCCTTCCTTATTAAAAATGTCAACTTAAGGGTGTTAGGGTGATTTTTTTGCCTTTGTGACACAGCATTATCAACTTTATAATGGAAGTCAATAGAGATTATACTTTCTGTGGAAATTCTTTTATTCTGTAAGGATGGACTTGCCTGGTCTATAACGATTTTTTTCCCTGTTTCTGACAAGGGAGAGACTTAGACATTTCCCTGAGAAACAAATTTCCCTCATTGCTCATGCATGCATTATCCCTTTGCCAGCTTCCCCAATGACTTGCAAAAATTCCATAACCTAAGTACTTGCACAGAACATGTAACAGCACATCATAGGACTGGACCTGGAGGGTACTGCAAAAGACACATAGATTCCATGCAATTCAGAAAGGCAAAAACGGACAAAGATAAAGTCATTGATAAATGTTTGGTTGTTTAAAAATTATCGTATGTGTATATTTTCAAGGGAGTAAATGGAATGAATATTATACCAGAAATTCTAAGTCATGAAGTTAAATGGAAGTTGAGATAACAGATTGTTTTAGTTTCCAGGTCGCAAAGTGGAAGTAAGTATCTGTTGGCAGAGAAAGGTGAGAAACCTTCAGATGCTAGCAGTGGGAAAGGAGAGAAGCTGACTAGGGCTGTGAGGTGACCTATTTAGGGATTTTTATTTAAATTGTTAATTGAGTTTTTTGTGGTAAAGTATATATAACAAAATAGGCCACCTTAACCAATTTTGTTTTTTGTTTTGTTTGAGACAGGGTCTTTCTCTGTTGCCCAGGCTGGAGTGCAATGGCACCATCAAGGCTCACTGCAGCCTCAACCTCCTGGGACTCAAATGATCCTAATACCTCAGAGTCTCAAGGCATGCACCACCACACCCAGCTAATTTTTAAAGTTATTTTGTAGAGATAGGGTCTCACTATTTTGCTCAGGCTGGTCTTGAAGTCCTAGGCTCAAGTGATCCTCCTACCTTGGCCTCCCAAAGTGCTTAATTATCAGCTCTATTTCCAAAACTTTTTAATCACTCCAAACTTTAGGAATTTGTTTCATAATTGGTTGTCTCAGAATTTTTAAGCTTAAAGAAACACAGCATTCAAACCCTTCATTTTTTAGTTTCAGTACATGCCATATGCTAGGGTTGATTCTACTAGTTGTATGTCTCTTGTTTATCAGTTTCCTTTAATCTTTTCTGTTGCTGCATGTTTGGTTGAAGAGGGCATCCATCCAAGTAGGGAAGGGAGGATATTGTTCTGTCAAGGGCATATGAGTAGCTGTGTTCCTCTGCTGAGATCTCCAAAGCAATTCTATTTGTAGGAGAACATGGGTAGTATGGTTTCCTTTTGCTTATTTAATGTATTTTAAAATTAAAAAGCAATATTATACATCAACAATCTAGAAAAAAATTTAAGAATTTGTCACGACTTTGAACATCAAAATGATTCTTTTTGCATATTTTTTTACATACGTCTTTGACATAATTATTATGCATCTAACATCTACGAATAGCTTGCTTTTTTCATCTAACATATCACTTACAGTTTCTCATTTTCCTCAGTTATGTTCATAATAAATAATCCAAAGAATGCATGTAGCTTAATTTATATAACCATACTATTTTCTTCAATATTTAGATTGTTGAAATTTATAACTGTGTAAGTAAACATCTTCAGACATCTTCTTTCTATAGTTTAACTCCTTCATTTTAGTGTTTGAGAGGGAGACACACACACACACACACAATGCCCACACATATCTTGTGGGCAGTGGCTCCTGCATTTTTGGTGACAATTTGGTAAAATCAGTGGTGATATGTTTTTGTAATTATGATAAACATCAGATGGATGACAAATGCTTGACTTGGTTACAGGTTGTGAAAATCTTGGAGAAGCACGACCCCTTGAAGAACACCCAGGCAAAATATGGGTCTATCCCTCCAGATGAGGCCAGTGCCGTGCAGAATTACGTAGAACACATGCTCTTCTTGTTGATTGAAGAGCAAGCCAAAGATGCTGCAATGGGGCCGATTCTGGAATTTGTGGTCTCTGAGAACATCATGGAGAAACTTTTCCTTTGGAGCTTGAGAAGGGAGTTTACTGATGAGACTAAAATTGAGCAGCTAAAGATGTATGAGATGTTGGTCACCCAGTCGCACCAGCCTCTGCTGCACCACAAACCCATTCTGAAGCCTCTGATGATGTTGCTGAGCTCTTGTTCAGGAACAACCACCCCCACTGTGGAGGAGAAGCTGGTTGTCCTACTCAATCAGCTCTGTTCCATTCTTGCCAAAGATCCATCCATTTTAGAACTCTTCTTCCACACTAGTGAAGACCAAGGCGCTGCCAACTTCCTCATCTTCTCCCTTCTGATTCCCTTCATTCACCGAGAGGGGTCAGTAGGCCAGCAAGCTCGGGATGCATTGCTCTTCATCATGTCTCTTTCTGCTGAGAACACCATGGTGGCCCATCACATCGTGGAGAACACCTACTTTTGTCCAGTAAGTCTCTTTCCTTGGCATGTTTTCCACTCACTCCCTTTTTTCTCTTCTGTTGCTAGTGATGAATACTTTCTTACTCCCTTTTTTTCTCCCAGTAAGTTGTACTTGGCACTTCCTATGGAAGGATGTTTAGAGGAAATCTTTGGAGGGAGCAGACGAATCTAAGTTGAGACGCTATTTGGCTGAGCAGCATCAGCTCATCATAAGCCAACAAAGGAGGCTAGATGTGTTACCATTTTTGGTTAATTTTTACTGCATTAAGAATGATTTTAGTTGTTCCAGGAGCATATCCTGAGAGATTGGTAAAACCTGTGCTTTCTGATTCTTAGCTTTTCAGGTTGATTTTGCTCCAAGGAATCATGGCATGTGATAAGACCTCCACTGCTAGTTTCACAAAGTAATTTGTTTCTCAGCAAGAAAATGACCACTAGTTTTAGTGTATTTTGTTGTCATAGGAACATGGGGGGGTGGAGTGGGAGTTCAACAGTCAGTTAGTGTGCAGGGGCCACGCTGACAACAACAAATGCTGGCAAGATGTGGAGGAGTAGAAACTCTCATTTGTTGCTGATGGGAATGCAAATTGGTACACTTACTTTGGAAGACAGTTTGGCAGTTTCTTACTAAACTAAACATACTCTTGCCATGTGGTCCAGCAATTGCACTCCTTGATATTTACCTAAAGGTGTTGAAAACTTATGTCCACCCAAAAACCTGCACATGGATGTTTATAGAAGCTTTATTTATAATTGCCAAAAACTTGGAAGCAACCAAGATGTCCTTTAGCAGGTGAATAGACAAATAAAGTGGGGATATATGCAGATAATGGAATATTTTTCAGCTAAAAAGAAATGAGCTGGTAAGCCATGAATAGATATGGTGGAACCTAAATGCTTATTACTGAGTGAAAGAAGCCAATCTGAAAAGGCTACCTACTGTATGATTCCAACTATACGACATTCTGGAAAAGGTAAAACTATGGAGACAGTAAAAAGATCATTTTTTTCCCCTGAGCATTGGGGCAGGGTGAGGGATGAATAAGCAAAGCACAGAGGAATTTTATGGCAGTCAAATTACTTTGTATGATACTAGAATGGTGGGTACATGTCAATATACATTTGTCCAAACCCATAGAATGTAAAACACTGAGTGAGCGCTCATGTAAACTATGGTTTCTGGGGTGACTATAATGTGTCACTGTGAGTTCATCAGTTGTAACAAATGTAGCACTCTGGTAGGGGATGTTGATAATCCGGGAGGCTGTGCATGTGTTGGGGCAGCGGCTATGTGGGATATCTCTGTACCTTCCTCTCAGTTTTGTCATGAACCTTAAACTGCTCTAAAGAAAACCTCTTCAAAACGGCAGTTTTGAGAGGGAGCTATACGTGGTTTGGGTTTTAGCTTATTTGAATTGTTTAATTCAATTGTGTAATTCTGCTGTTAAAGGAGAGCAGGTATTGTAACAAATCAAAATATTCAGGTGGTTCACTTGATCAGTATGCAAAAGGCAATTTAGAAAATACCATTTACAAAAGCAACATAATCATAAGATATCTTAAAATAAATCCAACAAATACATGAAAGGCCTTTATGGAGAAAATTATAAAGGGCATAAAAGATCTAAATAAATGGAAAGCTCTACAGCTTGTAGATAGTGTATAGATGAGACATTCCTGCAAATTATAAAGTTGATGCAATTTATGTTTTAAAAAGTTTTTATTATGAGAAAAAATAAAATACAGAAAACTTAAAACACTAAGATGAACACTGCACACCACCTAGATTCAAAGTTGTTAATATTTTGCCATCCTTTGGTATTTTATGCTTTTATTTGTTTTTGTTGTACCATTTGAAATTAAGTTACAGACATTAGATACTTTAGTCTGTGTTTCCTATGAATGGGGATATTCTCCCACATAACCACAATACTGTTATTGTACCTAAGAACATTATACAATAATTCCTTAATACGACTAGTATCCAGTTCTCCTACTGTGCCCCAAATTACTTCCATAGTTTTTTTCTCCCCATTTGTAGAGTCCAATAAAAGATATCCATCTAGCTATCAGGTCTCTTTAGTCTCCGTTAATATAGTAACAACCTGCCACTTTTCTTCCCCATGACATTGACTTTTTAAGAGACCAAGCCATTATCTTATAAAACACCCCACATTCTGGGTTTGTTTCTTTTGTAGTTTGACTTGTCCCTAACCCTGCATTTCCTGCAAATTGGACTTAGATCTACATGCCCAGTTAAATTTAGGTTAAATATTTTTGGCAAGGTTACTTTACAAGCGATGCTATGTACTTATTGCATTACAGCAAGGGACCTGTGTTAAGTTGTCCCACTATTGGTGATGCATTGAGATACCAGTTAATACTTATCAGAGTAGTAAGTATTAAGTGGTAACTGTGTTGTCAAGAGTGAAAAAAACAAGAACTTTTGAGAATATAAATTGGTATAGTAACTCAGGAAAGCAGTATGGCAATGTTTGGTAAAACTGAATATTTGCCTACTGTGTGATCCTGCAACTTCCCTTCTAGATATCTGGCTTGGAGAAATCTGGCACTTATTTACAAAGATACATATACAACGATGTTCAATAAAACAGTGATTTGAAAAACAGAAAAATATAAGTACGTGAAGTGAAAGATAAACTGGTTTATTCATACATCAGTGGAATACTTTTCAGCATTCAAAGTGTATGAATCATGTGTATTATCATGTAACTATATGTATGAACAGCAGTAAATCAAAAAACATGTTGAATTATTTATTTATTTATTTATTTACTTATTTATTGAGACAGAGTCTCACTCTGTCACCCAGGCTGGAGTGCAGTGGTGCGATCTCGGCTCACTGCAACCTCCGCCTCCCGGGTTCAAGTGATTCTCATGCCTCAGTCTCCCAAATAGCTGGGACTACAGGCGTGTGCCACCACGCCCAGGTAATTTTTTGTATTTTTAGTAGAGACAGAGTTTTACCATGTTGACCAGGCTGGTCTTGAACTCCTAACCTCAAGTGATCTGCCCGCCCAGCCTCCCAAAATGCTGGGATTACAGGCATGAGCCACTGCGCCCGTCCAGAGTTTACATAAAATTTTAAAACACAGAATCTTAGTGTATGCTGTTTTTTGGATACATATGTATACAGTAGAAGTACAAAATAACCACAAGGATAATAATATATGCTAAGTTCAAGACTGTGGCTTTTTGGGGGTGAAGGAAGGGAAGGGATGGTAATGAGATTGGAGTAGGGTGCAGTTCTATTTGTAATTTTTATTGTTTGAAAAAATCAGAGTGTTCTGAAGAAACACTTGGTGATGGGTTTCTATTATGTTTTATATATTTTTCATATTTCATAATTTAAAAATTTAAATATGACAAGAAGATTTCCATTTAACTGCATCATAAGCAGATTTTAGTTGAGCATTGCTTTTATAAAAACATATTTTAAAACACTGTACAGATCATTAAAGTTGGAGGGAAAACAACATCTCCAGCTGACCTTGTTTGCTAGAATGGAACACGAGCTTCATTGTGTTAAGTTGCCCCTCAGGATAGATCCCATAATCTCATTTGTACCCAGTTTTCTATAATTACATCTGACAACATAATTAAAAAAAAAGCCCTCTTTATGTTGAAGATAAAAGCATACTCTATTAACCATCCAGCTAAGGACAACAATTGAGAAAAAGGTTTCTCTAATTAGTATGATTGTCAAAGTGTGTTAGCATCAGGCTGTTGGAACAGTAATGACTCTTTCAGGAAATCGGACCACTTTTGGAAACCTTTACTGTTATAGTTGATAGGAAGAGCTTGCTGGTTCTGCTGCCTCATAGCTCAAGATGTGCTTTCCCAGGAAAAGAAGGAGATTGAAGATACTCTAGGGAACAATTTGGTGCCAACAAAAGGATGGGGACTAAATGACCCTGTCACTTTTTTTTTTAAAACCAAATATTGATGGTTAAGCCCATGCCACTGTTATATATTGGCAAATGTAGAAAACAGTGTGTACATAAATCAAGTGATGCAAATTAAAGCAAGCGACCTTTAGGTACACAGCCACAGGTAGAATGTTATTTATCCCGTATCCAAAATTTATGAGATTTTTTGTTTTAGCAAGTTGTATCAAATAGTCCCTACCAGGTGTTATGCTGCGAGCTTCAGACTAAAGCCATCTGCCAAAAATCTTTGTGTTTGCTAAAATTAACCAGATATCATTAGATGTTTAAAGTTAAACATTACTCATTCACTGCTCTGTGCATGTCATCTTTCTTTCTTTTTTTTTTTGTATGTCATCTTTCTTTCCTTCATTGGAAACATTTCTGTGCGTAAAACATTATGCTAATCTTGGTAGATGCATTATTTTCTTTAATCCTGGCAACAACTTAGTGAAGAAATGGAAATTTAGAGAACTTTAATAACTGCCTGTCAGTGGCAGATTCTGGTTCAAAACTGCATTTGTCTGATACTTAAGTCCTTGGTCTCAGCAACTGCCACACTATACTGCTGCCAGGGAAGTTGTTTGCTTTTTTGTCTGTTGTTATCCTTGTGGTTTTACATGGTGATTAGTTTCTTTTAAAGAGATTCTTGAGGGAAAATAAGTGAAAAATAAGTGCAAATAAGTGAAAAATGGGTTAATGCTTAATGTGTTGGGAATAAATAGAATGTTTTGCAATTTTTTTGTGTGTGTGGATGGGAATCCAAGAATCAATGAAAGGCTAAAATAGTGGATGGGAATTTTATTTTAAATGAGCTGTTGAATACATCTATATTTAAACTTTTAATAATTTAATTCTAAGTTAAAAAATGAAATTTAAAAGTAAATAGAATGTGCTATTCATCTCTTAACCTAGAAAAGTTAGCTACAGACCTGTTGGAATCTTTCTTTTTCCTTATCCTGTTCCCACAGCACTCCGTATCCCCTTGGGTAGTAATTATCTTTCTTGCCTGTATTAGTTTATCAGCCGTCTTCTCCATCTTTCCTGGTCCAACTTGTTCACTACTCTTTCCCCAGGACCAATCTTGCATATGTCTGACCCACAGTCTGTGTTCTAGAAATATGTGCAGTCTGGGTGAATGAATCTGAACTCTGAGCGCAGTCTAGGAAGGGAGGATATAAATACCATAAAGATTTAGAATCTTGTTTCTAAGACTATGTAATACTCTTTATTCCGCAGAATATTTTCTCCCCTGTTTCTTTGCCATTCTGAAGGAGATAGCAGAGGCACTTTTTGTAGTGGCAGGAACATGGCAGGACTTCTTATTCAGCTGTCACTTCTGTACAGACAATGTCCTTCTGTTCCGGGAGTATCCTTATGCATAGAGAGTATCCTTCTGTACAGGGACTACCTTCTGGATGGGCAGGCTTCTGCTCACATCTCAGCCATGCCCTTTCACAATATTCATTTTAAAAAGTGAATATTACATATGTGTTATTTTTAATTACTGTCACTGATGTATGTAATTTGAAAATTAATGTTGCTATAATTATATTGATATACTGAGTAGTTATTCCCAGCTTTTTAGTCAGACAAATTAAGCCTGTCTTTATGAATTCATCCTCAGAGCCTCAAAGTGGTTAAGAATTCAGGAGTATGCAGAATTAAAGCCTTTGTTCTGTGGTTAATTTAGCATGAGTTAGCAAATGTAATTGATTTAAAAAAATGTGGCATCAAGATTAGATTTCTCTTCGAGGAGAACTTTTGGTCTCTGTTCTCTTTTGCCAGAGGTTTCTAATTTATAAGAAGCAACTCATTTGGGTCACATTCAAAACTGGAATTAAAGTGATTTGTATGGGTATGTTCACTTTAAATAGGGGACATTCTCCTTTGGGACCAAAGATGCCCTGATTTTTTAAAAAGAGATAAATGTACTGTCTTGTTTACGGTTGTATTTTCCGTACTTAACATAGTACCTGGCCTGAAATAAGTGTTTGGTATTTTTTTTAATGAATAAGTAAATGAATGAATGATTAAAGGTTGCCAGGAAATAGAACAGAGAAATGTATATTATTTTTTTGATTTCTCTAGTACTGAAATGGTTCATCTGTTTGTCTTCTTGTTCTTTATACTCCACTGGGGGCTCCTATACCATCTCCCCAACCCCTCCTAGGCCCTCCCATGACTTCATATGGTCTCTCCATGTTAACATCTGAAACTCAACATACCTGACTGGACAAATCATCCATACCTCCAGTGTGGACTTGAATGAACAAGTCAGACCAGGAGAGATGGAGAAGATAGGCAATACACTAATACATGCAAGAAAGATGATTGCTACACAGAGGGATACAGAGAGTGCTGTGGGAACAGGACAAGGGGAAAAGGAAGGCAACAATAGGTCTACAGATAATTTTTTTCCAAGTTTAACATACCTAGGCCCACACCTCCTTCTGACTTTCTGTTTGTGATGCCAGGCATTGTGGATTATTTTGTCATATCTCATCTGTCTAAATCTCCCTTTCCTTCTCTGTCTGGTTCGTATGGCTTGAGGTCCCATCTACATGTTGATGGCTCCGTCTCTAGCCCAGAGCTCTCTTTTAAGCATCAGCCCCACGTATCTGAATACTGGGCTCTCCATTTGGATGCCCCACACGCTCCTCATGTTGTCCTATAAAACCCTGCAGGATCTGATTCCCGTTTACCTTGCCAGCCTCTTTCTACCTGTAATTCTGCACTCTAACAATACTGTGCTTCTCTTAGTTCCTGGAGAATACCATCTTTTCTTTCTCCTTTGAGCTTTTGTATATGCTGTTTTCTCTGCTTGGAATATTCTTCCCCCTACTCTTTTTCTGGCTAACTCCTACGTACTCTTCACCAGCTTAGATATCACTTCTTCTGAGAATATTTCCTGCTGCCAACCCTCGAAATCTGAGTAAGAGTCTTTTGTAAATCCACAACACCATATATTTTCTATTATGTATTCTGAGCATTTCTAACACTGTTTTAATTGCCCGTTAATCTCTCATTAGACAGTGAGATCAATGAGTATGTCACTATTTCTTTTCTGGGCCTGCCTCATTATATTTTCTTGAATGTTTCCATCTCATTCGAGGCCATTGTCACCTCAGGGTTTGTGCTAGAGCAAAGCCTTTTGTAGCTGGCTTTTTTTTTTCTTTCGAGGCACTCCAGCTCTGTCGGCCAGGCTGGAGTGTAGTAGGTCCAATCTCGGCTCACTGCAACCTCCGCCTCCCAGGCTCAAGGGATTCTCTTTTGCCTCAGCTTCCTGAGTAGCTGGGATTACAGCCTTGTGCCACCACACCCAGCTAAATTTTGTATTTTTAGTAAAAACGGGGTTTCGCCATGTTGGCCGGACTGGTCTCAAACTCCTGGTTCAAGTGATCCACTCACCTCAGCTCCCCAAAATGCTGGGATTACAGGCATGAGCCACCACCCCTGGCCCCATAGCTGGCTCCTTTGCATTCAATCTGTGCCATCCCTGGCCATCTTATACATATCTAGCAAGTCAGGATCTCCAAGTTGCTGCTTAGTCAGTATCACTTCCCAGCTGGGAGGCCTCCAGTACTATGAAATTCATTGCATCCCTGGTTTGATATTCCACAAGGTAAAATCAACAAGCACTCAGCATTAAGTATGTAATCTTCCTACATTTCTGTCTCTATTAAAGGCATCACCATTTTCTTGGTGACCAAGTTGGGTAAGTTGACAGTTTTGAGTTCTTACCCCACTTACCAAGCCCAAAGGCTGTCAATTTAAATTAAGGACCAGAACACTAAGGGAGGAAGCAAGCCCTAAGAGTTTTGGATTAATGCCAGACCGATAGATGTCATGGTTAGATCACCCTCATATTCACCTTCCATGTGATGCTCAAATTTTATTTCCTCCTCTCTTTTCCTAGTGCTGATGCCTCCGTGTAGACTCACTTTATCTCTGCTTGAATCTTGTCATCACATCTAACTAACTGATTGCTGACCCCCAATTCTTTCTCCTTGCTATTGCTTGTGAAGATCAAATGAGAAAATATACGTGGAAGTGCTTTGTAAACTGCAAACATGCAGCTGTCAGTCGTGACCTCAAGCATGCAAGGAATTGCATGGAATCTTTCCCATAAAGCTCATGGTTCCAATGTATGTGACTTTCTGTCCTGGACCACCTCAAAACAGGAGTTTCTCCTCTAGACTGGGGTATGTGCCTTCTCTGTATTTGCACTTGATGTATTGTACTATAGGATACTGTTTATGAATTTGTTCCTCTCCTGAACTTCTTGAGGCCAGAATAATATTTTATTCATCTTTGCGTGTACTCCTCCTACACCTAGCCCAGCATAGTGCCTGGCACATGAGAGATGAGCAACCCATACCAACCATGTGTATATTAGCCAGATAGTTCTGATATTGCCATTCCTTCTGCCAGAGTTGTCCTTCCCTACTGTCTTCACCTGTTTGCATCGTTTTTAGCTGGCTGACGGGCTCTTATACCTTTAATACCTTGCTACTTAAAGATATAGTTTTGGGACCAGCAGCATTGGCATCACCTGTGAGCTGTTAATTGCAGGTTGAGAACTTTGGAAAAGCATTTATTTTGTTTTTATTTCTGAACACAGGTACTTGCAACTGGGCTCAGTGGTCTCTACTCTTCCCTGCCTACAAAGCTAGAAGAGAAAGGCGAGGAATGGCACTGCCTTCTGAAAGATGACTGGCTTCTACTTCCTTCTCTTGTCCAGTTCATGAACTCCCTGGAGTTTTGCAATGCAGTCATACAGGTACCAGAGCACAATAAAGGATCCCTTTGCTATGGCTTCATTCAGAGCACAAGCACTGCAAAGGATTAATTTTAAAACGTTCATTTTTTAAAATGTTAATAAATGTTTATGGAATATTGGTGCTTTAAGCCAATTGAATGTCCTTGAATGAGTGAAAATGTTAGTTTGTAGGTTTCTGGAAGTTTTAACTGAGAAAAAAAATGAGTAGATTTTCTTTATCTTCTTTATAAATTAATTCTGTTTTGATTATCTACTTAACCATCAAAAATAAGTTCAATGCCTGACTCATTAAATAGATTATTTTTAGGTTTCTAAGTACTCCAGATTATACCGCTTTTACTTCAAGGTCTTCTTGGGAATTTACAAAGGAGAACACTTTATTTTGCTTAATGGCGCATACTACATAAAGAATATTGTTATCCTGATTGAATTTAGAAGAAGTTAAGCATTTTCATTGCAACACAAATTAAATTCTCTTTGAAATTGTCCTGTTTGGGAGAGGAAAAAAGCAACCACTGAATTCTTGTGTATTTGGCTTCTTGATTAGATTTTTACCTTTAGATTTGTTGTTACTGTTTTCAATAAAAATCAGATTTTAAGTATATTTAAGGATGTGGTAAGTTTTCATAAAAAATATTTTAGTTCCATATAGCATAAATATTACCTTAATATTAGATTTATTAAGAAATCAAGTTTTCTTTCTTTTTTTTTCTCGGCCTTTTTTTTTATTATTATACTTTAAGTTTTAGGATACATGTGCACAACGTGCAGGTTTGTTACATATGTATACATGTGTCATTTTGGTGTGCTGCACCCATTAACTTATCATTTAGCATTAGGTATATCTCCTAAGAAATCAAGTTTTCTTTATAGTGATTGTAGGATGAAAGATGTTAGTTATAATCTGTTTATCTACCAAATAAAGAAATAGCTTCTGGAAGAAAATACAAGTAAATTATTTTAGTTCCATCTCATTTTTATTGCTAAGTCAAAGAAAGTTTTATTTATATATAAGAAAAATGGATTACATCTTATTTTTTCCTTTAATATTGCAGTCTATCAACCTATCAACATTTTCTTGCAGAAGTTTGTGGAAATAAAAAAGATGGAACTACTATTAGTTCTTCCCCAAAAATATATACACACAGAGAGATTATCAGTAATTTGAAGATCTAGCTTCACTTTCCTAGAAATTGCTTTTTACTTTATTGTTTGACTTTCTTTCTCTTTTTCATTTTCTTCTTTTTTTAAAGAAAGAGAAATAAAGCTAATGGGCATGGTAAGAACAGGGAAATTATATTATTTCATACTGCATTTTGACATCGAAACCATATACTTTTAAGGTTTTTTGTTTGGGGAAGCTACTGAAAAGGTTATTTATGAAAGATATTAGTAGAGGGTTATCTACACTAAATATATTTTGGAAATCAAATATGAGAAGTATTGTACTTCTGATAATGTTTTCCGCTTTTGAATATTATCTATTTTTCTGAAAATATTTTTAAATGCCTTTTCTTTAATATAAATGACTATCAGGAAATACATATTTAAAATGAGGAAATGTTTTCTGCTAGCAAAATAAATGTATTTAATTGTTTTGACAGTTATACTCAGTTTTTAAAATTAGTTACAGGTTGAGATGTGATTTAGAAGAAAGTAAGGGGCAAAAATTATACTTTCCAGTTTGTTAACTTTAACAAACTGGATATGTTTAACACACTGGATATGGTATGTGTAAGTATGAATCCTTATACATACTCAGTCTATTTATTGTCTTTTTTCCAAATACGCAGTTTAAAATTACCAATATTATGTTTGAAAGTTCAACTTCTGCGGATTTTAACCAAGGTGTTTATACTGGAATAAGCTATTTGAAAGGCTTATATGACAGTATGAGGTCTGATTTGTTCTTTAATCACAGAATAAATGGCCAAAATGTGGATTTCCTTTTTGAGTTCAGGATGTACACAGAATTGTTTTATTTTAAGAACTGAAGATTGAACTCTTTGCCTTTTTCATGCCTATGTGCCTCTCTCTCAGGTGGCTCACCCCTTGATTCGAAATCAGCTTGTCAATTACATTTACAATGGATTTTTGGTACCAGTCTTGGCTCCTGCTCTCCATAAGGTCAGTGATTGGCTCATGTAATCTTCTGTCTCTATAATACAAGTGATGGACACTGAGGAGGGTAAACACAGTGTAATTGATTTGATGGTGATTTTAGCCTGATTTTTCTTTTCATTCCGTCTATATTTCTTAGCAATATCAAACACAGGTATTAAAATGGCCACAGCTTAAACTGATGGTTCTATCTGGTGTCATAGAATACAGTATTGTGAGTGTCAAGTAGGATAGTCAGCCTAAAGGAACATTGGCAGATAGACTCTGACTCTGCCTGTTTCACTTCGTGGGCAGTGGCAACTTGGAACTGTCAAGATGTTCTCCAAGGCTGAGTCTGTCATAGAGAATGCAAGGTCTGCTGTGGGCATGGAGAGGAGCAGTGGTAGCACAAGTGCCATAGATTTGCCATCTACTTAATAAAACATAATTTTTTATTGTAACAATTTTGTGACAGCAAAAATTAAAGTGGAGCCAAATTAAGGTCCCATCAAATGTTGGCTGTCTCATTAGCACAACTGAATTTCTTATGACTCTCTCATTTTGTATAATAAATCAACTGATATCTTTTCCATTGTGAGCTGTCAGGAGACACTCCTAGGCCTAGAATTCTGATTTTCTGTTTTTCCTTCACTAAGTAAAGAGACGTGTGCAGTATTTAGTTCAGGGGATCTTTGTCAAGATTTTGGAATCATACCTCTAGCAGAGACAGAAGCAAAGAGCAACTTGATCATATGTTGTTTTGATGGAATGCCCACCATTCTGCATCCTGAAGTTCAATTTCTATGGACTTTTATTTTACAGAATCCAAAAATACTTGATTATGGCAACTTTGAAACCTTGCCATCCAAGCTGATGAGGTTTCTGGTTTAGAGCAGATCTTGACAGAAGATGTTCATCCTTTACTATTTAGTGCCTCTCCAGCATAGTGGCCATGTTTTCCAAGCCAAACAGGGTACTTGGTTTGAATTGGATTTTTATGTTATTTCTAGGTTCAAGAGGTCATCTTTGATGTGGTTTAAACATAAAAATACTGAGGTTTCCATGTTATTTTAGTAGTTTATGGGCACAAAGGAACCAAGTCTGTGAAATTAGATCTCTGTTGGAAAATAAGGGATTAACTCTGGAAAATACAGAACTTGTATTTGTTTCTAGGTTAACTTTATGTTTGTCAGTATTCTGTTGTTCCAGGGATGGAATGGGTATCTTGCATTGAAGACCTCTAAGCCTCTGCATGGAAGAATTTTCCTCTTCGGAGGAACACAAGAGTGCTATAGAAATTCTTTGGCAGTAATTATCCATATATGCTCTCACACATTTAGACTTTCTTCTTCATTTATTTCCATCCTTTTCCTCAATGACCTATTGACATAAACATTTCCTGTCATTATTATAATAGTGATAATTATTATAATTACTATTTGTTCAGGAAATTTTATGTTATTATGATTAGCACACTTTAGTGTTACAGACATTAGTGATAGCTCTTTATTCATAATTGAGGATGAAAGCCACCTCAGAGAGCTGTTACGAGGATCTTACTGGTCACCACACACTACTTCTTCATATCACTTAGTACAGGTAAAGTTAAATCATTACATGTGCTATTGCTTGCTTAATGTCTTCTCCACAGTGGTATGCGTGCTTTCAGTTATGGCATATTATCACATGTGTTTTATTCACTGGGATATCTCCAATGCTGAGCACAGTACCTTAGACTTAGGAGGCTGAAGAAACAACACACAAATGGAATGCTTGTTAAAGTGCCAACAGAGTGCTGGCACTTAGTACCTTCCCAGACAGTGGTTTGTAAGAGAATAATTGCTAACATTTGATCTAGCTCTTTACATATATTATGTAATATCCTCAGTTGTGCCCATAATTAAAATATGAGAGTTTTGAAACCATAAAGTTAATACATTTAAAGTTTAAAGCCATAAAGTTAATACATGCTTATTATAAAAATAAAAAAGAGTCAATGCTGAATATGTAAAATGAGAAGCGAATGTTACTGTATTAGGTTTGAATTTCCAACCCCTAATTAAGATTCCTTAACTTGTATCCATTGCAGACAATTTGTCTCAGGGCTATATAGCAACTAGGGAGAACAAAGATGAATTTTTTTCCTTCTTAATTAATTTTCTCCCTGTTCTCTGTCTGTTTTTTGTTGGTTTGCTTTTTTTTTTTTTATCATGTAGGATGAATAGGGTTAGGGACGGAGCAGGCCAGGGAAGGAGAACAGCCTCTCCTCTGGCTCTTGGCTCCTTATGTGGTTGATGAAGAAAGGAGCCATTTCATGAGTGGCAGGACAGGAAATCAGAAGCACATGAACAAAGAAGTCTAGAACTGGATGTTTCTTGAGGGGTTCCCAGTGAGAGCAGTCATATCCCATTTCCTGTATTTCCCCCTTTGGTATGGGGAGTGATACCGAGAAGTCTGGGCTCAGGTCCACTGGAGGGACTCCTGTCTGTGTTTCCTATACTCCATGTCCACTGCCTTGACATGAGCATTATTTTTTTTAATTCTTTATTTATTTTTATTGTATTTTTATTATACTTTAAGTTCTGGGATTCACATGCAGAATGTGCAGGTTTGTTACATATGTATACACGTGCCATGGTGGTTTGCTGCACCCATCAACTCGTCATCTACATTAGGTATTTCTCCTAATGCTATCCCTCCCCTGGCCCCTGGCCCCCTGACAGGCCCCGGTGTGTGATGTTCCCCTTTCTGTGTCCATGTGTTCTCGTTCAACTCCCACTTATGAGTGAGAACATGCGGTGTTTGGTTTTCTGTTCCTGTGTTAGTTTGCTGAGAATGATGGTTTCCAGCTTCATCCATGTCCCTGCAAAGGAATGAACTCATCCTTTTTTATGGCTGCATATTCCATGGTGTATTCCATGGTGTATTCCATGGTGTATATGTGCCACATTTTCTTTAGTCTATCATTGATGGGCATTTGGGTTGGTTCCAAGTCTTTGCTATTGTTAATAGTGCTGTAATATATATACGTATGCATGTGTCTTTATAGTAGAATGATTTATAATCCTTTGGGTATATACCCAGTAATGGGATTGCTGGGTCAAATGGTATTTCTGGTTCTAGATCCTTGAGGAATTGCCACACTGTCTTCCACAATGGTTGAACTAATTTACACTCCCGCCAACAGTATAAAAGTGCTCCTATTTCTCCACATCCTCTCCAGCATCTGTTGTTTCCAGACTTTTTTTTTTTTGAGACGGAGTCTCACTCTGTCGCCCAGGCTGGAATGCAGTGGTGCGATCTCAGCTCACTGCAAACTCCGCCTCCCAGGTTCATGCGATTCTCCTGCCTCAGCCTCCTGAGTAGCTGGGACCACAGGCGCCCGCCACCATGCCTGGCTAATTTTTTGTATTTTTAGTAGAGATGGGGTTTCACTGTGTTAGCCAGGATGGTCTCAATCTCCTGACCTTGTGATCCACCCGCCTCAGCCTCCCAAAGTGCTGAGATTACAGGCGTGAGCCACCGCGCCCGGCTGTTCCCTGACTTTTTAATGATTGCCATTCTAACTGGCGTGACATGGTATCTCATTGTGGTTTTGATTTGCATTTCTCTAATGACCAATGATGGTGAGCTTTTTTTCATATGTTCTTTGGCTGCATAAATGTCTTCTTTTGAGAAATGTCTGTTCATAATCTTTGCCCACTTTTTGGTGGGGTTTTTTCTTGTAAATTTGTTTAAGTTCCTTGTAGATTCTGGATATTAGCCCTTTGTCAGATGGATAGATTGCAAAAATTTTCTCCCATTCTGTAGGTTGCGTGTTCACTCTGATGCTAGTTTCTTTTGCTGTGCAGAAGTTCTTTGGTTTAATTAGATCCCATTTATCAATTTTGGCTTTTGTTGCCATTGCTTTTGATGTTTTAGTCCTGGAGTCTTTGCCCATGCCTGTGTCCTGAGTGGTATTGCCTAGGTTTTCTTCTAGGGTTTTTATGATTTTAGGTCTTACATTTAACTCTTTAATCCATCGTGAATTAATTTTTGTATAAGGTGTAAGGAAGGGGTCCAGTTTCAGTTTTCTGCATATGGCTAGCCAGTTTTCCCAGCACCATTTATTAAATAGGGAATCCTTTCCCCATTGCTTGTTTTAGTTAGGTTTGTCGAAGATTAGGTGGTTGTAGATGTGTAGCATTATTCCTGAGGTCTCTGTTATGTTCCGCTGGTCTATATATCTGTTTTGGTACCAGTACCCTGCTGTTTTTGTTACTGTAGCCTTGTAGTATAGTTTGAAGTCAGGTAGTGTGATGCCTCCAGCTTTGTTCTTTTTGCTTAGGATTGTCTTGGCTAAACAAGCTCTTTTTTGGTTCCATATGAAATTTAAAGTAGTTTTTTCTAATTCTGTGAAGAAAGTCAATGGTAGCTTGATGGGGATAGCATTGAATCTATAAATTACTTTGGGCAGTATGGCCATTTTCATGATATTGATGCTTCCTATCCATGAGCATAGAATGTTTTTCCATTTGTTTGTGTCCTCTCTTATTTCCTTGAGCAGTGGTTTGTAGTTCTCCTTGAAGAGGTCCTTCACATCCCTTGTAACTTGTATTCCTAGATATTTTATTTTTTTTGTAGCAATTGTGAGTGGGAGTTCACTCATAATTTGGTTCTCTGTGTTTCTATTATTTATGTATAGGAATGCTCGTGATTTTGCACATTAATTTTGTATTCTGAGACTGCTGAAGTTGCTTATCAGTTTAAGGAGATTTTTGGCTGAGATGATAGGGTTTTCTAAATATACAATCAGGTCATCTGCAAACAGAGACAATTTGACTTCCTCTCTTCCTGTTTGAATACCCTTTATTTCTTTCTCTTGCCTGATTGCCCTGGCCAGAACTTCCACTATGATGTTGAATAGGAGTGGTGAGAGAGGGCATCCTTGTCTTGTACCAGTTTTCAAAGAGAATGCTTCCAGCTTTTTCCCATTCAGTATGATATTGGCTGTGGGTTTGTCATAAATAGCTCTTATTATTTTGAGATACATTCCATCAGTACTTAGTTTATTGAGAGTTTTTAGCGTGAAGGGGTGTTGAATTTTATTGAAGGCCTTTTCTGCATCTATTGAGATAATCATGTGGTTTTTGTAATTGGTTCTGTTTATGCGATGGATTAGGTTTATTGATTTGCATATGTTGAACCAGCCTTGCATCCCAGGGATGAAGCTGACTTGATCGTGGTGGATAAGCTTTTTGATGTGCTCCTGGATTCGGCATTGCCAGATCGATGTTCATCAGGGACATTGGTCTGAAATTTTCTTTTTTTGTGGTGTCTCTGCCAGGTTTTGGTATCAGGATGATGCTGGCTTCATAAAATGAGTTAGGGAGGAGTCCCTCTTTTTCTGTTGTTTGGAATAGTTTCAGAAGGAATGGTACCAGCTCATCTTTTTACCTCTGGTAGAATTTGGCTGTGAATTTGTCTGGTCCTGGGCTTTTTTTTGGTTGGTAGGCATTAGTTAACTTGTTATTGGTCTGTTCAGGGATTTGACTACTTCCTGATTTAGTCTTGAGAGGGTGTATGTGTCCAGGAATTTATGCATTTCTTCTAGATTTTCTAGTTTATTTGCGTAGAGGTGTTTATAGTATTCTCTTATTGTAGTTTGTATTTCTGTGGGATGAGTGGTGATATCCCCTTTGTCTTTTTTTTTTTTGAGATGGAATCTCGCTCTGTTGCCCAGGCTGGAGTGCAGTGGTGCGATCTCGGCTCACTGCAAGCTCCGCCTCCTGGGTTCATGTCATTCTGTCTCAGCCTCCGGAGTAGTTGGGACTACAGGCGCCTGCCACCACGCCTGGCTAATTTTTTGTATTTTTAGTAGAGACAGGGTTTCACCGTGTTAGCCAGTGTGGTCTCGATCTCCTGACCTCATGATCCTCCCACCTTGGCCTCCCAAAGTGCTGGGATTACAGGTGTGAGCCACCGCACCCAGCCACCTTTGTCATTTTTTATTGTGTCTATTTGATTCTTCTCTCTTTTCTTTTTTTATTAGCCTGGCTAGCAGTCTATCTATTTTGTTAATCTTTTCAAAAAACCAGCTTCTGGATTCATTGATTTTTTGAAGAGTTTTTCATGTCTCTATGTCCTTCAGTTCTGCTCTGATCTTAGGTGTTTCTTGTCTTCTGCTAGCTTTTGAATTTGTTTGCTCTTGCTTCTCTAGTTCTTTTCATTGTGATGTTAGGGTGTCAGTTTTAGATCTTTCCCACCTTTTCCTGTGGGCATTTAGTACTATAAATTTCCCTCTGAACACTGCTTTAGCTGTGTCCCAGAGATTTTGGTATGTTGTGTCTTTATTCCCATTGGTTTCAAAGAACTTATTTAATTCTGCCTTAATTTCATTATTTACCCAGTAGTTATTCAGGAGCAGGTTGTTCAGTTTCCATGTAGTTGTGTGGTTTTGAGTGAGTTTCTTAATCCTGAGTTCTAATTTGATTGCACTGTGGTTGGTCTGAGAGACTGTTATGATTTCCGTTCTTATGCATTTGCTGAGGAGTGTTTTACTTCCAATTGTGTGGTCAGTTTTAGAATATGTGTGGTGCTGAGAAGAATGTATATTCTGTTGATTTGGGGTGGAGAGTCCTGTAGATGTCTATTAGGTCTGCTTGGTCCAGAGCTGAGTTGAAGTCCGTCCTGGATATCTTTGTTAATTTTCTGTCTCATTGATCTGTCTAATATTGACAGTGGGGTGTTAAAGTCTCCCGCTATTATTGTGTGGGAGTCTAAGTCTGTTTGTAGGTGTCTAAGAACTTGTTTTGTGAATCTGGGTACTACTTTATTGGGTGCATATATATTTAGGATAGTTAGCTCTTCTTGTTGCATTGATCCCTTTACCATTATGTAATGCCCTTCTTTGTCTCTTTTGATCTTTGTTGGTTTAAAGTATGTTTTATCAGAGACTAGGATTGCAACACTGCTTTTTTTTGCTTTCCATTTGCTTGGTAAATATTCCTCCATCCCTTTATTTTGAGCCTATGTATGTCTTTGCACATGAGATGGGTCTCCTGAATACAGCACACTGATGGGTCTTAACTCTATCCAATTTGCAAGTCTGTGTCTTTTAATTGGGAGCATTTAGCCCATTTACATTTAAGGTTAATATTTGTTATGTGTGAATTTGATCCTGTCATTATGATGCTAGCTGGTTATTTTGCCCATTAGTTGATGCAGTTTCTTCATAGTGTCAGTGGTCTTTATAATTTGGTATGTTTCTGCAGTGGCTGGTTTTGGTTTTTCTTTCTTATGTTTAGTGCTTCCTTCAGGAGCTCTTGTAAGGCAGGCCTGGTGGTGACAAAATCTTTCCGCATTTGCTTGTCTGTAAAGGATTTTATTTCTCCTTTGCTTAGGAAGCTTACTTTGGCTGGATATGAAATTCTGGCTTGAAAATTCTCTTAAGAATGTTGAATGTTGGCCCCCAGTCTCCTCTGGCTTGTAGGGTTTCTGCAGAGAGATCCCCTGTTAGTCTGATGGGCTTCCCTTTGTGGGTAGCTTGACCTTTCTCTCTGGCTGCCCTTAACATTTTTTTCCTTCATTTCAGCCTCGGTGAATCTGACAATTATGTGTCTTGGGGTTGCTCTTCTCGAGATGTATCTTTGTGGTGGTCTCTGTATTTTCTGAATTTGAATGTTGGCCTGTCTTGCTAGGCTGGGGATGTTCATCTGGATAATATCCTGAAGAGTGTTTTCCAAGTTGGCTTCATTATCCCCGTCACTTTCAGGTACACCAATTAAACATAGGTTTGGTCTTTTCACATAGTCTCATATTTCTTGGAGGCTTTGTTCATTCCTTTTCATTCTTTTTTTCTCTAATCTTGTCTTCATGCTTTATTTCATTAAGTTGATCTTCAATCTCTGATATCCTTTCTTCCACTTGATTGATGTGGCTATTGATGCTTGTGTATGCTTCATGAAGTGCTCGTGTTGTGTTTTTCAGCTCCATCAGGTCATTTACATTCTTTTCTAAACTGGTTATTCTAGGTAGCAATTCCTCTACGCTTTTTTCAAGGTTCTTAGCTTCCTTGCATTGGGTTAAAACATGCTTCTTTAGCTTGGAGAAGTTTGTTATTACCCACCTTCTGAAGCCTACTTCTGTCAATTTGTCAAACTCATTCTCCGTCCAGTTTTGTTCCCTTGCTGGCGAGGTGTTGTGATCCTTTGGAGGAGAAGAGGCATTCTGGTTTTTGGATTTTCAGCCTTTTTTGTGCTGATTTTTCTTCATCTTTGTGGATTTATCTACCTTTGGTTTTCGATGTTGGTGACCTTCGGATGGGGTTTTTGAGTGGACGTCCTTTTTGTTGATGTTGATGCCATTCCTTTCTGTTTGTTAGTTTTCCTTCTAACAGTCAGGCCCCTCTGCTGCAGGTCTGCTGGAGTTTGCTGGAGGTCCTCTCCAGACCCTGTTTGCCTAGTTATCACTAGTGGAGGCTGCAGAACAGCAAAGATTGCTACCTGTTCCTTCCTCTGGAAGCTTCGTCCCAGAGGGTCACCCGCCAGATGCCAGCTGGAGTTCTCCTGTATGAGGTGTCTGTGGACCCCTGCTGGGAGGTGTCTCCCTGTCAGGAGGCACAGGGGTCAGGGACCCACTTGAGGAGGCAGTCTGTCCCTTGGCAGAACTCGAGCGCTGTGCTGGGAGATCCGCTGCTCTCTTGAGAGCTGGCAGGCAGGAAGGTTTAAGTCTGCTGAGGCTGTGCCCATAGCTGCCCCTTTCCCCAGGTGCTCTTTCCCAGGGAGATGGGAGTTTTATCTCTAAGCCCCTGACTGGGGCTGCTGCCTTTCTTTCAGAGATGCCCAGCCCAGAGAGGAGGAATCTAGAGAGACAGTCTGGCTACAGCAGATTTGCTGAGCTGCGGAGGGCTCTGTCCAGTTCGAACTTCCAGGTGACTTTGTTTATACTGTGAGGGGAAAACTGCCTACTCAAGCCTCAGTAATGGTGGATGCCCCTCCCCGCACCAAGCTCGAGTGTCCCAGGTCGACTTCAGACTGTTGTGCTGGCTGCGAGAATTTCAAGCCAGTGGATCTTAGCTTGCTGGCCTCCATGGGGGTGGGATCTGCTGAGCTAGATCACTTGGTTCCCTGGCTTCAGCCCTGCTTTTAGGGGAGTGAACGGTTCTGTCTCACTGGCCTTCCAGGCGCCACTGGGGTATTAAAAAAAAAACAGCTCTTGCAGCTAGCTCAGTGTCTGCCCAAATGGCCGGCCAGTTTTGTGCTGGAAACCCAGGGCCTTGGTGGTGTAGGCACCTGAGGGAATCTCCTGGTCTGCGGGTTGTGGACCATGAGAAATGTGTAGTATCTGGGCTGGAATGCACTGTTCCTCACGGCACAGTCCCTCACAGTTTCCCTTGGCTAGGGGAGCGAGTTCCCCGACTCCTCGAGCTTCCCAGTGAGGCAATGCCCCACCCTGCTTTGGCTTGCCGTTGGTAGGCTGCACCCACTGTCTAACCAGTCCCAATGAGATGAACCGGGTGCCTCAATGGGAAATGCAGAAATCACCCACCTTCTGCATTGATCTTGCTGGGTGCTGCAGACTGGAGTAGTTCCTATTTTGCTATCTTGCCAGCCACCTCTAGTTATTCTATGAGGCTTATTTAGTATCCTAAATAAATTTTCTTTGTGCATTCTCTCAGCCTTATGCATTCTCTCAACTTATGCATAACATTTTAGTTACCTGCCATCAGCGTAGGCAGTTTACAGAGGTGAACCTATTCTCTCTGTCTCATAAATAATATAAATAATTTCATGCTTAAACAATATTTCTGCAGCATTTCTGAACCAGAGATTTCTGATTTTTTTAAGGGGCTGCATAGTTTTCTATAGTGTGAATAGGTTCACAGTTCCTTATTCACAACGTAAACTTCAAAAGCTCTGGAAACTGAATGTTTTCTTACAACTCACTTGGTTCACAACCTAACTTTTGATGAACTCATTTGGTATTGAACCCTACTTGAACCACCTCGAGGCTATTTACTTTTAACTCACTTGTGTTAATATTTGTATGTTGTGTAGAAAAAACAGTAATGTATTTGATTATAGGTGCTGCCCCCAGCCCCACTGGGGGAGGTTCTGTCAAATATGGCAGATGTACATTACTTTTCTTAAAGTTTTGCATTCCAAAATACACATGGTCTCCAGGGTTTGAGATAAGGGATTGGAAGCCTATTTTGGACATATGGGAAAGGATAAATTTTTAATTTAAGGTCAAAATCATACTTTGTAAAAGTCATATTAAATAAAATGATACTATGTTAACATAGGTAATATAGGAATTAGATCCAGCTATAGATACGGATATGATTTTGTGCAAAACTGGTTATTTATGACTTCAGATAAATGGGACGGCCCTTATTCAACAAGAGCTAGTTTTGTTGTCTCTGTATGTTTAATTTGTCAAAGCTAAATTTTCAAGGCTGAATATTCATTGGTATAGTTCTGTTAGTCTGGGTTCTCAGAGAAGCAGATGCCAAGATAGGATTGAATGTGCAAGGATTTTATTTGGGGAAATGCCTGTGTGAGAGAAAATAGGAGCAAGATGGGGGAAGGCTGGGAGAGCTTTCAGACTGCAACACCAATCTGACCCCAAGTGATGACAGAGGCAGAGAAGGCTGGCTGGAAGTGTCCTAGACTGTTGAAAAGTCTGAGAAAGGCTATTAGAGGCCTGCATCTCTCAGGAACAGGCCTGCCTTAGTATGCTTACTATACTCAGTGCTTCCAGTCACTGGCTGGGAACAACCTGTAGGAAGTGTAGCCTCAGAGCAAATGTGGAGAAGATTCCAGAGTTTAGCAGCAGGGGCCCCAGCTCAGTAATGCTCCCTGTAGTTGGAAGTCTGCAAGGTGCATTTCCAAGGCCACTAACGTGGTAGATGGATTTCCATGGTTTTTCTGATTATAGATGTGTACAAGATGGTTATATATATTTGCTTATTATAGAGACCTCTTTCCTGGTGTACAGAATATTCAGGAGTTCAAATGGACCCCTAATGCATGGGGGCATTTCGGTCAGGATTAGCTTGACAGAGGAGCTTATAGTAGCAGTCATGATGATTATGCTGTAGTCACAAACAGCACTGAAATCTCAGGGGCTGAAATAACAGATGTTTGTCTCTTGTTCACACTGCATCTTTGCATTGCATCATCACTGCATCTTTGCATTGTATCATCACTGCATCTTGATTGTGGGTTGAGCAATTTGTAGCTAGCTTTTCTCCATGTTATCCTCACTCAGGGATCCAAGTTGATAGAGCCTCCACTATTCGGAACTGATATCACTGGTCTCAAGGTGATGTCAGGGAGAAGAGAACCTTGTGAATGGCCCACTGGCTCTTGAAGCTTTTATCTGGAAGTAACACATATCATTTCTATTGACATTTCATTGTCTAAAGCAAAGCAAGTCACTAGGCCACATCTGACCTCAGGGCGAAGTGCAGTTCTGCCATTTTTTCAGAAGCAGAGAAGTCTAGAATATGATTATCAGCCCTAATGTTTGTCATATGTTATGTATTTAGTCAGGGCCCCAGAAGGAATAGATGGCATTCAGACTGGGTAGTGAGGGGAGCTTAGTAAGTGGACTGGTTACAACAGTGTGTTGTTTCAGTGATCTAGCACTGTATAATAAACTATTCTCAAACTTAGTGACTTAAAACAGCCATTGGTTATTAGTATAAATCATGATTCTCTGGTTCAGGAATGCAGTCAGAACATGGTGGGGACAGCTCATCACTGCTCTGCGATGTCTGGGGCCTCAGCAGGCTGGGGCCTGAACAGGTTGGGGCTGATTAGATCTCTCTCTCTCTCCTTCTTTCCCTCCTTCCACACAGCCTCTCCACAGGGCTGCTTGGGCATCTTCACAGCATGGCAGCCTCCGGTAATTGGATTCCTGTACTGATTGAACTCCAAGGACTCCGAGAGTGAGTGTGCCAAAGAGGCAAAAGATAGAAGCTGCTAGTCTCCTAAGGCTGGGGAACCTGGAAGAGTATCCCTTATGCCATATTTCATTGTTCATAGTCACACAGAGACCACTCAATTTCAAGGGAAGAGGACAAAGACCCCACCTCTTTATAGTAGCAGTATTAAAGAATTTGTGGCCATATTCTGGGCAGGTTTACCACAGTTGCCACCCCTAAGTCTGAATGTGCTGTAAAGGGTCAAAGAGACATATGTGGAGAGGCCCACCTGATAAGAGCCATGAACTTCAGTCATGGGTTACAACCTGCCTGAGGCAACCCTTCAGAGGGGAGTCAGGGGAATAAATAACTAAGTTTCCTTCTTCTTCCTTCCAGTCTCCTGCTGGAACCCCATTGGGTGAACCCAAGTGGAAAGCATATGGAAGGGAACCATGGGAAAAAGGTCCATACAGGTCTACTGGGGGGGCATAGGGCAAGGTGGAAAAGGTGGAGAGTAGATTTAGAGGGGCCGTTGGAAGCCATCAGCATGCTTATTTACCAGTATCAGCATCTTAGAGCAATAATTGGAAGGTAGATATGGTTCCTGTAGAGTGTGTTTGGGTTTAATGCATAAGTAAATTGCAGCTTAAAATTTTCTAGAAACACATTAGTGAATCTACTTTTTATAGCTTATAGTTACTGCCTCATTCTGTTTATTGATCCTTGTCCTCTGGAACCTAAAATCAGAGTTGGACTCCAATGTGACGGGTAGAAATGCTAACAACATACTAGATATGAATAAATGAAGGAATATCTGAAGCATAGGTAGCCATCACCAAATCAGGCTTATTATTACATGAATTTATACAGAGTCAGGGTGTGCAGTGGAAGAGCATTAGACTGTGAGTAAGAGATCTGGGTTCTAGTCCTGGCTCTTTTGTTTACTACTGCTGTGTGAACTTGTGCAAAGCTTCCAACCTCCTTGAGTCACATTTTATATTAGTCCATTTTCACGCTGCTGATAAAGACATACCTGAGACTGGGAAGAAAAAGAAGTTTAATGGACTCACAGTTTTACATGGGTGGGGAGGCCTCACAATCATGGTGGAAGGCAAGCAGGAGCAAGTTACATCTTACATGGATGGCGGCAGGCATAGAGAGAGAGCTTGTGCAGGGAAACTCCTATTTATAAAACCATCAGATCTCATGAGACTTATTCAATGTCACCAGAACAGCATGGGAAAGACCCGCCCCCATGATTCATTTACCTCCCACTGTGTCCTTCCCACGACATGTGGGAATTGTGGGAGCTACAATTCAAGATGAGATTTGGGCAAATCATATCACATTTCCATAGCTGTACAATGAGGATAGTAGACCTCCTCTTTCCTCCTTACAGGGTATGAAAATCAAATATAAGTGTGTTCTGAAAAATCATATACTGTTATATGCAAAGGTATTATCATAACTATTGCAGGACAGATTCTGCCATCTCATATGCAGTAAAAGGATAATATTGTTTGTTCAAAGACCATTTAGTCAGTGTGCACCAGGTGCAAAGTACTGCCAGACTCCATGGGGAAATGAAGGTGGCTGAAAAACTCTGTCATCTCCATGGAGTTTATAATCTGGGACCCAGGAGACTGACATGTTAATTTAAGCAAGAAAAACTAAGTGCTGTGACAGAGAAAGTAGCCAGGGCAGGTGGGGAGGGAGAGAGTGACATTGTGCCGAACCTTGAAGGTGAGCAGGTAGGGAGGGCGTGGAGGAGTGTGTTTGGATGAAAGTACGCCAGGAGAGCTGTGATGTCCAAAAGAGGTGAGGGACCACGAGGACTGAGAAAAGACCCTAATGTGATTTGTAAGGCAGGTGAACATTGATATCCATAGTAAGCAGTGCAGAGGGAGTCAGATAAGGGGCTCAGGAACCATCTGGTGGTGACAAAATAATGCCGCTTAGTGTGGACTGGCATTCTGGGTAGTGTGGTGATGAACAGAAGAAAACAGGCAGGGGATTCAAGAGAAGGGAAAGGTGTGGAGAAAAAGACAGACACAAGTGATTCAAGATTTAAGAGATAAGGGATTGTCCTGCTTTCTAGCTATAAAACCTTTCTACACTACCTAAAAGAGATGACTGCTTCTCCCTTAAGGACTATACCCAGCTTTTTCCTCACCAGGCTAATAAATGCACTTAGCATTTGCTTAAAAATATTGGGATTGTGGCCAGTCGCGGTGGCTCACGCCTGTAATCCCAGCACTTTGGGAGGCCAAGGTGGGTGGATCACGAGGTCGGGAGTTAGAGACCAGCCTGGCCAATATGGTGAAACCTTGTTTCTACTAAAAAATACAAAAAACTAGCCAGGTGTGGTGGCATGTGCCTGTAGTCCCAGCTACTCAGGAGGCTGAGGCAGGAGAATTGTTTGAACCTGGGAGGTGGAGGTTGCGGTGAGCCAAAATCGCACCACTGCACTCCAGCCTGGGCAACAGAGCGAGACTCCGTCTGAAAAAAAAAAAAAGAGAGATTGTAAAGAATCGCTTTATTAACAACCCCTGGGGCTTCTGACTCCCTGGACCCGGGTTTCCTCTTTTCCCCCTTTGATGCCACACTCTGAACTCTCTTAGTTCTCCTTAGGGTCTGTCTGCTCTGCTGACTGGATGTTGTCTTTCCCTAAATGTGGGCATGCCTCAGGGACTATTCCTGCACTGATTGACCCTCATGATTGCTATCCTTGCTCTGCACAGATGGCCTAAAAAGCTCTGGGGCTGAGTATTTGACCACTGGCTAGATCTCTTCATCTCAATGACCTGTTGCTTCCTCAAACTTAAAATGTCAGGAGGCAAACTCATAATGTCTTTCTCCCGAGGCTAGCTTAATTCATCCTCTGCATACCTTCTTTTTGTGAATAATATCACTTTTCCCACTTACCTGGCATAGAACTCTTAATCATCCTTGAATTTTTTCTCTTAATCTTCCCAAATATAGTGCCAACCTTTTCCTGCAAGGTTCTTGAGTCTGTTTTTTTGTTTCTTCTCCCAATAGTGTCACTCTGGGTCTTCATCTCCACATATCTTGACCAGGGTTAGTTTTCACTTATGGTCTCATTACTGCAACTTCTTTCTTCAGATTATCTCACACAAAACTGCTGGATTAAATTTTCTAAACACATCATCCTTCCTCTGAAACCTTAAGTGGCTCCACTTCCTACAATGTTCTTGGTCTACATGCTGTGTCACAGCCCTGACTCCGTACCATTCTCATTCTTGGTTCAAGGCCTCTCTCCTATACTCAGTCCGTTTTCTCTGCTTGGAACATTCTCTTCCTTCCTCCTCTGTGGTCAAGAGTTACTCTTTCTTCAAAGACCAGCCTAAATCCCACAGCCTCCTGCAGCTGTCCCTTACATTGGAGGTTCTAGTCTTCTCTGTTCCCTAGAGTTGGCAGCTCTCGGTGCCCATGTTATTCTGAGCACGTGCTCCTTTCTATTGTTAGGTGATTTTGCATTTGACCCTGCTTCCCTGCTCTTTCCTGAAACCCCTGGAAGGGCCTGCATCTGTGGTTCCCAAACAGTGCACCAAGGAGCCCTGGGGCTTTTCAATTAATTCACAGGGGTACTAGGAGATATTTTCAGTTTGTGAGGGAAACACAGTGACATCTGTTGGACACCACATGAACTAACAGCTCAAAATAATTTGCAGTTTTGGCATGAAATCATATTCATTACTTTCAATTTGGTCTTACCAATTTAAAAATGAATTTTTGGGCCGGGCATGGTGGCTCACGCCTGTAATCCCAGCACTTCGGGAGACTGAGGAGGGCACATCACCTGAGGTCAGAAGTTTGAGACCAGCTTGGCCAACACAGTGAAACCTTGTCTCTACTAAAGATACAAAAATTAGCTGGGCATGGTGGTGGGCGCCTGTAGACCCAGCTACTCAGGAGGCTGCAGCAGGAGAATTGCTTGAACCCAGGAGGCAGAGGTTGCAGTGAGCTGAGATCGCGCCACTGTACTCCAGCCTGGGTGACAGAGTGAGACTCCATCTCAAAAAAAAAAAATACTAATAATAATAATAAATAAATAAAAATGAGTTTTTGTTGGGTTCTGTGTTTAAGAACAAGTATCATACAAAAATTGATGTGAAACAGGAAATGAGGTTTGTAGCAGACAAAAACAAGTGAAGCAGTCTAATTGGTTTTGTCATTAGCTTGGGAAAATCTCCATCCAGATATGTTGTTTCAGGATCCTGGGCTGGTGGGAGACCCGTAGAGAGTTGGCAGTTGCAGCCAAAGATGGCTTCAGTGCTTGTCCTGGATCTGGCAGGATTAGAAAGAGGGGACTGTTAGGTTGTTTGGATGGGAAAAGGTTGTATAAGTAGCACCTCAGGCTCAGTCATATTATTTCTGTCAAATGTCTTGTGAACTAGGGTAGGGTAGTCTTTTGTTTAGTGGGTTGTTTTGCTCCTTTTTAAAAAGAGATTGTTACCAAATTATGGCAAAAGTTTGGGACTATCTCTGGTGGATAGAGGTAGAGACATCGAGGTGAATGTGCTGAAGTAAGAGGTAGATGGAAGGGAAGATAATTACATACCATCCCTTCTGCAGGCAGCTCACAGGCATTCGCAATGATAACTGTGACCACAAAGAAAGCCTGCACCTTTGGTTTATGCAAAGAGCAGCCAGCTGTGTTTCATTCAACAAATTATTCCATTCAAGAGCACTTGGAAAGACAGAAGCAAAAAGTCTACCAGAAAAACTGATTTTTCCACCATCTCTTCTGTGCTGAAACCATGCTTGAACAACATACATGGGTAGAATAATTTCAGCCATTTCCTTAAAGGCATGTGTGCTGGGTTCATATAAGCCGCCGTGGAGCCCATTTGTTTTACAAGCTTGTCTTCCAAACATGCACATACGTATTCATGATCTGCATCCTGCAAGCTCAATAATTCATGGCTTATTGACTTAGGTTGATGGATGGAAGTTTTTTGGGGACTAGAGAAGTAAAGATGGAAATTTTGAGAGGCTGAGAGCAGCCACACTTGTGAGTTGCCCACTTGCTGTAAGTGTGTATGTGGGCGGGCAGGCTGGAACTCCGGTAGAGCCCAGTTTGGCTCTTACTGGCTAGGCATATTTTGGACTTTTATGCCCAGTGAAAATAGTGACTGAAGATTTTAAGAGCAATTAAGTACCATCTTCAAATTATTATCACCATTATAAAATATTAACGGGCTATAATTGGGTGCTGAGTTTGCAGGAGGAATACACTGATCGCTTATGTCATAGTGAGGAGTGGGCAGGACAGCATGCTGTTCAACCATGATTTAATTTCATTTCTCCTGTCCGTTCTTCCTCATGCCTCTCTAGTCTGGGAGATAGTAGCGGGGGTTCTGGAGTAGGAGAAGGGTAGACACAAGTCCTCTTACTTGTTCTCTGGCAGACTTCCCGTTGGATTTTTGGATGCTTCAGCAGGTCTCTGCTCTTTGTCACTTGTCATCTGTGCCACTTCCTGAGGAAAAACGTCTTGAAGTTTTATGCCTGGTTTCCTATAATGCTGTGGAATTTCACTGATCATGTCATTCCTTTCAGTGGAAAATGGGAAGAAGGAATCAAAAGCATGGAATGTAAGATGCCACCTTGGCTTTGGAATTTTTAGATTTTGTTTTTTAAATTTGGTGGTTCTTTGCTAAATCTTTTGTAGCTTCCCTTGACTTAGTTGAGCCCCAAACGAGGCACCATCTCTGGGGTGAACCAAACTAAAAGATACAGAGGAATACTTTTTTTGATATCTGCATTTCATATTTCTACTTATATATTTCAATAATTTGCAGAAAACCCCACAAAACATTGTCAACCTTATTGACCCATGGTTTTTAATCACTGAAGGCTCCTGAACATTGTCTTGTTCTATTTTTGCTAGCTGCTTTTTCCTCTTCTTGTAATAATCTTGAGCTGTATTTGTTCATGTGGAACTTTGCCTGTTTCTTACCATGCTTGGAGTAAACCAGTGACTTAGATTGTATTCTCCACTGCGCTGAAAGCATACCTATGTGCCCACCTCAGCCCACAGACTGCTGGTCTGGTAAGAAGTTAGGGGGATTCCAACAATGTCCTGCAGAAATGAGGTGGTTCTTCTTAGAAGGTGCTGCTGTTGTCTCCACAGCTTTACAGGCAGGCGCTGGTTCCGGGACAGACAGGTATTCCATTTAGAGCCACCCAGCAGTTGGGGAAGTTGGGGATTCTTAAACTTGGCAGGAAAGCTCAATGCCCCTGGTACCATCTCACACTTACACCCTTATCAGATGCTGTCCGAGATCCAGTTGTAACCAAGGGAGCCATAATTAAGGAGCCTGGCTCAGCTGGGATAGGAGTGGTGGAGCCCAAGCAATCATTCTGTCTACTCAGTTCCCCTGGACTTAAACAGAAGAGTACCGTGGAAGCAGAGGGCCAGATGTAACCATCACTATAATCAGTCAGTAAACACAATTGAACGAGGTAATTAAAAGGCCCAGTCCTGTTGTGGGCCTGCAACTAGGTAACATGGAGTGACGGTAGCACTATTAAATCTGGATTGAAAAAATCATATTAAGCAGGCCAGTTTTAGACAGACTAAATTAATAATTTCTCTATCCAGTGACAGCCAGCTATTAAGTAGATCTAGAAAATTTTAGTGACAAGTGTAAGAGGCTTTGACTTGGGAATTCTTGATTAATTGAAAACTAAAAGTGTGTACCATCTAATATATTCAATTAATGCATTATATTCAACTGATACAATTTTGGGAAGCTGCCTAGCTTGACAGTTCAAGAAATGGGTTTTGAGTTAGCAAGACCTTGGTTTGAGTCTAGTTCTTTGCTACTTTATGTGCCTGTGGCAGGTATTCTCATTGGTGTATATGTATAATCTAGGGATAATAATACCTACCTTATCGGGCTTTTGTAAAGACTAAGTAAGATTATGCATTTAAAGTGCTTATCATTGTCTCTGGCACTTAGTGCTAAATACATACTACCTATTATTACTTATTTAAGTAACCAGCTGAATCTCTAAAGTGAGACATCCTTCACATGACACTGTGTGTTACTAGCCAATAAATTTTATACCATTTTTGGTCACTATAGTGTTTTGATTTTAGATAATATGCTTGTTGCTCCTTAACATACTTTTACATTATTTCACAGCCAGCATCACTTTTGATTTTCTTTTTCTTTTTTCTTTTCTTTTTCTTTCTTCTTCTTTTTTTTTTTTTTTTTTTTTTTTTGAGATGGCGTCTCACTCTGTTCCCCAGGCTGAAGTGCAGGGGCATGATCTCGGTTCACTGCAACCTCTGCCTCCCAGATTCAAGCGATTCTCCTGCCTCAGCCTCCCAAGTAGCTGGGATTACAAGCGTATGCCACAATGCCCAGTAAATTTTTGTATCTTTAGTGAAGACAGAGTTTCACCATGTTGGCCAGGCTGGTCTCAAACTCCTGACCTCAAGTGATCCACCCACCTCAGCCTCCCAAAGTGCTGGGATTGCAGGCATGAGGCACCACGTCCGACCCCTAACTTTTGATTTTCTCTTATTTCTCTCAGAATGTGGTATCAACTCAGTTGCTTATATAATTGTTTTCCTATTTATTCTAATTCTCAGTGTCACATGTTCTCAAACTTGAATGTGCAGCTAGTTACTGGGGAACTTCTTCATTGCAAACTCCTGGGTTCCGGAGATTCTGCTTTAATAGGTAGGGTTGAGGCCCAGGAATTTGCACATGAGCCGGCACCCAGGTGCTCCAGTGACCACACTTGGAGGAGCACTGATCTATGCCCTTGTGCCGGCACTTCTGCTATTAATGCTCCTTCGCTGAACTAGGATTCAGAAGACAGGGGTTCTAGTTATGTGTGCTGTCAAGGGTCTTAACCCAGTTAAGGATTCAGTTTTGTCTTCTATGGTAATCCCCACCTTGTCAGCCTCCCAAGACTGTGGTGGACATCAGATGATGTCAGATAAAAGCACTTTGGTGAAGCCTTTTCCAAATGAGCAAGGTATTAAACTGGAGATAAGGAATCTCAAAATATTTCATATAACTTAAGACTTAGTAGTAGTATCTAAAGGCGAGTAGTGAAAGGAGATTGTTGGGTTCTTAAATATTAGGGGTTCCAAGAATGTGTTTCGGCCTCTAATGTGTGAGTAGTGTTTGATTGAGCGGGGTACCTCCCATTGTTCAGGATGCTGGCCAAGTGTCATTATTTATTACTATGAAATCAACCCTGCTCTCCTGTGTGGTGCTATTAAGATATGTGGACAGTGATTTCGATACCATAAAACTTTTTTCGAATGGAAATGTTATCAGCTTGGGATTGCAATACTGGCCACTCAGTGATGTCATGTATATCACAGAATACTATAAGATACCACTGTTCTACCTCTGACCCAGTCCTGCCAAATGCCTTGGTGCTATGGGCAGGAGGGAAAAGAGTGCTCCTTATAATTTGAAGTTACATAATAAAGATGTGATGGGAAGATTTTCTTCAGCTGAGTATAACCATTATTACTTTTTTTCACTTCCCATTTTCTAGGTTATTAAGTGGAAAGATGATGTACCCAGACATTTAGATCTATATACAAATATGCTTTCTCTTCATCCACATGTAGAAAAACCTACAAGAATCCATTATTTATCCCAGAGCTATACTGTGGACCAACTGTAGAACATAAAGAAATGACAAATGTTTATGGTGGAAAGCCTCTGAGAATGTGGAAATATAATAGAAGCAATTGGAACATTTGCTTCTTTTTTTTTAAAGAATATCTGTAATTACTATCTGAAGTCTTGTGCTGAGTTTCCAGTGTAGTTAAGCACTGTGTCTTTGAATGTTTTGTAGACAAGGAGGCTCCCTGTAAGGCACGTGGCATGTGTTCAGCTGATACCTGGGCATATTGTTATGTGACTGGAAGACCAGATCTTTCCTCTCATTTTGCATAATCACACAACAAGTAGTGAACTAATTGGCCGTAGGATCTATATCACCTTGGCCTACAGCCAACTTCATAGTATCTTGAGGCACCCCATCACTTTAATGCTGTATCTAATGCTGTGCCAAAAAAAAACAAAAAACCCCAAAAAACTAAAATAAATAAAAATGCTGTCTTAAGTAAGTAAACTTAAAATAGAGAGCAAAGAGGAAGGCACATTTATTCATTGACATGAACCTAGATGTAGTGGTATCTAGTGAGTAAGTTTTTTGTGAAGGATTTAATATGATGTGGATTTTAGAGTCAGACTACCAGGATTGGTTTCCCAGCTCTGCCACTTGCTAGCTCTGTGCCTTTGGTAGAGCACTTAATCTTTCTGAGCCATGTTCTTCATTTGTAAAATAGGGGCAATAATAATAATGCTTTACCTTATAGGACTGGTGAAGAGTAAATGAGTTGATACTTTAAAATGGTGCCTGGAACAATGTGTATGAGTTAACTCTTATTACTGTTTTTGTTTTTATTGTTACATACTTGTTGGGAAAATAATAGATTTAGATGACTAAACAGCTCTTTTGTTCCCACTCCATGCCACCCCATAATGCCACCATCTAGTGGATCTAAGAAGAGGCTCTGTGTATATCATCTTTCCACTGTAATTTATCAAATTTGGCATATTGCCAGGAGGAAACAGGTAGAGAATTGTAGAAATCAGGTTTATTAGGAGAAATAACTCAGAGGTGTAGACTTGGTAGAACCCAACCATTTGAATCTTTTCCTAGGCTAATCCCAAAGCTCCTTCTACCTCCTTCTCTGTAGACTCACTTCTCCAGCTATTCTGGGCCATTTGCTATACCCTGAGTGTGATTCCAGCCTTCTAGTTAAATGCCCATGCTTATGCCTTTCTTCCACTTGAGATGCCAACTATATTTAGCATCTATTCCAACTACATTTATCCAAATCTTCTCATCCTCCAATGTCCAGACTGCATGCCACCTCCCAGATTCTTCCTGATCAGTGCAGGCATAGACAATAACTCTTCACTTCTCTAGAGTTTGCTGGCATCACCCAAGTGGGACTTGAAGATTACCTGGTATGATCATTATAGATTTGTTATGTTGTACCTCTCATACCAGGTGGTAAACACCATGAGAGTAGGGAACCATACACATTTCTTTATTCATTTGTTCATTGAACAAATGTTATAATATATAGCAGAATTTATAGTACATTGCCAAGTATGTAATAGGTATTATGACATCTCTTGAATAAATGAACATGTGAATGTAGATATGGTAACTAGGTAGGAGCCTGTGTGTGTGTATGTATGTGTGTGTGTGTGTATGTAGCTATGAGAGAGAAAACTAATGAGAACTGTAGTGGTCAGGTTAGGTTGATGAACTGATGTTTAGCTAGCATTGTGAGGTGGCATGGAGTGGGAGAAAAATGAGGCACTTGCACAGGGGTGGGTGGTGGTGTTTAGGATTGGCTAGAGATGGCTGTTGCTTGGTACCCAGTAGGTGCTCTATGTTAGTAACTCTTAAATGTCGTGGAAGTCCAAAAGAGAACCAGAGTTGAGACAGATACTGCTGGAGAAATTTAAAGGAAGATATAGATATTTTATGAAAAATGAACCAAAAAATATTTCTGAAGAATGAATGATGGCTCCAAGAATGATGTTTGAAATGTGCTCTCTATATGTAGAAATGAAATTGTATAAGGGCGTCAAACTTTTCTGTACTGTTTTTCATTTGAGTTGCTTATGAGATATCGAGGTAAAATAATTGGCAATATATCATTGCTATGGTTATTTATCAAGACATCAAACTTTCTGACTAAGCATGTGTAATATTTATATTTATGTTAAATGCTTTAATACAACTAGTAGATTTTAACCATCTAGTTTTTTTCTTTGAAGATAGCATTCTGTTTGTCTGAAATTAGAATCCATTTCAGTTTCATGGAGGAGCAAAGGTGAGGCACTCATCTGTCTCTATGTCCTTTTTGCCTGACACAGTGTTAGCCCAATGCTTGGCACCAGTAGGTGTTCTATGTATAAGTGTTTTTCAGTAAATGAATTAATAATATATCAGTTTTTCTCTAAATGAATTAATAACATCTCAGTTTTAAAAACTTCACAGATTAGATGGATTGATTTCATGAAACATTTCCTTTGTGTTTAAGATTCTTGCCAAATCTAAGTGGAGAGATTAAATTGGAGATAGAAAAATGATTATGTACATTTGTAGAACTTTAGTACTAGACATAATTCCAGAGATTATCTAGTTCCAGTTCCTCATTTTTCAGACAAAGGCATTGAGGACCAGAGAGGTTAAGTGACTTGCTTATGCTCACATCATGTCAAGCTTGGACCTAACCCAGATCTCCAGATCTCCAGGCTTCAGTATCATCTCTTTCCATTAGGCACCTTGGAAGTAAATCTTAGTTTCATTATTCCTTTCATGGCCTAGGTTTAACTCCTGAGCTCCCAAAGAAGAATTTAGGAAAATTTTTATTGTGTTTTTGTTAATTGCAAAGTAGAAAGATTTCTGAGACAGCAACTCCCCTTCCTCTCAAGGATCCTGTGCAATGCATGGGCTGCTTGGGGGTACCCATATGTTTTTGTTTTTGTTTTTGTTTTGAGATGGAGTCTCGCTCCGTTGCTCAGGCTGGATTGCAGTGGCACAATCTCTGCTCACTGCAACCTCCGCCTTCCGGCTTCATGCAATTCTCCTGCCTCAGCCTCCCAAGTAGCTGAGATTACAAGTGTGCACCACTACGCCTGGCTAACTTTTTGTGTTTTTAGTAGAAATGAGGTTTCACCTTGTTGACCAGGCTGGTCTCAAACTCCTCACCTCAAATGATATGCCCATCTCGGCCTCCCAAAGTGTTGGGATTACAGGCGTGAGCCACCGCACTCAGTCTCCCATATTAATTTTTAAATGTCCTTTCCTCCTGTTAAGTCTGCTGGAAAAAGAGAGCTTGTGCCATCTAGTGGATCTAAGAAGAGGCTCTCAGGCTTAAATTTTGGGTGGCCTTACTTTAAAAAGAAGAAAGGAACAATATTTTTATTTAATGAATCTGCACATTCTCACATGGAATCCTTTTTATCATGAGAGTGGCAGTAGCAGCACAGAATGAAGTTAGGGTCACTTTGTATTTCATAGTGCTAGAGACGCGACACCTTACTGACCGTGCTTCTTTTTAGTGGTGGAAGGCAGGTCACAAAGTGGGTAACTGGATTTAACTGATTTAACTGGATCAGGAAAGGCATGAGCATGGGTATTTTTAGGTAACTCTCCAGGTGATTCTAACATAGAACCAGGGCTGAGAACCACTGCTGTATTACAATCTTGGTTTTTCAACCAGTGCTTGGATTCTTGTACTCGTTAATTTAAAACACTGGCTCTTCTGTAATGGGTCTTTCCATCCTAGTTGGGAATTAGTCAAATCCTATTATTCCTGGGAAACCCGCTAGTGCTCATTTGGACAATTAACTTATTCAAGAATGTACAGCATTCTACTATCCAATGGATAATGAAGTTTTAGAAGCTTTCAAATTACTCCTTTGTTTTCCTTCAATGGAGATTTTAAATCTTTTTACATGCTCTGGAAAATATTTATCTCATGTGGCAGGTGGTAGAAGACAATATCTGTCAAGCGGGATAACTTGATGACTGAATGGGCAGTGCAGGCCGAGGGCTGTCATCACTGACATTGCCCTGTGATCTGAAATGCCCGTTAACCTCCTGGGCTTGAATTTTCTTTGAAGAGTGTGATTGGTCATCTTTATATTTACAGAGTACTGCTCAGCAAAAAACTAGGTTACAAAAAAAAGCTTTTGTTACTCCATCAGTGAAATATCTTAAGTGGCACCTTAGCACCTGTGTAGTGTAGTTGTACTTGATGGTCATAATGACCAGGAGGCTTTGTGATGGTGGTCCACAGCCTGGTGCACATCAGAAGCAACAAGGGATGCCTGGCACTAGACCTGGAGATAATTATTTAACTGGATCAGGATAGGGCATGAGCATGGGTATTTTTAACTAACTCCCCAGGTGATTCTAACATGGAACTTGGGTTGAGAACCACTGCCACAAGATATTCTTAAAAATGTTTTGCAGGCTGGATGCGGTGGCTCATGCTTGTAATCCCAGCACTTTGGGAGGCTGAGGTGGGTGGATCACCTGAGGTCAGGAGTTTGAGACCAGCCTGGCTAATATGGTGAAACCCTGTCCCTACTAAAAATACAAAACTTAGCTGGGTGTGGTGGCGCACGCCTGTAGTCTGAGCTACTCGGGAGGATGAGGCACGAGAATCACTTGAACGTAGGAGGTGGAGGTTGCCGTGAGCTGAGATTGTGCCATTGCACTCTAGCCTGGGTGACAGAGCAAGACTCCATCTCAAAAAAAAAAAAAAAGTTTTATAAGGCCAGGCATGCTGGCTCATGCCTCTAATCCCAGCACTTTGGGAGGCCGAGGCAGGAGGATTGCTTGAGCCAAGGAGTTTAAGACCATCCTGGGCAACATGATGAAACCCTGTCTCTACAAAAGATACAAAAATCACCCAGGTGTGGTGGCATGCACCTGTAGTCCCAGCTACTCGGGAGGCTGACGTGAGAGATTTGCTTGACCCTGGGACCTCGAGGCTACAGTAAGCGGTGATCACGCCACTGTACTCCAGTCTGAGCCACGGTGTGAGACTCTGTCTCAAAAAAAAAAAAAAAAAAGTTTTGTGAACCTTGAATTTCAAATCAAGTTTGGCAGTCTGGTGTATATTTTCTGGCTTTTAAATTATTTGAATATTGGAGATCCATATTTGATAACCAGTATTCTCCTGGGGCCCAGGGAGCAGGAATTGCACTGTTTTGTGATTAGAGTAATGAAGTTATTATTGTGTCTAAATGACTCCATTTTTACATCTCTCAGAGGTGCTGGTGGAGTCAGTCCCTGTATATGACCCAGGTTTGAGGAATGTGAGTACTTTCAGGGATTGCCAGGAGCGGTAAGGGCCAGAAGTTAATGCTTCTCTGAGTGGCAGCTTAATGTATTGTCATAATTGTACGCATCTGAGAGCATTGATTCTATATTGTTGGCCCTTGTCCCAGTGACAGTAGGAAAGTGGGAGTCTTTCACATAAAGCTTTTTTCCCCCTCTTATCATTTTAATAATGAATTTCACCTCTTTCTGTGGTTTCCAGGAGTAGGGTGCTCTGTGAGTTCTCTGCAGAAGCTGTTTTCTGCAGTAAAGTCCTGATCTGTCACTGGGAACAGCTTTCTTCTGACAAATGTAGCTGAATTGGTTGGCAGAAGGATGGCAGGGAGGTAAAAGGGCAGGGAGTGGTTATAAATCCTCTAAAACGCCATCAATTGAACTCTTACAATGGGAGACAGTGTCTTTGACGACGTGTTCCAAATGGTTGATACAGATATTCAATTTCAAAGGATTTCTGCTGTGTTTTCAGAGGGCAGGGGACAAAAATGCCAGGAAATTGTTAGAATTCTTGTAAAAACCATGAAATTTATTATCAGGTAGACTTAGGTTTGTGTCTGGCTTCTGCCACTTACTGTGTGCTTCTAGGGCAAAAGTTTGAGCCTCACTTTTCTTAGCTGTAAGATGAGAATCCTAATACCTACCTACCATTTTACTCTATCAAGGTGAATTAATTTGTATAATACATGTAAAACATCTAATACAATATTTGGCACAGAGCTGGTACTTCATAAATGGTAGCTATTTCTGGAACTACTATTAATAGTGGTAGTAATTGATGATAATGGCCTGTATGTCCACTTAGCCTTTGGTGGGGATGGCAAGGGGGTGTTGACAGAGGCTCATCTGGGAAGGGTATACTCAGAATTTTCATCCTCACATAGTCAACCTGTTATAATTTAGAGTCTCATCACATATTAATCCTTTAAAATGCAGTCACTCTCTAGAATAGTTCATTTCACTGATTACTCATTTTGTGTACATCCTGCTGTTTAACTCAGAGGGCTTACAATACAGATTTTTTATGTAAACAGTGTGGACAGGGGGTTAGTAGAGGAGAGGGGAAAATATAATTTGGGGATTACTTTGGCCATAAGTCACACCTGGTGTCATGGTTTGGTGTGGAGTTTGGACACCCAGAAAAGGAAAGTTTAGATTATTGGGAAGTTGGGAAGAGGAGATGCCAGAATGGGTGACAGGAGGGTGGTAGGGACCCAACTACAATTTAGAATTTCCTGTGCAGGGTTCTCTGTTAGGATTGCCCGTGTGTTGCCATGAGTTTGTCTTGGTGTCCCTTCTGTCATTTGCCATCAGTTGGCAGTGTCTAGAATACAGTTCCATTTCATTGAAGCACTCAGTCTAGAGTATAAAGCATTTATGTGAATCAGTGGAAACTGAATTTGTACGGCTGAGGATCTGTACTGCAGTTTCAGAAAAGTCAGTATAGTTTAATTGAGGTATAAAGGGCTCTCCTCCCCATCTGAGTTGTGACAAGTTGAGAAATACAAAAAATGAGGCAGATGGAAGATCAAAACACCATCTTTATTACCAGTAAAACTGTTGCCAGAGAATAGGGTTTACTCCTGTGGGCAAACATTCCCAATATTTAACCCTAGAATTAGACAGACACTCACCCAGACACATTATAGAACCTGTGGTGGGGAAGAGCAGAGACAAATATATCTTTCTTTCTTTCTTTTTTTTTTTTTTTTTTTTTTGAGACGGAGTCTCACTCTGTCACCCAGGCTGGAGTGCAGTGGTGCGATCTCGGCTCACTGCAAGCTCCGCCTCCCGGGTTCACGCCATTCTCCTGCCTCAACCTTCCGAGTACCTGGAACTACAGGTGCCCGCCACCACACCTGGCTAATTTTTTTTGTATTTTTAGTGGAGGCGGGGTTTCACCGTGTTAGCCAGGATGGTCTCAATCTCCTGACCTCATGATCCACCCACCTCAGCCTCCCAAAGTGCTGGGATTACAGGCATGAGCCACCACGCCTGGCCAGTACTTTCTTTTTTTGAGACAGAGTCTCACTCTGTTGCCCAGGCTGGAGTGCAGTGGCACAATATTGGCTCACTGCAACCTCCATCTCCTGGGTTCCAGTGATCATTCTGCTTCAGCCTCCCTAGTAGCTGGAACTATAGACACGGGCCACCACACCCAGCTAATTTTTGTATTTTTAGTAGGGATGGAGTTTCACCATGTAGGCCAGGCTAGCCTTGAACTCCTGACCTCAAGTACTCTGCCCGCCTCAGCCTCCCAAAGTGCTGTGATTACAGGTGTAAGCCTCTGTGCCCTCCCCTGAATATGTACTTTCTGCTAGAAGCCTGGCTCCCAGGAGAAGAGAGGAAGGGACAGGCTCAATCCCAAGCTCAACAAAATGACAAGTTACTCCTCCTTTCCTGGAGAAGAATTATATGGGGAGTCAGAGAGAGGCCAGAAGTACGCTGCTAGGAGATTCTGCATGTGGGAGGACACATGAGGATTGGAGACTTCATTTTACTGTATCATGTCTGCATAAATTCAAACTAAGTTCTAGCGAATTTGGAAGTAGTAATTCATACTTAAAAAAAAAAACAAATTGGAGTGGTTTAAATGTCACTCCGATCACTAAGAACCTATCATGGTCCCTGTGACCTGCAGAAGATAATCCAGAGTCCTTAACCTGGTTTTGAAAACCTCTCCTGATGTGGCCCCATCCTGCCTATGAGCCTTCCTTCCCTTCATGATGTTCAAATGCAGATGTAAAGTCTGATCAGTGCCCTCATCATCCTCTGAACAGTTCATTCTTGCTCCCGTGTTCCTGCTGGATTATCCTTTCCATTCCTTGCCTGTTCATCCAAAGTGTACTCATCTGGGCCAGGCGCGGTGGCTCATGCCTGTAATCCCAGCACTTTGGGAGGCTGAGGTGGGGGGATCACTTGAGGTCAGGAGTTCAAGACCAGCCTGGCTGACATGGTGAAACCCCATCTCTACTAAAAATACAAAAATTAGCCAGGCATGGTGGCGTGTGCCTGTAATCCCAGCTACTCAGGAGGCTGAGGCACAAGAATCACTTGAAACCGGGAGGTGGAGGTTGCAGTGAGCTGAGATTGCGCCACTGCACTCCAGCCTGGGTGACAGAGAGAGACTCTGTCTTAAAAAAAAGAAAAAGTGTATTCATCTGTTAGGTCTCAATACAAGCACTGCTGTGGGCAGAAGCCTTGCACTGAAGCATATGCTGACTTCTCTTATCTCCAAACTGCCAATGAACTTTCACATAGGACTGCACTGCTTAGTACTTGTTCATCAAATGAGCTTTATCTGCCAATTGCTGGAAGTTTTTTGAGGGATAAATGCTTCTTATACTTCTTTTGTGTATCCTCAGCTGCTAGTATATTGTACAGCTGGAAAACACTCAATATATATGCAGTTGGTTAAATAGATGTGTCAAAAGAAAGTGGCTAGCACTCATCACTATATTAGAATAGAGTGATGTGTTGGTTATGCTGGAAAATAAAATACCAGGGCAAAGAATTGAGATTAGCACTTAGTTTTATGTCACTGACATGGAATCAAAGAATGCTTTGGGACAGACTTTTGTAACAGAGAGGGTAGATCATCTAGTTCATCATCATTTTACAGCAGAGAAAACAAAGGCTCATGATTTGGAAAGAAATGTTCAGAGTCTGTGAGCTTAATATTTGTGAGAGGAATAGAGGATATGAAGCAGATGATCTTTCAGTTCTTTAATATTTGATTATGTTTACAAGGTTTGTGTGGTAGCTTTATGTTTGCATTAGAGGGTCCTCTAAGTGTTCCAAAGTGCTTTTCTATTATCCTGTAGATCCTCACTTCTTTATGTGCTCGCCAAAATCTGTGGAGGAAGGCACTTTTCACAGAAGCCTTCACATCTCATCGTTTACCTTCTTCATTGACACATGTCAACTCACTGCGGTAGATTACATAGTATGCAGGCCTGAGACATCAGGCTTGTTTTCCGTTTGTAGCAGTTGGGACACCAGAATATTACTTCACTTGCCCATGGTCACCAGATGCTAAGAATTAAAATGCAAGTGTCTTATATTCATTCCCATTGCAGACCATTTTCTACTACTCCATGATGTTTTTCTCTTCTTTAAATTATCATCTGGAGACCCTGAGAGAATCCTGGCTGAGAAAGGGAGCACATTTGTGATTCCCTGATCAGCAAAGAGATCGGTTAATGCAAGTACCTTAAGCACCCAGGGTAGAAGGTTATGAACCCCAGATTGGAGAAAGGATGGCCTGGCTTTGATGAGTGCTGAGAGAGGATGCTGCCCTGTGCCAGAGTGGAACAGGAAGCGGGAGCTGATACCTGAGAAGGACAGGTCAGCTAGCCAGCTCTCAGGGAGGGGTTTCCAGGACAGCCTTATTACTTGCTTTATGTTGTAGACTTCTCAAGACATCCATGATCATATTTAACTATTGTACAAAAATAGCAAACAAAATATAAGTAGTGTTTTGGTCATTTGTGCCACTGTTTTTTTCCAGTAAATTAAAACAATTTTTGGTTTTTAACTTAAAAAATTAAATGTTAGTGTTGTCTCTTATTGGTTAGTTAACAGAAAAGCTAATAGAGAAGTTAGTCTGTCTAGTGTATATTTTTAAACAGATTTCAAACACTGAGTTGTTGCATGAGTAAGTCATGAAGTCAATTTGGTAGGTCACAATTTAAAGTTGAATAAAATAGAAAATATCAGAGTGCATTGCACTTAGTAATGGTGAGTACTAGATATTATTGTAAAATATTTTTATTTTGATGAGTCTTAGTGTTAAAAAGTTTGAAAACACTGAATGGGAGAATGTTACTAGATTACTTGTTACTTGATGTTACATTTCTGCTTTATCATGGGCTGCGAATAAATGTTAGTTGGTATTCTTCAGTTCTAAAACATTCATTTGTTAATTATTTCATTCAACATATATATTTTAAGCACCCAATATATGCCAGGCACTGTTCTAAGTGTTTGCTGGGGTTGAGATATCTATAGCAATTTACTTACAAAGCATATTTTATTTCTCTTACTCAGAGAAAACACTGAATCGGTGTGCCTAAGGTTTAGCTGTGGATAACAGAAAACTCCCTTTACATTACAGAAAACTCCCTTTAATGATCCTTTCATATTCTGCACACCAGTTCTATTTACAACTCACTAGCCAAAACATACATAGTAACATCTAGATGCAAAGGAAGCAGGGAAATGTGGTTTTTTATTATAAAGTCAGGGTTTATTCCCAAGGAAGAGAGGGAGAATAAATATTGGGGAGACATTTAGTAGTGCCTGCCATAAACCTCAAAGCTTCTTACATGTAAACAAAATTTCATTTCCATTGATGGGAAACTGGAAATTTCTATTATTATAATTATTGGAAAGGCACAAGCTTTGCAGGGCCACTGCATAGAGTTGGGCAGGTTGTCTACTGCACAAGGGCAGCCTGCTGAGGGTGCAGATAGGAGAGATGGTGTTCATGTTCCATTTGCCAGACTTTGTGTCCTGGCATGGGGCTGTGTCCACCCACAGGAAGAGGCACCCTTCTCTAATTGGCAGAAGACACCTTCTTCTCTGGCCAAGCCATCTGCTTACCAAACTGTGGGCTTGGGGGGCTACTTTGCCCAAAGAGATCTATTTCTAATTTGCAGAAATGCCCTATATGGGCTGGCTGTGGCTCAGAGGCCAGTCTCAACTAGCCTAGAGGTCGTCTTAAGCATTTGACCCTGACATACCTGATTCTGTCCCTTCTTCTAGTATAGCTCTTCTTGCCTGGTTTTATATTTTTAAAATAATAGAAGTTAGCTGACAAAACTGTATGCATTGTCTTATCACAAATAGGCACAGAGTAAATTTTCAGAGGCTGAGTAGATCTACAGGTCCTACAGAGTCTCCTCATCCCTGACCTCTCCATTACTTCTCTTCCATTGTAGGAAAGGAAATTAGCATTATAAATTAAGCTTACATTGATCTCTGATTTGAAATGGAAAATTAGATATCTTTTTTTTTTTTTAACTTCAACAAGTGCATGAGGGAGATAATGGTACCAAACGATTGGGTTCTTAAGCATCAGAATTATGAAAAGATAGAAAGGGTCCCACCCTCCCTACACACCGAGAATAAAAAAAAAAAACCCCACACAAAACCCCACCTTATCTAAGGCAGCCAGGTGGTATTCATCTTGGAAACAAATGCAGAGAGTGGAGGGAAGATCTGGTCTGAAAGTTGGTGTGAATCTTTTATTCTTTCCCTGCACTATCCTAAGAGAACATTAAAAATTTATCAGCAACAAAGGCCCTGCAAGATTTTCTTCAAGTAAGAAAACCAAAAAGCAAGGAAAACAGAGAAGGAGTTTAGTCTGTTTATTTTATCTTCTTGCTAAATTTTCTCTCACCGCACACTAAGTTTTTTTTGAGGGCTTGCTGTCCCCTCATTTTTGTGTCTGACTTGCGTTTCAGGTGAGGTAAAGCAGGAATCATTCTGATGGGATGCTCCTCTGTGATTATCCAGTGCCAGATGATGTGCAGGTCTGGGACAACAGAGAGAAACGAACAGAATAACTGCAATTATTGAATTTGTTTGGGCAGATATGTGTGTGTTTTCTGCCTTCCCATTGTATTGAGGTCTTTCCGGTGCTCATGGAAAATAAGCTAGGAGTGAAATCTGTCTTTTATCATCAGAGCTTGCTTTGTTACTTTGTTACAGTTTGAGTGTCTAGGAAAATTGGTCTAAACTTAAATTCCACTGCCGAATGATACATTTAACCCATCAGGGAGATTGTGTGTGTGTGGCAGGGGGTGGTGGGGGGTGCGTGGGGGAGGAGTTGGGGGGGTTGCGTGGAATGGAATGGCAGGCATTAGATGCTGCGTTTTTGCAGTGGTTCTCAGATACTTCATTCTAGAGAAGCTGCTGGTTGGGGTTCTGGCCCATGGACCATTTCCCCTCTACTGTGGGTTTTAAAGTCAGTCTCATCAGCATTCAGTAGTATTGTCTTATTAATCAGGAAGATAAATAGGGAGAAGCCTGAGGAAGCATTTCTTTTTTTTTTTTTCCAGTGGATCACTTTTCGAGGTTGCCATAATTGAAGAGCATGGAATGAGTTACGCTCTGCATTTTCAATGAAATGTTATTCACTATAAATGGAAAATTTCCCCTGCTGTTCAGGCATTGTAAAATTAATATAACTACCCTGCTAAGGAAGGCATCCCCAACATGGGCTGTTGGAAATCCAGTGTTTTTATTAGTAACAGGGCTGCTGATTTCCATCTTGACACATTTATTGATTACTCTGAGTACCTGGTGGTGCATCAGGTCCTTTGAGAATTCATGTTGCAGGTCAGTTGTAGTCATTTCTGCAGTAAGTTTGCAATCTTAAAGGATGAATATGTGTATTATGAAAACTGAGAAGGGGAACTGACAGCCTAGAAAAGGGGAGTCTGAGAGGTTTAATAAGAATTCTGGAATAGGAAAGTTGAGTTTTGGGGGGACAGCATTTCTCCATCACCACTTATTAAGATGAGGGCAGGGTAAGGTACAATTTAAATTACAGCAGGTGGAATCTCCCTTTATAATGAGGAGTACTTTCTTCTGATGCAAAAGATTATGAGCCTCGACTAAGCTGTGTTGCTGAAAGAAGCCGTGTAATCTCTGTTTGAATTTGAAAGAAGGGTGTCGTGGGTGTCTGTGTTTTGGCAGCCCAGCACCAGACCTCTTTTTCTTTCTAAGCCTGTCTCTCCAGCCTTCTGGTGATTCTGTGAGACACCCCTTCAGTAAGTATCTTTTCTGCTTGGACCATCTGGAGTTAGTTCTCATAAGATTGTTGGGACTCAAATAACTGAAACAATATGCTTCGAATAGTCCTTAGTTGCATACTCGGTGCTCAGTAACTGGTCAGTGATGTTGTTTTTATTGTTTCTTAAATTGTAACCAAGAAGTTTGAATCAAAAAAGGACTCTGTGGAACAATTAGTAAACAAGAAAGAGAAGAACCAAGTGATCTTTGGAATACCCCTCAGATCTTTGTTTCTGAGCCAAAATGCCCCCATATTTCCTTGTTAATTATTACCTCAGGACCATGCTATGAATTACCTTTCTTATGGGTTATTTGGGTATTCAATAGTTAAACTTTATTAGATGAGGTTCAAGTATAATGGATCATATACTGCATTATACTCTAATAAATTATATCATAATGAAGCTGTAGGGTACAAGTTATGCACACATAGTATAGGAAAGGAGGCTATAGACGTAGCCATTTGCTGAATCCTCCAAGGAGAGAGGTTTATGATAAGCAAGCAAAAATAACTTTGGATGTGATGAAAGCAGTAACCCTTCAACTTGGCCAACGCTAGTTGCAGCATCGGCCCATTGGACATAGGACCATTTTTATTGGCAATGACAGCTTTATTCTTGTTCTGTCAGTATTGGTCAGCTTGTCCTGTGGGATTAGAATCAGGTTTAGATTGGCTAACATTGGCAAATACAGATGAAAATATGTTTTAGGGAGTTTCTGTGTCCCCTCTTAACCACAGCCTGTTCTAGGACACACTGAATCTTTGGGGCTGAGGTAGCCTATCCCTTGTGACCACCTCAAAATCTTCTGATTCTATAAAATGCCTGGGAGGGAATGGGGAGGGAGTGGAAATGGATGAGGTGTTCATTTTCTATAAGGGAGGTTGTACTTTTCCCCCTCCACCCCCGAAAATATGTACAGACAGGCAAATTTTGTTCTTTTGCCACCAACACTCCCGCTGACTTCCTGGTCCTTTTTTTTTTTTTTTTTTTTTCGCCTCAATTTGGCTTATTTTAAACTGATGACCCAAGTCAGGAAATAATAGCCATCCTTTACTGAGTCCTTTCTATGTGTTGAGATTTATGCACATTCTCTTTAATCCTCTTAATACTTTCAAAGATATTGATTATCCCCATTTTGCAGAGGAGGAAACAGGCTTAGATTAAATAACACAATAAAGGTTATAAAGGTAATAAATGTTAGGATTTGAACTCTAGTTTGTGTAGCTCCAAAGCCTCTCCTTTTTCTGAAAACCACTCTCTATTATCTTCCTCTCGCTGTTTTCCTCAAAACCTCATTTTCTGCTCAGAGCTGGCAACCGTATTCTCTGCAAGGCTAACATAACTTCTGATATAGACCTCACATAAGTTCAGGTCTTAAGTAGAATTTACTAATGCATTTGCCTTCTGCTTACAACAGCAAAACACTCAGAACTGTGTTTTGTTCATCTTTCTGTCCCCAGCACCCAGTACAGAGCTTTCACACCTGCATAAATGTTTGTTGAATAGGGCCATTCCTGATATGTTCCCATTGCGAGGAGGTATAGGAAAAGTTAGGAACCCCAAAGGAGCAGCATCCATAGCATTTGACAATATTCATGACAAGGTAATCTGAACACTGAGAACAAAATGGGAAATGCAGAAAAACAATCAACCAAATCCCAGATACTAAAGTTTGTACTTCGGGGACGGGTAGTCAGTGTTTATTCAGGTACCTCAAATTTGGGCCAGTTAAATGCATTGAGAGCAGCTCCAGGGAAGCAGCGCTCAGTGAGGAAGCCACATGGCCTTGGGAGCACCACCACTGCCTGTGGTGTGAGTGGCACTGCCTCCCACGTGTGCCTCTTGTACCTGGTTTTTCCCCAGGCAGACAGACCCCAGCTCCAAATTCCATTGGGGAGATGAGCGGTGTTTCACTATTCAGGGCCTGGAAGGACCCTGAAAAGCCATTTGTTCACTGCTTCCCTTTTCTCCCAGAAGGCATAAATTTATTATACTAATATATTTAATGTATTACAGATCCATTGAAGAAATGCTGGGAGAAAAAGGGCAGAGATTGGCTTTTATTTTAATACACTTTCCTCAAAATACGTTACTGAAATCCTCATTGTAGCCAGTCTGTTTCCTCCTTCCTCAAATATTTTAGGAATAAATCAGCAAACTTGCTGACTTTGGCTGTCACCTCCATTCACCTCCCCAGCTGGCCTCTGGCGGTGCTAGCAGTGTAGCGTGTGGCCTAGAGGTCGGGGAGCAGAAGGGAGGCATAGGGGAGCCGACGGGAGGGAGCCGGAATCATCAACTGCAGACTATTTTCAGATCTGGAGTCATTGAACATTTTCTGTCCTGAATTTTTGGCTGAAACAGTAGAGCTGCTTGCTGAGAACCAGGGCGTCTGTCTTCCCTTTTGTACTTAAATGTTCTTCTTGGCGCTTCTTGTCCTTGGAGGGGAGAAGATGGCTGCAAGGAGCCTTTCCAGCTGCTGCCCTTGGCTGCAGGTGGGTGGATGTGCCTCCCACCTGTCCGTTGGCTTGGCTCTCTCTGGCAGCAGCGGGTAGGCTCGTAGCCTGTGTTCCCTGTTAAGACCCTTTCACTCCTGTTTCGTGTGATCCAGCCTTGTCATTCTTTTCCCCTCTGCTGATTTCAGTGGGAGCTTCACTCTGGTTGGACCCACTGGGGCTGATGACTCACTGATAACCCAGGTGAACCAGCAGTTAGCTAGTTTTTTCCTCTGTTATCAAAGGAAAAGCCAAGGAAGGGTGGCTTCTAATTTGGAGAGGGTGCCACCTGCCTGCCTGACCCCACTGCCTGCCACCTGCCTGAGTGACAGAAGGTAGGATCCATCTGTTTGTTCCAATGTGACTAGATCACAAAAAAACAATTAGCAGCTTGGAAATGTATTTTTCAGGACACACATAAACCTGCCATTACAGGGAGGATTCTGGTACTAATTTAGATGCAAATGGGATCGCCTGACTAGAGCTGATTACAGAAAGGTCAGAATGTCTATATGCTCAATTTCACTCATACGCCGTGCAATAAGTTAATGTGCTTCTGCAGTTGTGGGCATGATGGCTGGGTTTGGTTCTGGCTTTAATTTTTTTTAGAGAGCTTTGGTTTTATAGAAGTAGAATGTGATGCATGGTGTCACCTCCTCCCTTCCCACCCACCTCCTTTTTAAAAGAAAACACACTGTCCATTTTGCCTATTTCTGGGAAGCTTGAAATTCTAATAAAAAATAAAAACACACTTTTGGAGCTCTTAGCCTAAGACAAAAAAGAGTAGATTGACTGTAAATTCAGTTGCCATCCTGTTCAGAAAACTGATCTCACCTATGTGTGCACTTCTTCCAGGCCAGACCTTGACGGGTTATAGCCTGGAGCATAGGGAACTGGCGATGAGAACTGGTGGGTGAAAGCATGGCGTAGATGATTGTGAACTGTGCTCCTGTGGTGTTTTTCAGATGTTTTTGGCTACTGCTCACAGTCAGAAATAATATTTTGTATGTTTGCATATATATGTATATTTACTGAATTTGCAAGCAAAGCACATATATTTAATGTATCACATTATGTATATTTTCAACAAAATATGTATACACAAGTTTGACAAAACAGGACTTGCCCTTACTACATGCAGGGCACTCTAATATTTTCTATTGGAATCTGGTCTAAACCATTAATGAAATAATAAACTGAATTCACTACCCACTTTTGGATTTCAAACTATAGTTTCAAAAACACCAGCTTAAGGGATTGGTGAAGATTCTCGGCATGAAGAAGGACCCGGACAAGGGCTATAGGAGTGTGGAGAAGATGGGCAGAGAAAGATTTATTTCCAAGGATGGACTAAACGGGACTCAGTAGCAGTAAAGTCAAGTACCTGAGTCAGGCCTCTATTCTGGAACTGACACATAATAGTGCTTAAGCAGAGACATTCTTTAGAGTAACAACTGTTCTTATCTTAGGGATAATTACTCATTTGTGGACACTGAGTTTTCTTTAGGTTATTTCAGTCATTGTGGCCCACCTTTAGTATGAAATAACATTCTTAAGCTTTAGTATCCCTAAACTTTATTATTGCGTATGATATGGCAGTAAGGTAGAATGTCATTTACTGTTTCTATTAGTATTTCTATGTAAATTCGTAGCTACCTGCAATTCTTTATAAAACAAATTAAATAAATATTGATAGTCATCTCTAAGACAGAGGTCTTACTTATATTAGCAGCTGATTGTCCTCCATAATGGGTGCATGAAGAAGATGCTACTTTCCAGTCTTGCTAACACTTCTTTGGGGCATTAGCAGAAGATTTCGTTTTACATTCTGCACAGCAGAGCATCTTTTCCCTGGTGGTTTATTGTTAGCTTTCCAGTGATCACACTTAGGCTCTGGTCTCATCCTCGTTAAGGAGGTTGCATATTTGGGGGGATTAGAGGAAGTTTCTGAAAGTAAGATAATGGGACAGGAAAAGATTTTCTGGTATAAAAAGCTCCTGAAGGCTCTGAGGATATGGTAGAAGGAAAAGATGGAAGAAGGGAGCCAGATTTTCCTGGTTTGGTTATTCGTTTAAGGTGAGTATGATCTGTTTATAAAAATAGGCAACTTAATGCTTAATGGACTTGGGTTTTTAATATTTATAGCATGTTATATAAATGCTGTCCCTCCAAGTGCTTTCTTAAATCCTCTTAGCTTATAAATGACAGCTTTGATTTCTAAAAAGAAATGAAATATTTTCATTTATCCAGCCTAACAGTAGTAAACAATAGATACTTAATGCCCTCCTTTCATGTTAGCCCTCAAAGACTGAGACTTGTAGTCTAAGGAGTTGATTGCTGTGCTTTCAAGCTTACTAAGGTCATGTGTAACTTAAGGGGGGAAAAGCTGATGCTACATTATTGGTGCAAAGGCTGGAATTCTGTATAACATGTCAGTTCAGCAGTGTTCCATAGATAAGCTGAAAATATTGTGTTACAGAAACTACATACATGGCCTGTTTGGAATGATTATGCAACTTTTTTCTAGTGATCAAGGTTGTTGGGGAATTAGATTTTTGCCTAAATCATTTAGGATTAAGTTTCTGCTAAAGGATCCCAAGTTTGCAGTAGTGAAGTGGATGTGAGCTAATGTAGGGTTGTTGTGAGTCATTTCCCCCTTAGCTATGATTGGTGACATCAGTTATTACAGAGATCTTTATAAAAAACGTCTCTACTTTCTGGGACCTTCAGGACACATGTAGAGGATAAAGGATAATTAAAAGTTAAACTAAATTCTGGCAAATATAAATCACTAGATCTTTGGGGCTATCATTCACTCAGGAAGAAGTACATTTTATGTGCCAGGCTTTGTGCATTGCATTGAGGTAATAAAGAAAAGACACAGTGTGCATCCCAGGGCAGCATTAGGAGTGCTTCATATATGGGACTAGAAAACATCAGGAAACACAAAGACGGAAGTAGTTTGTTTCAGAAGCAGGGGCAGACCATGAAAAGCACTCTTCCCAGTGCAATTTATTTGTTAAATGTTTGATGGTTGCCTATTTCTGTTGCTGTATATGGGCCACAGAGAGCTCTTTACAGTTGGTCAGATGACATAGTGGTGTATTGAATGACTGAGAACTTGCATTGTTGGCACCGAGCTAGGGGAAGGGGATTTGCGCTATGATATGTACTCAGACCACTGTGGAATGACTTCTCGTTAGATACTAATGCACTGGATAAGCATGCCTTGCTTAGATAAAGAAAACAGACACACTGACTTGGTAATATCTTATCCACCTGGGCTCATCTATCCAGAAGAAAGCTGAGCACCAATAACTTTTTAAAAGTAATTTAAACTGCCAAAATAGATAGCTCCAAGCCTTTATGCACAGATGCATCCACTCAGGGCTCATCTACACTTATGTAGCAGATCTGGACATCTGGTTTCTAAACTAATCTGTGGATTTTAAAAGCCGAAAATTAAAAGGGGAAGAGGAATGGAATATAAAAGGAATGGCCCAGTAACCGTAAGATAATGTGACAACTAACACTTTTAAAGGAAGAGAATGAAAGAAGATTTTAAAAAATGGAAAAGGGAAAATAATCACTCAAAAAGTATTGCCATCTGTTTTGTTTAAAATCGAGTGCATTTGACTCATGGTGGAGGGATTGCTAAGATTTCTAGGGTGTGTGGTATTAGAATCTGAGAGTTTGAACTATTTCTCTGGTGGTTTTCACGCATTCAGGTGTGGCTGTTTCTTTATGCTTCTGCGGGGCAATTGATGACCCTGGGAATGACCTCTATTCATCAAGAGATGGTATATTCTCATCTTAGGAGGACAAAGATGTATATGCTAGCTCTTAAAATACTCCCAATAAAAATGTTTAAGGTTAGAATTTTGATACTTGAAGCATCAAATCCTCGGCTTCTTGAAAAACTTGGCTCTTCAGAGTCTTATTCACTGAAAAATTGACATTTTACTGCATGAGAAAATTACACCAGGTAGCATATATTAATTTGTTATAAAAAAGTCGCAGTTACTTTATAAGCAGTAAGTTCTTATAGTACTTTGTAAATAACATTTTATGTGTATTATTCAGTTATAAAAAATTTGACATGCAGCTCTCCAGAAACACATCGGAACATCTGTAGCACTTTGTGTCTGTACTGCTCCTTTGCAATTTATATTATCATTTTGCTTGTCATAGCTCATCTTTCTGGACATAAGGAATGTTATGTTTTCAGCTCCTCGTACATAACAGGTCCCAATAAATGTTTACTGAATGACTAATAAAGAAACAAGTTATTCCGGGCTTTCTAATTAATCCTTTACTAACCATGTAAATACTTTCCATTATCTTTTTTCTTCATTTTTGATTACACTCTAAAATCTTTATGGTATTTGAACTGCATTTGATGATTAGAGTTACCAGAACACTTGAATTGATTCTTTATGCCTTTCTTTTTCCTTATTGAATTAAAGGGCGGAAACAGCATGAGGTATTGTGGAATGTGAATAGGTTATGGGCTTCAATAAAGCTCTGAAGTGTGTTTTCGTGGGCAGGCATGTTCTTGCCTTGATGATGTCACTGTGGTGAGGCTGGGGGCCACGGGAGAGGCGTGTATCACAGCATCAAAAGGATGCTCACCTGTGCTCACTCCGTTGTTTGTCCTAGGTGACTGTGGAAGAGGTCATGACCACAACTGCATATCTGGACCTTTTCCTGCGTAGCATCTCCGAGCCAGCACTACTTGAGATCTTCCTCCGTTTTATCCTATTGCACCAGCACGAGAATGTCCACATCCTAGACACTCTCACGAGTCGAATCAACACCCCGTTTCGGGTAAGGAGAGCGCCAGAGGAAGGGAACTTACAACTCAGAACAGATTTCAGGAGAGTTTTTTTTTGGGAATGAAATTATGAATATTCTCTTTTGCTCTCCTTTTTTTTTCTTTTTCTTTTTTGGTTGTTGTTGTTTTGTGGCCATTACCTTCTTTCTATTTGGGTAGAGATGAATGGAATAATGCGTTTTGTTCTCAGGGATCCTTCTGTCAAGAGGTGACACTTACTGCCTTTCCTAGGACATCTTTCGCTATTTCTCTGTTTTAGCACTTTCTTCTGTAGAACTAGCAGAGTGCACTTCTGTGGGGGCAAGATGCAAGGGAACATGTGGGCTTAAGCACAGATAAAGCCAAGGAACCAGAGTGCATCAAGTCTGGGTGTTAGAGATCATATTCCTGTCCATGAGTTTTCTTGAAATGGAAGTTTGGAAAGTTGTGAATTTGGGTGGTCATTCTTCATTTTGAAGCTCTGATTAACTTGAAAAATACTCCTCCCCAAAGGCTATCTCTAGTTAATTGCAATTCTTGTTTTAAAAGCAAAAGAATGAGAATGTATATATCATTCGGTTTGCAACATATATAGAGATAATATATAACAATAATTGCACAAAGGGGGGAAGAGGGAATAGACTTATATAGGAGTAATATTTCTATATTTCACTAGAGCTAATTTAATATAAACTTGAAGTAAATTCTGATAAGTTAAAATGTATACTGGAAGCCCTAGAGCAACCACTAAGAAAATAACTAAAAAAAGTGGAAAAATCTTTTAAAGGAATTAAAATGTTATACTAGAGAAAATATTCAATTAGCACTACACTTATCAGCAACATAATACACATTCTCCTCAAATGTACATGGAATATTCTCCAAGACAGACCATGTGCTAGGCCATATAACAAGCCTCAGTGAATTTAAGAGGATTGAAATCATGCAAAGCATGTTCTCTGATCATGATGGATGGAAATTAAAAAATTATTGACAGAAAGAAATTTGGGAAATTCACAAGTATATGGAAATTGACACACTTCTAATCAGTGGGTCAAAGAAGAAATCACAAGGAAAATGAGAATTTACTTTGAGATAAATGAGAATGAAGACAAAATATATCCAGACTTATGAGACACAGTGAAAGCATTGTTTAAAGGGAAATATATAGTTGTGAACACATATGTTAAAAAAAGAAGAAAGAGCTCAAAGCAGTAACCTAAGCTTCTACTTTAACACACTGGAAAAAGAAGAGCAAACAAAGCAGGCAGAAAGAAAACAATAAAGATTAGAGCAGAAATTAATGAAATAGAAAATTAAAAAAATGGAGAAAATAGGTGAAATAAAAAGTTGGTTCTTTGACAAGATTCACAAACCTTTAGCTAGGCTGAGAAAAAAAGAGGGAAGTCTCAAATTACTAAAATGAGAAATGAAAGAGGAGGATATTACTATCAACCTTACAGAAATAAAAACAATTAGGACCATGAGCAACTATATGCCAAAGGATGACTTAGATGAAATAGACAAATTCTAGAAAGACACAAACTTATGAAATGGAAGATCTAAATAAATTTATATCAAAATAAGATTAAAATAGAAATTAAAAGAACTACTCACAAAGAAAAGCCCAGACCCAGATGGCCTCACTGGTGAATTCTATCAAACATTTAGGCACTAGTTAAAAAGTGATGTCAGCAAAATGGTGGAATAGGAAGACCCAGGCCCTTATTCCCTCACAGAGAAACCCACTTAACAAAAATTTATGACCAAACTGCTTTTGTAAGAACTTCAGAAACTTTGTAAGAACACCAGTTAAGAGGTTGTAGCACAAAGCCAAGAAGAGACATATTGAAGTGTGCAGGAAAATTGGTGGCATTATTACCTGCTCTAGCCATGTCCCCTCCCCAACACAGTGTGGCAAGATCCAGAGAAAACTCCAACTACTGACTTTTACTTTGTGAGGGAAAGAAAAGAGTGAATTGCTTGCTTCACATTACTTCTTATGTTCTGTCTGCTTATTGGGAAAAGAGGAATAAAGTAGCTGTAAGACACACAGAAAACAACAAAATGGAAATAGTAAGTCCTTCCACCTCAGTAATTATTTTAAATGTGGATGGATTAAACACTCCAGTCAAAAGATATAAACTGGCTAAATAGATTAAAAAGAAGATCCAAGCATATACTGTCTAAAAGACACTCACTTTCGATCTAAGAACATGCATAAGCTGAAAGTCAAAAGATGGAAAAATATATCCTATGCAAATGGTAACTAAAAGAAAGCAGAGGTGGTTGTACTTATATTTAAAAATTAGACTTTAAGATAAAGAGACAAAAAAGGACACGAGATAAGGAATGACATTAATGATAAAAGGGTCAATTCACTAGTAAGATATAAATATTATATATAATACATGCATGTAAAAATTATATATATGTGTATATATATATATGCATGTAACATCAGAGTCCCCAAATATATGAAACAAACATTGACAGAATTACAGAGGGAAATAGACAGCTGCACAATAATAGTAGGAGACTTCAATGCCCTACTTAAATAGTGGATAAAAATATCAGACAGAAGATAAAGAAGGAAACAGGATTTGAACAACACTGTAAACCAATTGGACCTGACAGACATATACCAAATACTCCACCCAGCAATGGCAGGATATACGGTTCTCCTCAAGGGCACATGGAACATTCTCCAGGATAGACCACTTGTTAGGTCACAAAACAAAGTTTAACACATTTACAAAAATTGAAAGCACACAAATAATTTTTTTCTAACTGCAATGGAATGAAACTAGAAATAAATAGCAGAAGGAAAAGTGGAAAAAATTATGAATACATACAAATTAAACAACACATTCTTGGGCCAAAGAAGAAATCACAAGGGAATTTAGAAAATATCTGGAGACAAGTGAAAATGAAAGCACAATATACCCAAACTTATGAGGTGCAGTGAAAGCAGTACTAAGAGGGAATTTTATAGCTGTAAACACTTAGGTTAAAAAAGAAAATCTTGAAGCAACAACCTAACTATACATCTTCAGGAACTAGACAAAGAAGAATGAACTAAACTCAAAGTTAGCAGAAGGAAGGAAATGATAAAGATCAGAGCAAAAATCAATGAAATAAAGAATAGAAAAACCAATGAAACCAAGACTTGGTTTTTTAAAACAACAGCAATAATATTGATTGACCATTAGCTGGATTAACTAAGAAAAAAGAGAGATGACTCAAATAACTAAAATCAGAAATGAGAGAGGCGACATTACACCTTATGCCACAGAAATAAAAAAGAGCATACCACAAACAATTATACACCAACAAACTGGATGACCTAGAGGACCTAGATACATTCTTAGAAACATATAGCCTATCAAGGCTGAATCATGAAGAAATAAAAAAAAATCTGAACAGACTTGCCTCAAGTAAGGAGATCAAAACTGTAATGATAATTGAAAAATCTTAAAGAAAAACCCAGGACCAGATGGCTTCACTCTAGTGGTCTACCAAACATGTAAAGAAGAATTAACATCAGTCCTCCTTGAACTCCTAAAAACCTGAAGATCCAGGAACATTTTCAAACTAATTTTATGAGGCCAGTGTTGCCCTAATACCAAAACTAGACAAAGATACTTCAAGAAAACTAGAGGCCAGTATCCCTGATGACTGTTGATGCAAAAATCTTTAACAAAATACTAGCAAAAAGCATTAAACAGCACATGGTAAGGATTGTATAACATGACCAAGTGTGACTTATTCCTAGAATGCAATGATACTTCACCATATGAAAGTCAGTCAGTGTAATATACCACATTAACAGAATGAAGGACAAAACCCACAGCGTCATCTCAATTGATACAGAAAAGGCGCTTGACAAATTCCACACCCTTTCATGATAAAAGCACTCAACAAACTAGAAATATAAAGAAACAACTACAACATATTAAAGGCCTTATATGAAAAGCCCGCAGCTAACATCTTACTCAATGGTGAAAGACTAAAAGCTTTTTCTCTGAAATCAGGAACAAGGCAAGGATGCCCACTTAGAGGTCCTAGCCAGAGCAATTAGGCAAGAGAAAGAAATAGAAAGCATTTAAATTGGATAGAAAGAAGTTAAATTGTGTCTGTTTGTAGACAACATAATCATATATATAGAAAACCCTAAAGATGTCACCAAAAAACTGTTAGAACTAACAAGCGAGTTCAGTAAAGTTACAGGATACAAAGTCAACGCACATAAGTAATTTCTATATATTAACTATGAACAATTCGAAAAGGAAATTTTAAAAAGTTCTTTATAATAGCATCAAAAAGAATAAAATACTTAGGAATAAACTTAACTGAGGAGGTGAAAGACTTGTGCACTGAAAACTACAAAACATTGAAAGAAATGAAAGAAGAACAAATAGAAAGACATTCCGTGTTCATGGATTGAAAAACTTATTTTCATTAAAATGGCCATATTACTCAAAAGCAATCTACAGATTCCATGCAATTTGTAACAAAATCCCAATGGCATTTTTTGGGCAGAAATAGAAAAAAAATCCCAAAATTTATATGAAATCTCAAGGGACTCTGAATAGCTGAAATAATATTGAAAAAGAAGGAAAAAGTTGGAGAGCTCACATTTCCTTAAAACATATTACAAAGCTATAGTAATAAAAAACAGTGTGGGACTAGCATAAAGACCAATGAAACAGAATAAGAAACAGAATGAAACAGAAATGAACCGTTGTATTATGGTCAAATGATCTTTGACAAGGGTGCCAAGACTACACAATAGGAAAGGACGGTTTCATCAACAAATGGTAATGGTAAAACTGGATATCCACATGCAAAAGAATGAAGTTGAACCCTTACTTTACACCGTATAAAAAAATTAACTCAAAATGTATCAAAGACCTAAACATGAGATCTGAAACTACAAAACTCCTAGAAGAAAACATGGAGGAAAACTTCATAGCAATGGATTTTGTAATAATTTCTTGGATATGACACCAGAAGCGTAGGGAAAAATAAGACAGATGGGAGTACATCAAACTTAACAACTTAGGCGTATCAAATGAAATAATCAACAAGATGAAAGGGCAACCTACAGAATGGGAGAAAATATTTATGAGTCATATATCTGATAGGGGGTAGTATCCAGAATATATAAAAAGTTCTGTAACTCACCACCAACCAAAAACCCAAATAATCTAACTTAAAAATAAACAAAGTACTTGAATATTTCTATGAAGAAGACTTACAAAGGACCAAAAAATATATGAAAAGATTAGAGAAGTACAAATCAAAACCACAATGAGATATTATCTCATATTCATTAGGGTGGCCACTATCCAAAAAACAGAAAAAATTAGTGTTGGTGAGAATGTGGAAATACTGGAACCTTTGTGTCTTGTTTATGGGAATGTAAAGTGGTGCAGCTATTATGGAAAACAGCATGGAGGTTTCCCAAGAAATTAAACATAGGTTTAGTACATTATCCAGCAATCCCACTTCTGGGTATATATCTAAAAGAATTTAAAGCACGATCTTGAACAGATATTTGTACACCCATGTTCATTGCAGCATCATTCACAATAGCCAAGAGGTTGAAGCAACCTAGATTGTCCATTGATGGATGAATGGATAAGAGAGTATGTTATATATATACAATGGAATGGAATGTTATTCAACCTTAAAAAAAAGAAGGAAATCTTGTCATATGCTACAACACGGATGATCTTTGAGGGTATTATGCGAAGTGAAGTAAGCCAGTCACAAAAAGACAAACTGTAGGATTCCACTCATGTAAGGGATCTAAAATAGTCAAACTTAAAGAAACAGAGGGTAAAATGATGGTTTCCAGGAGCTAGGTGGTAGGGAAAATGGGGAGTTGTTCGGTGGTTACTGAGTTTCAGTTTTGCAAAATGTAAATGTTTTAGAGATCTGTTGCATAACAATGTGAATATAGTTACCACTAGTGATTTGTATGCTTAAAAATCATTAAGACGTTAAATTTTATTTATGTGTTCTTTATCAATTTAAAAAATGAATAATTAATACAGATTCTTCACAGACTCTTTCAAAAATTAGAAGAGGAGGAAATACATCTCAACTCATTCTATGAAGCCAGTGTTATTCTGATTCCAAAACTAAACAAAGACACCACGGGAAAACTCTACACTAACATCTACTATGAATATGGGCTCCCCAGTTCTCAATAAAACACTAGCAAATGAAATCTAGAATAAATAGAAAGGATTATACACTATGATCAAGTGGGATATATCAAACTAGGATTGTAAAGCTGGTTTAAAGTCTGAAAATCAATTAATGTAATACATCATATCAAGATAAAGGAAAACATCATGATTATCAACAGCATACTCAACAAATTAGAAATAGAGGGGAACTTCCTAGCAATCTGATAAAGGGCATCTATGAAAAAGTCAGAGCTAACATTATACTTAATAGTGAAGAATGTTTTTCACTAAGATAAGGAAGAAGGTAAGATATCTTCTCTCCTCAATTCTATTCAAGATGGTACTTAGTTCTAGCCAGGGCAATTCAATAAGAAAATGAAATAAATGCATTTATATTAAAAGTAAAATAATCAGTATTTGTAGATGACATGCTCTTGTATGTAAAAAACTAAGGAATGCACTAAAATTGTTAGAATGAATGAGTCTAGTAAGGTTGCAGATACAAGATTAATGTACAAAAATCAATTTACAATAACATCAAAAGAATAAAATATGAATAAATTTTTACAAAAGAAGTGCAAAACTTGTGCTGCAAAAACTATAAAACATTGTTTAAATTAAAGAAGACCTAAATAAAAGGGAAAACACCCAATGTTCATAGACCAGAAGACTTAATATTGTTAATATAGGAATACTCCACAAATCGATCTACAGTTTCAATGCTTTTCTATAAAACTCCTATCTGGCCTATTTGTTGAAATAGATAAGCTGACTCTAAAATTCATATGGAAATGCAGTGGACCCAGAATAGTCAAAACAAACTTGAAGAAACAAGTTGGAGGACTCACCGTACCTGGTTTCAAAACTTTCTACAAAGCTACAGTAATCAAAGCAGTGTGGTGCAGGATAGACATACAGACCAGTGGAACAGAATTGAAAATCCAGAAATAAACTCATATATCCATGGTCAATTAATTTTCAACAAGATTTCAAGACCACTCAGTGGGAGAAAGAATAGTCTTTTTAACAAATGGTGCTGAGACAATTGGATATCCATGTGCAAAATAATAAGGCTGAATCCACACCTCATGCCATATACAAAAATTAACTCAAAATGGACCAAAGACCTAAATGTAAGAGCTAAAACTATAAAACTCTTAGAAGAAATCATAGGAGTAAATCCTTGTAGCCTTGACAGTGTTTTCTTAGATATGACACCAAAAGCATGAACAACAACAAATGAAAAAATTGATAAATTGGAAATTATCAAAATTAAAAACTTTTGCCTTCAAGGGACAACAGCAGGAACTTGAAAAGACAATTCACAGAATGGTAGGAAAGTTTTGCAAATCATATATCTGATAAGATACTTGTACACAGAATAAACAACTCCTACAACTCAATAATAAAAAGATAAATACACCCTGCTGCTCACCCTTAACAGTGAGCGGTAGGGGTTACTATGCAATCTGATAAATTAACAGTGATTTGCAGGGGTTACTGTGGCAATGGATAAGAAGGAAACCTAACTGAGCTGGGGAAAGGAAGTGTTGGATGGTAATATTGTGAGACAGAACAGAAAGGTTTCTTAAGGGAGGCGATGCCTAAGCTAAGACTTTGAGAATAGATAGGAGTTAGCCCATGGGGGAGTCAGGAAAAGGCATTGCATTTAATGGAACCACGTGTGCAAAGACTTGGAATGGGAACAGAGTATGTTGCTTCTAGCTAACGACAAGTATATGACCTGCCCTGAGGATAAGAGATGTTTTGAGTTAGGCTAAGTACAGCTCTTTCTTTACAGCATTGTTGTAGATTTCATTGGCCAGATTTTAAGCCCAACCTGCCTAGAAGACAGACTAGCATTTATTCTCCTGTACAAAGAATGAGAGCTTAAAATTACTTAAATGGGCCAGTATGATTGTTAAAAGCTTACTCTCAAAAGGGTACAAAGATTTTACAATACACCTTTGGGTATCTCCCCTGTTTGGCAGTTTACCTTCTCTTTTTGGAAATCAGTGATTGATAGAATTCTTGTGTTTTAAAGAACTTTTTAGAAAAGAACATTATCTCACCCTCAGCACAATGGGAAATGGAACCAAGGAAAATGCCCCAAAGCCAAGAGAGGAGCTGAGCTTGAGGCTAAGAACTCTGAAGGGAGACTTGGCTAGGTTATATGCAATTTTCTGCAAGCCCTGTCTTGTAAATAACTAATGGCATATTTGAAAATAACTCAGGAAAACAAATTACCTAAATAGGAGATTGTGTGTGTGTGTGTGTGTGTGTGTGTGTGTATGTGAGAGAGAGAGAGAGAATTGGAGAATTGTAGGTAGAATGTTTATCTGTCTGGATCTTTAAAAGTTGGAAATATGAGCCCAGACATTTTTGTAGGAAGATAATTCTGCACAGTGGCATAATTCCAGACACTGGCTTTCTAATCAAATCCTATAGGAGAATTGATATCCTGAATACACATTCTCCCTGGCAGCAGCATGCTTTTTATCAAAACTGCTAAAAAAAAAAAAAGGCCATTATATTTTGTAATTCTGATTTATTTACTATCTGTGGGGAGTAGAGTTATCGTTCCAACATCTGAACTAGAATGTGTGTCTCTTGCTTCCCAGCTTTGTGTGGTGTCTCTGGCATTATTCAGAACTCTCATTGGTTTACATTGTGAAGATGTGATGTTACAGCTAGTTCTAAGGTGAGTTGCCTTTTTTGTTTCCTTTAAAGAAAAATTCACTTTATACTTTATATTACTTTATATTCATATACTTTGTTATTTATATACTTTATATTACTTTGGTTGTATAAGCTAAAAAGGCGCCAAGCATCTAAGGAAGAAAATTATCACGAACATTAATTTATTTTTTGCATTGTTTCCCAAGGTTAATTTTATTTGTACTATTAAAAGTTTTTAGAGGGCCATATGCATTATATTGTAAATATGCTCCTGGAAATTATAGATAGAATGCTTGAAAATGTTCAGAAGTATTATAAAAGCTATTCTGGTCTGTGGCTGAATGTCTTTCTCCTGAAGTGCATTTATAGGGGACTTTTGCTATTAAAAGCAAGTGTTCCAAATATAAAGTGCTTTTGATATATAATTTCTATGATTTTTGCTTTGATAATGATACACACAGTGTATTCTCTCTGATCTGTGAGTATATTTCAGTTAAATTCAGTAAAAATTTGATGAGTATTTGCTGTGAACTGAAAGGTAGCAAAGGTTTGTCCTTTGGACGGAAGTACAGGTGGGAAAGGTTTTATGAAGTGGCTGGGATTTGAGGACGAGTATTAGGAGTCAAAGTGCACAGCTATTAAGAAGACATTCATTTGGCAGTTTAATAGGGGACTCAGGAACACCAAATCTTGCCTTGGCCCAGCAATCCCTCTTCTTCTCTGGAACGCTGTGAGAAGCATCTGTTTTTGTGAAGGAAAGCAATGATGCTTCCTTATTAGCTCATGATTTAGCCCCGAATCTCTGCACAGAACTCTAGAAACTCCTGGTTAGACCATGGTGTACATCTTTCCTTCTTTTTGGTAAACCCAGATCCTGAATCTTGGAGTTGACTACTCTGGTGAAACCCTACCCCAGCACTGCAAGAAGCGGACCCAGAGAGAATGTGGCCCCAAAGCTGAGAGAGGAGCGAAGGGCTAGGGCTGAGAGGAGCTCCGAGTTGCGAGGGTTTGTGCTCTTACATGCTCTTCTGGTGGTGTGGAAGCAAAAACGAAAAAGTGGGACTACCAGGGTCCTCCAGCATGCGCTCCCTGCTCCTCCTTCCTTAGTGGACTTCCTGACCCTTCATTTGACCAGTCCTGGGGAATAAGGGTGGGTGGAGCTGAGAGTGGGGGAAGAGGGAGGAGACCTGGTCTTCCCCTAGTCCACATTGGGGTTTTGACATGATTTGAGTAGAGGTTACTGAGAAGAAGACATTCCAGGTGGATGCACTAGCATTTCCAAATAGGTAGCTCTGGAAAAGCCAGGGGTGTCAAAGTGTGATGCTGGAAACTAGTTAGAAATGCAAATTCTTGGTCTCCTCTCGGACCTACTGAATCAGAAACTCTGGGGTTAGGGCCCAGCAAGCCATGTTTTAACAAATTCCGGGGGATTCTGATGCACTACTAAGTTTGAGAACCACTTTGAGGAGTGATGCCGTGCAGGCATAACATCTTGCAAAAGAGAGTGATTACAAAATGAGTGTGAAAAAGCTGGTAGTGGCCTATTGTGGAGGGCCTTACAGAATTGTCAGGAGAGTATCACCTATTAGTTTTTCAAGTTTAAAAGAGCTTTTGAACTTTTTACAGTTTTAGATTAGGTCATCAGTAGCTAATCTTAAGGATTAGCAGAAAACAAATCCAATCTTAAAGAAACACCCTGGGTAGTCTGGGTAGAACATTAGTTATCTTTCCTAAAAGGATTATGTTAGCTCCTCATCAAGCCTCTACTGATATATGACAGAATGCATTAGCAAGGCCTGAATGAAATCCAGAACAACTTGGCAAAGCCGTTTTTAGTGCCAAAAAAACCAGGCTTTTACTCCAAAGTGGGTAAAGCCTGATGGTATTTAAATGTTAAATTCTTAAATACTGCTTCTTTGATGGTAGGAAAACCAGCTGTCTTTTTCAGTGTACTTGGAAGCCTGGCCTTGATCTGGAGGTGCAGAGCCTCCCAGCTCTGGGTCACCAAGTCAGATTTAGTCTAGGTGATGGAAGCTCTTGCTTGCTGGCTGTTCAGTGGCCTTTAGAAGGTGAGTGCTGATCACCCTTTTACTGCTCATATAGTGGTGTTTGTTGTGTTACAAAAGTGTCCGCAGAGATGGCATCGGTAATGGCTTCTCTGGAGACCCAGACTTGCCCCTTATAAAGATGAAGAGATCAGCTCATGGTTGAAATACATAAATGTTCAAGTCAGGGATAGTCATTTCTAGGGTGGGTGAGGATAAATATACCAGGAAAGTGCCTGAATGTTATGTTATCACAAGTTCTGAATGGAATAATGGAAAAAAAAAAATGCCAGACCTGACGTTAGGAGATGGGCTTGACTGCCTGGTCCTAGACTCTCTGGGCCCATGTTTCTTTAATGAGGATGATAGTGATAATAATAATAATATAGTTGCTCTTAATTGAATACTTCCTCTGTTTCTAATTCTGCTGTGCTGCTTGAGGGATTCCACCAGGAGAGAAACTGAGAGGACATACACAGAAGTCAGTTGGGCACATAATAGGCATGCAAGAAACCACTGGCTCCTGGTATCCTTCTTCTGCACTGCTGATGTGACTCAGCATGTTTTGGTTTTGGAGTATGCCACCTCATAAGATTATTGGGAGGATCAACTGTGGTGATGTTTGTGAAAATGTTTTGAAATGCTGTAAAGCAAGGTTGTGTAACCTGTGGCCTGCGGGCCGCATGTGGCCCAGGACAGCTTTGAATGGGGCCCAATGCAAATTTGTAAACATTCTTAAAACATTATGAGATTTTTTTGCAATTTTTTTTTCTTTTAGCTATCATTAGTGCTAGTGTATTTTATGTGTGGCCCAAGACAATTATTCTTCCAGTGTGGCCCAGGGAAGCCAAAAAATTAGACACCCCTGCTATAAAGTATAACACACATTTTAAGGGAGGGAATTTTCTAGAAAGGACATTTTAAACTAATGAAAATAATTCTTTTCAGATTTAGAATCTGTGCAAAAAGCAAAGCCAATAAAAAAATCTTTATTCTTCAAGTCATTTAAACATTATTTTAAGGGACATAAAAAATAGATTTATAATCTGTCCTTTTTGTTTGTTGCTGCCACTGCAGTCATTTGAATATACATGATAAACTTGCAGATCTGAGAGGCAGTAGAGCTGTGAAGATTATGTGACTGCGTTTAATGAAGGTATTTGTTATGTGATAAATAAATAATGACTGTATGTCAATTTTTATTACAACCCAAATACTCATAAATACCAACATTTCAAAATGATGATCCATTTGTAACGGATACTAGTTTCTTTCATTTGGTGAAATATCAGAAAAGTAAGTTGAAATAAGGTACCCCCAAAGACAGGATATTTTAGTGAGCAGAAAACCAAGGAGAAATTGTCCACCTCCACGGATATGACATATGATAGGCCAAAGGCAGGCAGGAAATGCTGACAAGCAGTGAGGTAACAAATCTCTGCCATGTGCCTGGAACCTCCCAGTTGAGACAAAATTTAATTGCTTAATACATTGAATACTATTTCTGAATATTCTTTTTAGAGAGTTTTTTTCAGAAGTACTGGTCCATTGTCAGGTTTATGAACTGTCTTGCCTGTTGTGTTCAGATAGAGGTTGTTTTGCCTGAAGAGAAGCTGTGTGTATACTTCAGGAACATTTTCATCTTGCATAGGAGCTAGGGGTTTGGAGGAAAGGAAAACAACAACAACAACAACAACAACAACAAAAACCCTGTAAAGCCTGCCAGCCTAGGGGAAAATGAATAGGAGAAATATGGCCAGAACTTCTTTGAATCACAAATGATCTTTTTGAATTCACTAACATTGCTTTGTAGATGTTTGTCTATTGGTGCATTGTTGGGGTTATCATCCCAGAAGAAGCACTTCACTTAGCTCATCGTACTTCACTGCCTTGTTTTGCTTGTGTTTATGGTCAGTGTAGCATAGGGCAATATGTATGCTTTGTTATCAATTGATTGTCACAGAATTATTTTAGAAGTGATGATGGTTTAATTTAATGACCGATATCCAAGAAAATAAGAAACAGGCCCAGGGTTATAAAGGGTTGGGGAAATAGTGAAAATCAGGGAGGACAATATGTATGATATATATATATCATATATCATATTTTGGACAATATGTATAATATATATGATACATATTTTATTTATATATTATATATATATTTTTCTTTTTTTCCTTCTGTGTTGGGGGATGGCTTTGCAAAATCTGGACCTCTGAAGTCAGATATTTATTAGTCTCTGATTATTTTTATAGTTTCATGAATTTAAATTCTCAAACAAAATACATATAGTATAAATGAAAAGATAGTTTGATGATAAATACCTATACTAAATTCATAAGTGATTTTTCTACTATTGACAGCCAATTCATTTTCATATTTGAAATGTGGGGATATTCTGGCATTCATTCTATTTCTAATCTTTTCCTGTGAGTGATGAAAAGACAGAGACAGAGGAGCACAGTCTGTTTTTCTATTCTTTCTTCTGGGATGATCCTTCATTTTAAAGATACAGCAGAACCACTGCTTTTTTCTTTTCTTTTGAAAATTGATGTATAATAGTTGCACATATTTTTGGGGTACACATGATATTTTGATGCATGCGTGCACTGTGTAATAATCAAATCGGGATCATTAGGATATCTATCATGTCAAGCATTTATCATTTCTTTGTGTTGGAAACATTACAATTATTTTCTTCTAGCTATTTTGAAATATACAATAAATTATTGTCAACTGTAATTTCTCTACTGTACTATTAAATACTAGCACTCTATCTAGCTGTATTTTTGTACCCCTTAACTAACTTCTTCCCCCTTCCCTTCCCAGCCTCTGTAACCACCATTCTACTCTTTACTTCCATGAGATTCACTTTTGTAGCTCCCGCGTATGAGTGAGAACATGTGATATTTGTCTTTTTGTGCCTGGCTTATTTCACTTAACATAATAACCTCTGAGAACCACCATTCAGAATACTGGCGGGCTATTCATTTGAATAGACTCCCCATTTCCAGTTTCGTAGACTCTCTTTCAACCAATAGGGGATCTCCCTTGATTTGATTTATTCAGAAGAAAATTTTTAGTTTCTACTGAAAGCATGTGTTTGTAAAGTTGCAAATTCCCAATAAGTCTTTATTCTAATATAGTTTCAAGCTACCCACTGGTGATATTTGATAAATAGCTTTATTAGCTTTGATCCAGTGTTCCATTTTTAATACTTCAAACAAAGAATAAAAATCTATGAATATCAACTTAAATCATGAAATATGCTTAGTTTGAGCTGTAAGCAGTCATTGCTGTTCCAGCAGTATATAAAAGCATTGAAGCAGTTTATTTCTTAAATAATTAATGACCAAAATAAGGATACCATAAATCCTGTGTAATCCGAATTTCTCTAGGCCTCACCAGCCTATAGGAAGAGTTCACATCAATGGCTACAGGACAGATTTTCCCAGCTCTCACCCCAGCCACCTCATAGAAAACCTTGGGCCCAACCCCCAAACCCCCCACCCAACACAAAAAGTATCACTTATCACTTCTAGGGATCACCAAGTGAGAAATCTTTTTTGTTTATCTGTTTTTGTTTTTTAGAGACAGGCTCTCACTCTGTCCCCCAGGCTGGAGTGCAGTGGTGTAGTCATAGCACACTGCAGCCTCTATGTCCTGGGCTCAAGTGATCCTCCTACCTCAGCCTCCCGACTAGCTGGGACTACAAGTACACACCACTACACCCGGCTAACTCTTCTATGTTTTATAGAAACAGGATCTTGCTGTGTTGCTCAGGCTCGTTTTGAACTCTCGGCCTCAAGCAGTCCTCCCGCCTTAGCTTCCCAAAATGCTGTGATTGCAGGCATGAGGCACAGTACCCCACCCCCAAATAAGGAGTCTTAAATATATGCATGAACAAATCTCCCACCACGGTTGCCACAGCAGCATCAGCCATGGTCCTCTCTCCTGCTCTGATCCCTTTTGTTGCTGCTGCCTTCCCTTCCCACCCCTCAACCTGCTGCCCCTGTTCCTGCTGTGCACCCTGGCGCCCTCCTGTGGTGCTAGAGCAGCATTGTCTTCTCTGGGTGCCCACTGGGGTCCAGCTATGCTTTGTTCACAGCTGGTGGGTTCACACAGAGGTGCGAGAATGCTTCTCTCTCCTGTGTTATTTCTGGTTACCAGAGCATCTCTACTCACAGATATCCTTGTGGAAAAGAGCTCCTTTATTTTCTGCCTGCAGCATTCATTTTTCCTCATTGCTAAAGTCCCCAAAACTAAGCCAAGAATCAGAACAGTCTTGCCCCCTGTTCCATACTTTCCTTTTTGTCCTTGTAACCTTCTACTTTCATGAAACTGCGCTTATGAAAACAGCTGCCACCACATCAGACCTGCAGGGTGTGTCTGGTTCTTACTGACAGCAGGTTCAAAATATATATCTGCCCATGGAGACAGTAGGAGGAGGGGATGAGGACCGCCTTACCTAGATGGTTTGCTTTTTCTGAAAACTGAAGGTTAAGTGGCAAGTTTGCTATATCATACCTGGAAAGTATTATTAAAACCTTCAGCATCAAGTACCACACAGAGAATGGAATCTTTCTTTCCTCTCTGACTCTGGCTCTTGCAGTGGATCAGTTGGGAATATCAACTTAGGTTTTCCTCATTTGGATCAGCAGGAGGTATGGGAGATGGTTGAATGTTTACAGGCCTGAAGGCATGTCCTGAAAGTCGTACTTTTTATCTTTTTTTTACAAAAACCTTAATCTTAGCTTGTTTTTCTCTGCACGGCTTCTTTCTCAAATGCCAAATACAGAAGCAAAAACACTCTGGCTGATTGAAAGTTTGTGATCGTTCACATAAGGGATTAGGCTCATCTGCAATTGGCTCCTGCACACATATGTGATGCTTGGCTCTGGCTATAAGTTCTTTATCCCATTTGCTCCATTTTTGTTTAAATAAGCAGTATGTTTTTTTTCCCTGTTAAGAAAGTAAGTCATTTAAACACACTTTATTCTAGCCATGAAGCCCACTGATGTGCTCCAGGTGTGTCAGAAATGGTTGCTCAGGTTTTCTTGTCCCCAGGTTCAAAATGATACTAAGATGCTTTTGATCACCAACCAAAAGTGTTTTATGTGAAATGGGGCCCAGTGATCCTCAGTGAGTCATTTACCATTATATTTTCTCCTGGCCACACGTAAGAACATAAGAAAAGGTTTACACTATGGAGTGGTTGTTTGCTGCTGCCATTCAGTGCCTGCAATGAGCCAGAGTTTCTGGGATTATAAGAGAAATGACTGAAGCAGCTCCTTGCTGTGGTAGCACATTATATTCAGGAGGTAGACTGAAGTAATTGTGATACAAGATAATATTGCTTAATAGAGGCCCATGAGCATAGTGGAGGGAGGGATTAGCTCCCTCTCAGAGAAGGTGACACTGAAGCTGGACTTTGTAGAATGAAAGGCATTGGTCAGGCAGAGAAAAGGGGAAAGCACAGGCCAGGTAAAGGTGACAGTGGGCACAAAGGCATGGAGTTTGAAGAGGGATCGTTTAAGAGATGAAGAAGTTCCTGGAGATTGAATTATAAAGACCATTAAGTGCTTTGCAAAGAGGTTGTTCTTTCAGAAGAAATTAAGCTAAGGAGTGAACCCTGGTGGCTGGTGAGATGATCAATTGAGAGCTGAGAGAGGATGAGTCTGCCCCTGGCCACAAGGAGTCCCTGTTATGGTTTAGTTAGTCCCAGTAATGGTTCAAGACATTGCAGAGACCAAACGCTTGTTCTTTTTGTCATTCTAGGTATCTGATCCCCTGCAATCACATGATGCTGAGTCAGAGGTGGGCTGTGAAGGAGAGAGACTGTTACTCTGTTTCTGCGGCCAAGCTTCTCGCCTTGACTCCTGTCTGCTGCTCCAGCGGGATCACTCTGACGCTGGGGAACCAAGAGAGGGATTATATTCTCTGGTCAAAGTGTATGCATGACACTTCAGGTAGGAACTCGCTAGTGATGATCTTTAAACAAAAGGATGCCAGTTCCATCTCGCCTTGGGATATGTGTCCCTTTGGGTAGACAGGGAATTATGTGGTGGGTCCCATTTCTCTTATGAATGACTAGTTAGGATCCTTTTCTGCTTTGTAAGGAGTTATGGACACGTTGTAATCAGTGTTTATTGACGTGCCCAGATGTTACGTTCTGTTGCCAGATCTTTATTTTACGTAGACTTTCTAGTGGGATCCTCAGAGTCAAAATGTGAAAACGTGTGCTAGCATGTCTTCGGAAACAAGACGGGGGTGAGAGGTGTGGAGATGGCTATTGCTGAGACAGAATCAGCCCTAATTTTAATTTCTAAAATGAGCCACTTATAGAAATCTGTCATAAGGATTTACATATTATTATATATCACTATAAAACTTGAAATTTGTGATATGACAGCAAAATTGCATGCATTTGATTGACCTAATGAGGAAGGCTGCCATAAATACTTTACAGGGGTTATGATACTTGGTGCTATTTGCCAGCTACAGTTCACCTCATACAAGCAAAACTGAAATGGCCATCTCTGTCAACCTTGGCCCTCTGGCAGGCAGCTAGAGCAAGGGAGCATCTGTATATCTTTGATGGTCATATGGCTGTTTCAATTCAGGAACATTCTGTGTGTCCTGTGACCACTAGGAAATGCCCAGTCCTGGTGTTGAGTCAAGCGTTTCCAGTTTATATTCTGATATCCACCCCAACAATGTCATTCTGTCCACCCAGCTATAATTTTCTTAGGTAAAGTGTATTTAAAAGCTGGGTTACTTGACTAAGAAAATGTCAGTATGTTTGATATTAACGTAATTTGTAGAAATTAAGGTTGTCTTACGGATTCTTGGTCTTTATATAAAGATGCATGGAAATCAGCAATTTATGTAATTTAATTATATTTTCCTATTAGGCAAATTAGTATGGATATCTTATATTTTCATACCTAAAAGTTATTTTTTAAAACATATTTAAAAATTGGCGTCTTTCTAAATTTACTATGAAAGTTTTTTCAAGAATGATTCTGTGGCTAACCTTGCCTCAGAATTCAAAATTCAAGTTAAACCTATGATTCTCCATAACTTGCCAACTTCTCTCCTGGTGTGATCACTTTTAATGCTTTGAAGAAGGTAGTATTCCCATTTTACAGATGAATAAACAAACTGAGAGAGAGGAATTGTCTTGTTCATGGTTATACAGCTAAGTAGGTTCTCTGGTTTCAGATGCCATGTTCTTTCCACTCTCCTGCCTCTGAGGTTGCCTTATAGCAGATAAATGCCCTAATGGATGGGTGGTGACATAGCTAGCTAGCTAGCCAGAGTAATTACTGTCCGGGGTAAATAATTTGCCTAAGAAAGTAGCAGAGCCAAGACTTAGGTTCTGCATCTTGGTTCTATGTCTTGGTTCTAGTACTTTCTTGGGCAAATTACTTAAGTTTTCTAAACTTTTTTTCTTATCTGTAAAATAGTACCTACTTCAAAGGGCTATTCTCAGGAAAGCAAGTGAAGACATGTAAAGCTCTTAGAAGACTGCCTCGCATGTAGTAAGTGCGCAATAAATACTGCCAGTAGTAGTATTTGATGTCTTTTTACATAACATAGATAAGAGATAAACACTAACGTTTTAGCTTAGCAGTAGAGCTATAAAATATGAATTATGTCTACCCTAATGCCCTGGAAATGGGTATCCTTAAAAGCTCGATTCTGACCCAGTCTGGTAGAGATTTAGAGCATGAAGAGACGTGAGGCTTGCAAAGATGTGGCACTGACGTAAGAATGGAGGTTGGTGTGAAATTGCCTGTGCTTGAACTGTGGCTCTTCCACAATTTGGGTTGGGTGTTCTTTCATCTCTGAGCCTCAATTTCTTTATCTGA